>NC_000004.12:1748048-2054545 GCF_000001405.40 Homo sapiens | reverse complement strand
TGATTGATATGGTTTGGCTCTGTGTCCCCACCCAAATCTTATGTTCAATTGTGATCCCCATGTGTCGGGGAGGGGCCTGGTGGGAGGTGACTGGATCATGGGGGTGGATTTCCCCGTTGGTGTTCTCACGATAGTGAGTGAGTTCTCACGAGATCTGCTGGTTTAAAAGTGTGTGGTGCTTCCCCCTTCACTCTCTGTCTCTCTTCCCCGCTCTGCCATGGGAAGATGTGCCTACCTTCCCCTTCACCTTCTGCCGTGAGTGTCAGTCTCCTGAGGCTTCCCAGTCATGCTTCCTGTACAGCCTGCAGAACTGTGAGTCCATCAAACCTCTTTTCTTCATAAATTTCCCAGTCTCGGTGGTTCTTTACAGCAGTGTGAAAACAGACTAATACAATTATTACCTATTAATTTAACATAACATGATTTTAATATTAAGTTACTGAAAAAGATTTTTAAGCCAGGTACAATGGAACCTGCAAATCTGGTAACTTAGAAGGCTGAGGCAGGAGGATCACTTGAGCCCAGGAGTTCAAGGCTGCAATGAGCTATGATTGCGCCACTGCATTCTAACCTAGACAACAGCACAAGATCCTATTTTTAAAAAAGTAAAAATACTGCCAGACGCGGTGGCTCATGCCTGTAATCCCAGCACTTTGGGAGGCTGAGGCGGGTGGATCACGAGGTCAGGAGATTGAGACCATCCTGGCTAACATGGTGAAACCCTGTCTCTACTAAAAATACAAAACATTAGCCAGGCGTGGTGGTGGGCACCTGTAGTCCCAGCTACTTGGGAGGCTGAGGCAGGAGAATGGCGTGAACCTGGGAGGGGGAGCTTGCAGTGAGCCGAGATCACGCCACTGCACTGCAGCCTGGGCGACAGAGCAAGACTCCATCTCAAAAAAAAAAAAAAGTAAAAATACTTTTGTAACTATGAAAAGTTCACTTATAAATTTTTATCCCATTTACATTCACTTTACTCATTCTTCTTCTTTTTTTTTTTTTTTTTTTTTTTTTGAGATGGAGCTTCGCTCTTGTTGCCCAGGCTGGAGTGCAATGGTGCAATCTCAGCTCACTGCAACCTCTGCCTTCTAGGTTCCAGCAATTTTCCTGCCTCAGCCTCCCAAGTAGCTGGGATTACAGGCATGCGCCACCACACCCAGCTAATTTTGTATTTTTAGTAGAGACAGGGTTTCTCCATGTTGGTCAGGCTGGTCTCGAACTCCCTACCTCAGGTGATCCGCCCACCTTGGCCTCCCAAAGTGCTGGGATTGCAGGCGTGAGCCACCGTGCCCAGCCAACTTTACTCATTCTTAACTATTATGCTTGATTTGTCCATTAAACAAAGCTAGCCATCATCTCAAGTTATTTCCTTTTTAATAATTTTTACAGCCTGAAAATGTGAGGCAGTGACCACATAAGTGAGAACCCCAAAGTTTCAAACACAGGCATTTCACCAATCAGAAGACACCGTTGTTTTCCTCTAACTAACAGTATCAAAGTAGTCTTACCTACCAGAGGTTTCCTCAAGTCATGTGAACTCAAAGGCAGTTGAGTTGGTTTCTATTTTTCTGATAAAATATTTTATTTAACACCTACTTTTTCTTTAAACCAAGTAACTAATTGGTGAATTGGTTAATTAACTAGAGCACCTTCATACCCGTTGGTAGTGAAATATCACATGCATATGACACATAAACATAGAGACATAGAGACACACAGACAGAAGCAGATCCTGTAGGGGTATAAGATTCTTCATCTGTCAGTTTTCAAATTGTTTCTCGACCCCCTTTAGACTATCAGTCTCTTGATTACCTGTTCCACTGCCCTTAACAATCGTTAGCTAAGAAACCCTCAACTTATACTTCCAAAGACGTGATTCTTAGGAGAAACAAGGTAGAAAATGTATATCTCAAAGGCACAGAACTTAGAGCTAAACACTGTTATTTCCTGAGACAAAAAAGAGCACAGATAATTAGGTCAAGACAACACCGCATTGCTTGAGGCCAGGAGTTCGAGACCAGCCTGGGCAACATTGTGAAACCCCATTTCTAAAAAAAAAATTTTTTTTAATTAGCCAGGTGTGGTGGCACATGCATGTAGCTACCCAGGAGGCTGAGGTGGGAGGATCCCTTGAGCCCACATGTTCAAAGCTGCAGTGAGCTATGATCGTGCCACTGCACTCCAGCCTGCATGACAGAGTGAAGCCCCGTCTCTGTCAAAAAAAAAAAAAACCATAAATAAAATGAAATAAAAAATTTTAAAATACCAGGAAAAGTATCTTTTTTTTTGAGATGGAGTTTTGCTCTTGTTGCCCAGGCTGGAGTGCAATGGCACGATCTCGGCTCACTGCAACCTCCGCCTCCCGGGTTCAAGCCATTCTCCTGCCTCAGCCTCCTGAGTAGCTGGGATTACAGGCGCCCACGACCACACCCGGCTAATTTTGTATTTTTAGTAGAGACAGGGTTTCTCCATGTTGGTCAGGCTGTTCTCGAACTCCCGACCTCAGGTGATCCGCCTGCCTCGGCCTCCCAAAGTGCTGGGATTACAGGCATGAGCCACCGCGCCCTGCCCAGTAAAAGTATCTTAAACAAAAGTAAGACTTGCTATGTAAATGTAAATGTTAAGTCAATATCTTCCTTATCCTCAAAGTTTCTAGTGGTTTAGAGAAAGAGATGTCCTTAGAAATGGAGATTTCCTTTATAGATGTCCATGTCTTTTACAGAGTCTCAACATAGCCAGCTAAACATCAGAAAGTTGCATTCTGGCAGACCCCTTTAGTGAACAGGGCACAGAAAGCATCTGCAGCGTTCAGGAGCTGCTGTTTAAATATGCGAAGAGCAGGCACAGCTGGAAGGCACAGCATCCAGATCTTTAAGTATCCAGGATCCCATCTTTACACCAAATCCCCAGTCCCCCAAGAGAAGAAACCCCATGGGACCGGGCCACACGGTGTTTCCACAGTGTGCCACGCTACGAAGACATTCTCCCAAGGCTGGTGGGTGACCCAACACCAATCAGCCCACCCCGTGATCAGCCCGTCACCCCAGGAGTCTTTTACCTTGGTGGCAAGACTTCCCATAGCCTCCAGGGGCCCAAACTGCACCTTTCTTATCTAAATGCACAGAGAAACAAGTAGCCCCTGCCATAATAACCATTCACTACAGCCGCTGCCAGCTACCTCCCAGTGACTTTGGGGATGGGCTTTCGCCAGTGACTTGTCAGCCATGGCACATGAAGGTCAAGTTCTCTCTCATAGTACAAAGTAATCCCTGGAACGCGCAAAGCCAAAGAGATCAGGTAACGCAATGCAAAAGACAGCAGAGCTTTCGGCCTGAGAGGGGCCTGCCCAGGACTCTCGAGACTCCGTGAGAAAGGCAGAAGGCCCCCAAAACAGGGTGTGCGTGGCCGTTTTCTGTGTTCCTCAAGAGGTCTCAGGCTGCTAGAAGTCTCCTATGTGGTACTGAAGATGGTACAAGGCAGGAGAAGCACAAGCAGAGGAAAACGGAAGGCGTCACAGAGGAGCCGGTTCTCAAGATTTTAGGCTTTCTAAAAGGTCAGTGACGTTTTACATTTTTCGCAGCAAACTCATGCCGACAAGAAAAGCAAACAAAGGGACCAAACTTATTTTAAAAGGGGTTTCAGTCGACTGAAAAAATCCCAGCAACAGGATCCAGGTAAGAAGTGTCAGCACTTAGGGAAGCTGAGGCAGGAGGATCACTTGAGCCGAAGAATTTGAGACCAGCTTAGGTAACGTAGCAAGACTCTGTGTCTGCCAAAACAAAAAACAAAACAAAACAAAAATACAGAAAGGCCTTTAAAAATGTGTGTGTGTGTGTGTGTGTGTGTGTGTGTGTGTGTGTGTGTGTGTAGCTCAAATTTAATTTTTTAAAGAGATGGGATCTCACTCTGTTGCCCAGGCTGGAGTGCAGTGGCACAAACAACTCACCACAGCCTCAAACTCCTGGGCTCAAGTGATCCTCCTGCCTCCACCCCCAGAGTAGCTGAGATGACAGGCGTGTGCTACCATGCCTGGCTAATTTTTAAAAAATTTTTTGTAGAGACCGGGTCTTGCTATACTGCCCACGTGGCTGAATGTTAGCTTTTAATTAGGCTGACTTCTGACCATAGAGCTCTTAAAAAAAAATCCCTTCAAACCTCTTATTATCAGATTTCAGTCAGGATAAACAGAAAGTAGGTCTTCCATCAGTCTGGTTCTAAAATCACCTTTTCCAACTGTGCACACAAATAAATTATTTTAGCCATTTCAAAGGACCCCCATTTCAGCCATTACTGCTGATGACCATCCCGGGCTATGTGGGTCCATTTCCCTAGATATTTACAAAAGGATGCCTCACAGGTGTTGTACATAAAACCAGCTGCTGTTTCTTAAGGCAGTTGTCCCTTAAAACAGTGCTCAGCTTTTGGTCAGGCGCCGTGGCTCGTGCCTGGAATTCCAGCCCTTTGGGAGGCCAAAGTGGGCAGATCGCTTGAGCTCACAAGTTCAAGACCAGTCGGGGCAACATGGTGAAACCCCATCTCTACAAAAAGTATAAAAATTAGGTGTGGTGGTGCATGCCTGTAGCCCCAGCTACTCAGGTGAGAGGATGGCCTGAGCCTGGAAGGTGGAAGCTGCAGTGAGCTGAGATCGTGCCACTGCACTCTAGCCTGGGCGATACAGCCAGAACTTGTCTCACAAAAAATTGTTTTAAGAAAGAAAAATAGAAAAGGAAAAGAATGCTCAGATTTTGAAGCTTGGTTTCCCATAATTTAGGAACTTTTCAAAAGTGACCAAGGCTGGGGATGTGTTTTGGGGTGAAGTGCGCTGCTAATGAG
The DNA here is from genome assembly GCF_000001405.40 of Homo sapiens. NCBI lineage: Eukaryota > Metazoa > Chordata > Mammalia > Primates > Hominidae > Homo > Homo sapiens. The sequence continues at coordinate 2,049,712 of NC_000004.12, read as the reverse complement.
CCACTCCTCAGGGTGTCAACTGAGAGTCAGGGACTCTAGGTAGTGGCGTGACCAGGCCCTTATTTATACCTTTCCAGATAAGTGGGAGTTACAGAAATGTTCTCCTGTGAGGGGTGTCCTGTGAGGCCACCGCGCACCCAGGACAACAGTTCTGACATCTCTGCCAAGTCTCTGGTTGCCCAGAGCACCTGCATGGGTCGCAGACAGCAACCGACTCTTCTCTTTGGGGTGAGGCAACTCACCCTCATGCACCTTCCCACATAGGACAGACAGGAACTGGCCCCAAATGAAAAGACAAGTCTGAACTACAGGCAACGGGGAGCAGTTGAAATTGTTGTTGTTGTTATTATTATTATTATTATTATTATTATTATTATTTTGAGACAGAGTCTCGCTGTGTTGCCCGGGCTAGAGTGCGATGGCACCATCTTGGCTCACTGCAACTTCTGCCTCCTGAGTTGAAGCGATTCTCATGTCTCAGCCTCCCGAGCAGCTGGAATTACAGGTGCGTGCCACTGTGCCTAGCTAATTTTTTTATTTTGGGTAGAGATGGGGTTTCGCCATATTGGCTAGGCTGGTCTTGAACTCCTGACCTCAGGTGATTCATCCACTTTGGCCTCTCAAAGTGCTGAGATTACACGCATGAGCCACCGCGCCCAGCCCAGCAGTTGCAATTTTTAAAGCTTGCTGTGTAACTTTAGGCCCAAAGATGTGAAACCACCAGTGCCAGACTGGTGCCCATACCAGGCCCTAAACCCGTTGCCCTGAGGCAGTGGCAGAGAAGGCGGAGTTCTCTGTTTATCTGAGTCCCCTGTCCAAAGACAGAGACTGAAGCCCTCTTTCTGTTAAAAGCAGGTTTAAAAAACACTCCAAATAAAATCTAGATGTCAACCAAAAAGAAAACAAAGCTCTGAATTCAGGAGGACTCACCCCTGTGCACCCAGGAAACCTCTGGAGTGAGGGGAGCATGGTGGGTTCCTGCTCATACCACCCCCAAGTCCTGGAAGGAGCCCCAGGTGGTCAGGGAAGAGGGTCACTGAAGCCTGCTGACTTATGCCAGATATGTTGACCTAAAGGGAAAAAACTGAGGCAAAATTAATGTGAAGTGGAGAGTTTACCGGAGCCAGGTTTGAGGACTGCGGCGCCGGGGCACAGGGTCAGGGCAACCCTTTAGGTTCACGCCTTCCAGGGAGGCAACGTGGGTCATGGACAATCTCGAAGGAACTCGCTGATCCATTCAACAACCCCTGCACCCGACGCTCAAGTGCTGACCAGGGTCCCTGCCCAGCCACAGGGGCAGCTCCGCAGTGTCGTCCTAAGGTCGGCCACGTGGACGGCAGGAAGGGCGTCCCAGCAGAGGGATCAGCACGCAAGGGGTCCGGGCAGGAAAAACCAGGCAGTGGAGGCAAGTGAGGGGCTGGCGCGCCTGGAGAGCCAGGGGGCTGGAGGAAGATGAGGCTGGGCTTTGAATGGGGGCCTGGGGCTCCAGAGCAGAGACTGGGGGAACAGGCTGTCATGCTTCTGATGGGGGCCAGGAGAGGGGAGAAGCCATGGTCACTGTCCAGGAGCTCCTGAGCAGTGTCCCCACCCAGACCCCAAGGCCTGAGTGACCTCTGAGGAGAGCGGTCCAGCCCTTACAGGGCCACAGCCTCTGCCGGCCCCTGCCCTCTCCACCTCATCCCCACAGCCTCAGCCTGAGCCTGCCACTGCTCGGCCCCAGCAGCCAGGCCCAGAGACAGAGGCCTGCTCAGCACGCCTTGGTGGCCCTTCCAGTCTCCATCTGCAGACTCCCTCCCACCAGCCTGCCTGGCCTCACCCTCCAGCCCCTACAAGTCACCCAAAGCCCGTGGCCATGTGACCCCCAGTAGCCCTGATGGTCAGCTGAGGCCTGTGCTCCAGCCCCGGGTTCATAGGTACCTGGAAGGCACCAGAACACCGTCAGCTTGGAAGGGTCAGGGCTGGGCTCCAGGAAGCAGCCTGGAAGGTCTGGGAGACCATGGTACTTGCTCTGGGTGGGGGCTGGGGGGCCTAGAGCCCCTCCCCACGACAAGGGGAGAACCCCGTAGGCCACACGGTGCTCCCAGCGCCAGCAGCAGAGCGCCTATATCAGCCCCAGGCTGTCGCCAAGGGCCCATTTTACAGAGGAGGAAACTGAGGCTCGGTCAGGTCAGCCTGTGGGGCAAGAGCGGAAACCCAGACCTGTCGGTCCTCCCTGGCCGCCCACCTCCGCCTCTGTCTCCTGCTTCCCTGAGCGCCCTCCTCACCGGAGACCCCTGCCCCTGCCCCAGTTGCCCCCGCGCCCCGCCTGGCCCATGCAGGCCTCGCCTTCCTGGGAGCGGAGCGGCCGAGACCGTCCGGATTTCAGATGCCAAGCTGAGAGGCGCCCGGGCCTCCGCCGCTTGGATACTCAGGTTCGAGGAGGGCACACCCAACGCAGCGGACGTGGGCAGTGCAGCCCCACCCACGGCAGAGCGGGGACCCGCGAGCCCACGCCCAGGCCGGACTTGCGGGGTCTCCTCCAACGCCGTCGGGGCGCTCCTATCCCGCCGCGAACGCCCCGAGCCCGAGTCCGTGGGGAGGAAGAACAGGGGCGCGGGGAGCCGCCGAGCAGCCCAGGGGAACCCCAGGACGGCGCGGGTCTGGCCACGGTGGGAGGGAGCAGGGCGGGGTGGAACGGAGCTGCGGGTGAGACGGGGCGGGGGGCGGGCCGAGGTCTCTTATGAAGTGGAACTACAGACCGGGAGGCCAGAGGAAGAAGGAGGAAAAGCAAAACGGTCCCCAGGCCCACAGGGCGCCTAACGGGGCTCCACAGGAGGCCGGGAGGTGGGAGTGGCAGAAAGGCGCCCAAGGCCCCAGGCTCGCCCTACCCCGCATCTTCCATGGGAAGATGGCCCAAAACCACACCCCATGCAGCCCTGCGTCCCAAAGACCCCCAGAGCAGGAAGGGAGGGGCTGCGGGGGACCCCTGTAGCCAGCTCCTCCCAGAGCCCTGGCCCAGGCAGCCTCCCTGCAGCTTCCACTGGGGGAGCGCGCGGCCTGCAGGGGCGCCTGGGAAGAGCAGATCTCACCCTCCTGGGCTTCACAATCCAGTGTGGGGTGGCAGGGAGGAAAGAAACAAACACCCCGGGACCCCTCAGGGACAAACGCTTAGAAGAAAATGCGGGGCTGGGTGTGTCGGCGTGCGCTGGGGACCCAGCTACAGGCTCTGGGCTCTGTGGGCTGGTACCGGCACTGTGGGCCCCACTACTCAGGAGGCCCAGTGAGGAGGATTGCTTGAGCCTGGGAGGTTGAGGCTGCAGGGAGCTGTGATGAGGCCACTGCATTCCAGCCTGGGCGACAGAGCAAGGCCCTCTCTTAAAAATAAACTATTTAAGGAGGGACACAGGGCTGCAGAGTGAGGCCGGTCCCAGGGCAAGGGATGCGTCCCTGCAGAGGGCACATGCACAGGCCCTGCGGTAGGAAGGGTGACCTGCAGATGGACTGTGGCAGCAGCCGCCTTCCAGACAAGCAGACACAGTGTCCCTCCCACACGCTTTTCTACATGGCAGCAGGGAGAAGAGGACATAGGATCCAGAGAAAGGCGGCTCTGGGCTGGAGTGCAGGTGGGCAGTGGGGATACCCAGCGGTCAGGGAGGAAGGCAGGGCCCACAGGGAACACAGGGAGAGGCCCTGGACCAAGGGGATGCCCTGACACTGGAGAAGCTACAGACATAAGGGCGGAATGCAGGGAAGATCAGGGAAATAGCAGGTCCAGGAAAAGAAAAGGTGTCCCAGAAAGAGACTGCAGTGCCAGGTCACTGCTCGGCCATGCCAGGGTTGACTCATCCCTGAGTTGCTGAGCCCCTGGCAGGAAAGCTGCGCCATGGCTCCAGGACTGAGTGTGAATGCCACTGGCCCTGCCCACGCTTGTGGCCAGGCTCCCTCCGCTCTGCTCCTCCGAGGCCTTCCCCGCTCTTCATGGACCCTGTGGTCCTCTTGCCTTGCTTGGCCTTGGTGGCATGAGACACAGCTGTGGCTGCCCGGGACGCAGCTCAGTTCTCTTCCTGCTTCACAGCTGCTCGTCACCCCTAGGGGCCCTCTTCTCTCCTCTGCCCCCAAACAGGCCACAGGGGATCCCAGACTTCTCTCTCCAGCTCCTTTTACAGGCGTACCTCCCCAGTGGCCTCCCGGACCCCCATGACCACTCCCACCCCCCACCCAAATCCCACAGGCTCTACCTGCAAACACACCCGGAATCCAGCGGCCTCTTACCCTCTGCTGCCGTGGGGCTGCTGTCCTTCTCAGTCTGCCGTCACCTCCTCACAAGCCCCGCAAGTCCCTTCCCTACCGGCAGCCAGAAGCTCCCGTTACCAAACCTTGTCCTTGCCCCAGCCCCGCAAGGCCTAGGGGGAGGCCTCTCCACCCAGTGTCCCACAGCCAAGCCTGGCTCCTGCCCCCACTGAATCCCAGAGGGCACCTCCCCAGGGCGTGTGTGACGAGTGTGCCCCAGACCCCATCTTTTATAGTAATGGAGACCTCACCCTGTGCCAGGGCACACAGCTGCCCATAACACAGGACACTGAGTTATATTTGAATTTTGGATAAACAATATTTAGTGTGAGGAATCCCTAACACTGCAGGGATAAACAGGAATCTGGCTGTTCCTGGACTTGATTGCCTAAATCTGTCAATATAAGCCTAGAAATAGGGCTATGTTCCTGGCCTCCCTTGCAGCTAGAAAGGCGTGAGGAAGGCTGACCAATGGGACATGAGCACCACCCAGGCCATGCCCCCAAAGACATGGCCCAGCCTCCCAGCCTCTGAGCAGGTGCTGGTGGCCGGCACTGGTTCCTGCCCCACACCCCACCCTGCCTGGGCCTGCAGTGACCTCAGGCCCCTGCTCTCCCTGGCCTGCATTAGAGGGCGCAGACATCCTCCCGGCTGGACACCTGACTCAGTCTCTCCACGTGTGCCAGCTCCAAGGGAGGACTCTGTTCACTGTGGATACCAGGCACGTCCAGCTCCACCCGCCCGAGGCAGGGCAGGGCTTGGGGCCCCAGGGCCAGGGAACCAAAGCCCCAGAGGCCAAGTCCCACCTAGGGCACCTGGCAGTCACCTCCAGCCTGCTGTTCACCTGGATTTGTTCCTAACCATGTTCCTGCATTACTTTGATAAAAGGCTCTAATTTTACTGAAAAAGCATTTACAGAATGAATGAAAAGAGGGAGGTGCCCGCTTCAGCTGGAGGTCACCTGGGTGCTGTGTGCACAGGTGTGTGGATGGCAGTACGGCCTCATCAAGTTCCCATCCAGAGCTCCCCAGTGACCAGGGTCCAGGCTCAGGGCTGCAGGTGGGAGCTGGCAGGGGAGATGATGCTGTGTGGGGTGGCCCTGCCCTCTCTCCCCGGGACCCTCTGTCTCCCACAGTCTCAGGCAGCTGGTCCACCAGTTCAGTGGTGCAGGAGCCTGGAGGGGCTCAGCCCTGGGGCAGCTGCTCTGGGGGCTCAGGGGGGTCAGGCCGATTTCTACACTTCCCCAGCCTCAAAACAAGGGGAGGCAGGCAGGGGAGCAGGTACGAGGAAGCACAGGTCACTGAGGTCGGACGTGTGTGTCCACCTCTCCGCACGGGCACTGGTATGGGACAGCAGCCAAGAGGGCTCGCCCAGCTGGAACAGCTGGGGAAACCCAAGCCCAGAGAGGGGCCCAACCCAGGACTGCCGGGGGCGACGCAGGGGCTCTGGTGGCCAGAACAGAGAGACAGGACACAGGCGTGCCACTGGGCATTTATTCACACGGAGCAGCGTGGTCCTCAGTGCCCCGCTGGCCAGCAGGCACACAGGGCACGGCGCTCTGCCTGCAGCAGTAGGGTCTCCGTCTGCAAAGCAACAAGAGGGGTGAGGGTGCAGCCCAGCTGCCCACTGGCATTCCCCTGGGCCTCCACCCACCCAAGGCAGCCCTATCTCCACCGGCTCCTGAGACAGACAAGGTCAGGCCCTGGCTCTAACCCCCACACCCAGAGCCTCCCACTCATCTCTTTCCTCTGCAGTGGCTCCCACTGGTGGGGCCTGCCTGGGGTCTGCTGGTGCCCACGCCATGCCAGCGTGCCCACCTGCCTTCTTCCAGCTCCCACACCACCCGCAGGGGTCCACTGTCCCCCACTCCCTGCCACCCTCATGCCTAAGGATAGGTGGGGGCTGCTCCTCCCAAGAGCTCAGTTCCAGGCTCTGTGAGTGGGGAGAGGGCTCCAGGTCTTAGTCGGAGCCCTCTGGAGTGTTCCCAAGAAGGACACTAGGGCTGGTGGGGGGTGGGACCAGGCAGGGTCTTCCCTGCTTTCTCCTTCCTAGAATTCTCCCTTTCCAGGAAGAAGCTTGAGCCCCGGCACAAACAAAAACTCCTTGGCTGCACCCCATGGCGTGGGGGCTCCCTGTTCATCCAGGCTTGGAGGGGCCTTAACCAACCTGTGCATCCACCCAGGATCCAGACCACCCTGCCCAGCCTGACCCCCCATTCCTGACACTTTCGCCACATCCTCCGGCCTCAGTTTCTCCTCTGCCCTGGGGCCTTGCCGCCCACCTAGGGGATCCTGGATTGGGCTGACAGTCCTTCCCCAGGGTCCAGATCTGTCACAGCCCTCAGGAGTGGCGGTCATAGGACAAAGTGCCCAGTGAGAGCCTTCTGGGGGAGGGGCTAGAAATAGAGTATGCTGGAGAGAGGGGCGTCTCATAGGTGAGACAGGTGCCCAGAATGCCCCTTGGATGACTGGAGCCAGAGGAAGGGGGCAAGGTGCGGCATCTTAAATCGGGGTGAAGGATGAGGGACACTCCACTCCCGCAGGGGGCCTCTTCCTCATCCTCCCTGCCCTCCCCACCCCCTGGGAAGCCCGGGAGGACCGTCGCGCCGCGGGCGCTCACCCGCGCGTCCAGGCTGCAGGCTGTCTTCCGCAGGTCCTGCAGGGCGCGCTGCATGAACTCGAAGGCGTGGCAGTCCACGCATGGGCGGCCTGCGGGGGGCGCGGGTCAGGGTGGAGGGGGCGCAGGGGGGGTCACCCGCAAGGCCCCCACGCACTCTGGGCCCGTCCACCCAGTGCCAAAGAGCGCACGTCCCCACTCCCCAAGCCACCATCTCCCGCGAAGGGGAGGACCCGCTCCCGGGAACAAAGGCGAGGCGCGGTCCTCCCCGCAGAGCCCCGGCCCCGCACGCCCCTGTCGCCAGCCCCGCCCCGCTCCCCGGAACCCGGCCCCCGGCACCTACTCTGCGCGGGGACGGCACTCCCGGCGGGCTCGGCGCGGGCCCGGGCGCCCAGCAGCGCCAGACTCAGCAGCAGCAGCAGCAGCGGCGGCGGCGGCGGTGACATCGGGGACCGGCACGCGGGCGGGGGGGCCATGGCCAGCAGAGGGAGCGGGGCCGCCCTGAAGCCAGCGAGGGGTCAGCGGCGCCCGCCCCGCCCGCCCCGGGCCGGTGAGCCCCCGTCCCCTCCCGCGGGCCCCACGACCCTTGTCCAAGCCCCAGGCCTGGGAGCCCTGGACCCACCCACCCCGGGCCCGGGAGCCCCCTCCCCACCTCCGGTTCCCCGACTCCAGTCCGCCGGTCTCCGGGCCCAGCGAGCCTCTAGTCCGCGCCCCGTATCTAGAAAACGCCCATTCGGACGCCCGCACCACCGCCCTTACCGCGGTTCAGGGACCCCGGGACCAGCAGCGCGGGGACACCGGCAGACGTTCCGCGTCCGGCGCGCAACGCGCATGCGCTCCGACCCGACCCCGCCCGGGTTCCCCATCCGACGTCGTCGTCATGGAAACCCGAGACTGCGCTGGCCGCGGGTTTAGAGGAACCTAGGACGCTCCAGGAATCGGGTGTGCCTGGCCCTGGCCGGGGGCTGCCCCCGGGAGCAGCGTCCAGGCCCATGGCGGATGCAGTCTAGAGGACTGCCTGGAGGAGGCGGCGCCGGGGCGAGACCTCCAGAGCGCAAGGCCGGCGGGAGAAAAGCTGAGGAAGTGGGAAATCTGTGGCTGGAGCTCAGCAGGTCAGGAGCGATCCTGAGGGAGCTGCTCGATGCTCGCGAGGCGCGGGGAGCTGCGCATGCAAACGCTTGGCCTCCGACCGCGGGCGAGTGGGGTCCAGTGTGGGGTCGCACCGCCCGGAGAGAGCTGGTCTGGGGGATCGGCTCGGGGGATCCGCCCTCGCCCGGCTTTTCCCTGGCCCAGCCTCTCCCCGATCCTCGGGCGTCAGGGTGGGCACCAGCCTGCTCGGTCCCTCCCGGCTACCCACCCCCAACCCAGGGTCCTCCTCTCCGCCTCTCGGTGTCCTCGGAGACCGGAGAACCGCTTGCGCGGAGCCCCGACCACAGGTCCTCGGCCTCTCTGTGCCGATTTCAGTCCCGTGAACTCAGGGCTGTTGGCCTTAAAGAGCGCCGTGCAGCCAGTGGCCCCCGGGGGCGCCCGGCAAGTGCGAATCTGGGCCCCGGACGCCCTGGGAGGGATGGTCCCAGCCGTCGGAGCCAGGCCCCCACGCCGACACCGACACAGGCGGTGGCCTCCTCAGAAGGCGCCCCAGGCGCACGTGGGTGCTGGCGCCCCCGCTCCCCCCCCACCCCACCCAGCAGCCCGCGCTGTGGCCGGGAGCTCAGGGACTAACCACACCTCCCGCCAGACCCTCTTCTTGGTGGGCGGAGCCGCACCCCTACCTGGAGGCCGCCCCGCTCGCCGTGCAGGACCCGGAGCCTCGGGCGCCCCCCTCCCCAGCCTAGCCGACCTCTACCCCCAACCCCCGGGGTTCTGGCCGGTGGTCTTCCCGGCACAAGCTGGGACTGCGGACGCACCTGCTTCTCGCGTGGTCAGAGCCGCCCCTGCCCCGGCCGGACGCGGGTGTCCTGACCCTAAGAGTGGGTGGGAGGGTGGGTTGGGGAAGCGTGCCCGTGACTGCCGCTGCCTCCTCCGGGTTGGGCCGACGCCGGGCTTCGGGGACCCGGTCGCACCTCGGGGGTGTGCTGCATCCTCAGCGCGCTGAAACGCACGCGGGGCCCGAGGGGCCGGGTGGGGGCTGCGGGCCGCTGTCCCAGGCGCCTGGGGAGGCAGCGGCCCTCCCGAGTGTCGGGCTAGTGCGCACTTCCGCGCTCTTCTCCACTCGGAGCCAAGAGCCCGGGAGCAGGCCGTCGCGGTCCCCCAGTGGGGCGGGAGCCGTAGAGGGGTAGCCCCGCGCTGTTGCCGGGGCCGCGGAGCCCTGGGGGGGACGTGCCTCCGGGGACGCGCCGGGCCGCAGGCGTCCTTCTCCCCTTCGGTCCCACGCTGCGCCCGCTCGCGACCTGCTCCTATCACCCCTGCCCCTAGCGCCCACGGACAGTCGCGCCCACGGACAATCTAATCCCAGCACTTTGGGAGGCCAAGGCCGGTGGATCACCTGGGGTCAGGAGTTCAAGACCAGCCTGGCCAACATGGCGAAACCCCGTGTCTACTAAAAATACAAAAATTAGCCGGGTATGGTGGCACGCGCCTGTAATCCCAGCTACTGGGGAGGCTGAGGCAGGAGAATCATTTGAACCCAGGAGGCAGAGGTTGCAGTGAGCTGAGATCACACCACTGCACTCCAGCCTGGGCCACAGAGTGAGACTCCATCTCAAAAAATATATATATATATGTATATTTCTTACCAAAAATGCATCTTCATTCCCATGACTGTCTTCATCTCTGTCTCTCTCTCTCTGTCATACTTGCTGGTTCCTTTGGATGTTGTTTCTGTTTCCTTCCTAAATCCATATTTGAAATAACCTTAAAATTATTCCTTTTTCTCAATAAATAACACATATTTGTGCCTTTCTTATAATTTTTCTCATAAAACACATCTTTTTGGTGCACTTTATATACAGAATTATATATATTAATTAGAAGTTTAACTCTTTTTTTGAAACAGAGTCTTACTCTGTTACCCAGTCTGGAGTGCAGTGGCATGATCTAGGCTCACTGCGACCTCCACCTCCCGGGTTCAAGTGATTCTCCTGTCTCAGCCTCCCCAGTAGCTGGGACTACAGGTGCGTGCCACCACACCCGGCTAATTTTTGTATTTTTTTCTTTGGTAGAGACAGGGTTTGCCATGTTGGGCAGGCTGGTCTCGAACTCCTGACCCCAAGTGATCCACCTGCCTCTGCCTCCCAAAGTGCTGGGAATCCAGGCGTGAGCCACTGCACCTGGCCTAAGTTTAACTCTTAGTAATTTTAATTTCTAGCAAGCAATTTTGAACTATCACATGTCAATATTTTATAGGTGAGAACCATTTTGTAATTTTTAGAGACAGGTCTCTCTGTAATTTTTTTTTGTTTTTTGTTTTTTTTTGAGACGCAATCTTGCTCTGTCGCCCAGGCTAGAGTACAGTGGTGCAATCTTGGCTCACTGCAACCTCTGCCTCCTGGGTTCAAGCGATTCTCCTGCCTCAGCCTCCCAAGTAGCTGGGATTACAGGTGCCTGCCCCCACACCCAGCTGATTTTTGTATTTTTAGTAGACATGGGGTGTCACCATGTTGGCCAGGCTGGTCTTGAACTCCTGACCTTAAGCGATCCACCCGCCTTGGCCTCCCGAAGTACTGGGACTACAGGCATGAGCCACCGAGTTCAGCCATAATGTATTCTTTTGATAGTGACTCTATTTCGTGAATCCAACAAGAGGACAAGCACAACGCTCACCATCATTTAAAAAAAATGAATTTGCACAAATCTCACTTGTGTTATTCACACATTTCGCTTATTTAATGCTTTCTTTGATTTTGATACCAAAACTGTATGTTGATATAAACTCCCAGGTGATGAAAAGATCGTTGACAGAGCTGAGGATTTTTCATTGAAAACTAACCCTAATCCAGGCAAACATTTTAACCCAGTTCTAGGTACTGATGTCAAAAGGGGTTGTGATATAGCAAGACACTAAATAACAAAGCTTCAAAATATTGAAAGCGGCATTGACAGAAGTACAGAAGAAATAATTAATCTCAATATTATAGTGTAATATTTTAACGTGCTTTTTCTGATAATTATTCAAACAGGAAATGAGTTGGTAAGGATATAGATTTGAATGCTTCACAAAACATTATCTAATTGAGTACATATATTGAACACTGTATCCTCAGAATACATTCTGTTTAAGTATATGCAGAATGTTTAATTTTAAAAAAATTAGGCCAGGCACAGTGGCTTGTGCTTATAAGAGACGGGAGGATCACTTGAGGCCAGGAGTTTAAAACCAGCTTGGACAACATAGCAAGACCCTAACTCTACAAAAGATTTGAAGATTTTAAAAAGTATCTGAATGTGGTGGTGCATGCCTGTAATCCCATCTAGTTGGGAGGCTGAGGCAGGAGGATCCCTTTAGCCTAGGAGTTCGAGGCTGCAGTGAGTCATGGTCGTGCCACTGCACTCCAGCCTGGGCAACAGAGTGAGATCCTGTCTCCAGAAAAAAAATTTTAATTTTATATATATATATATATATATATATATATATATATATATATATATATACACACTGATCACTTAATAAAGGCTTTAAACATGTCAAATAATTTAAACATGTCAAATAATCATACAGATCATTTTTTTAACTACAAATCAATGTAATTATTACTTATAATAACAAAAATATAAGTGAAAACTTCCATATGTTTGGAAATTTAAATGCACAAATTTAATAACACATAGGTCAAATAAATCACAAGGGAAATTATAAAATATTTACAATTAGAACAATAACAAAAATAGCATCCTAGAAAACTTGCAATATAAGGGCAAAATAGTATTTGTGGTAAAATTTATAGTGTAATATAATTATAAATGTAAAAATGCTGAAAACTTATGTATCAAAAGAATGCATAACATAATTTTTATGTGTATTAATAGACCTAAATATATGTAGTCTTTTATGAAATTTAGGAAACCAAGAACAAACATATGTATGTTCAGCAATTTGTTTCAATTTTTTATCTTATTTGGAAATGAACCAGACATTTATGAATATCATTTAATTTATCATAACATAACTTTAAGATTTCAAATTACATGAAAAGTTAATTTATAAATGTTTATCCTATTTACATTTACCTAATTTATTTTTAACAATTCACCTAGATGATTTATGAAAACTGAGATATTAGAAGAAGTCAAGTTATTTCCCGATTAACTATTTTTATTTATTTTTTCATATGAAGAAACACTTCTAGAAGATCCCTTTCTTATATTCTAATCTAAGCATTTAATGTTTTCAATGCATCACACAAATATTGATGAGTTCTCATCTTAATTTAGTTCAGAATGCTTTCTAATTTTACTGTGATTCTTCCTTGATTAAGAAGTTATTTAGAAGTGTATTGGCTGAGCGCAGTGGCTCAAGCCTGCAATCCCGGCACTTTGGGAGGCCGAGGCAGGTTGATCACTGGAGGCAGGAGTTCGAGACCGGCCTGACCAACATGGCAAAACCCCATCTCTGCTAAGACGGGGTAATTTATGAAGAAAGGGTTTCCTTGACTCACAGTTCTGCAGGATATACATAAGCATGGTTGGGGAGCTTCAGGAAACTTACAATCATGGCAGAAGGGCAAAGGGCAAGCAAGCACCTTCTTCATATGGCAGAGCAGGAGGAAGACAGCAAAGGGGGAAGTGCTACACACATTTAAACAAGATCTCGTGAGAACTCATTCACTATCATGAGAACAGCAAAGGGGAAGTCGGCCTCCGTGATCCAATCCCTCCCACCAGGCCCCTCCTCCAACACTGGGGATCAGAGCTCCACACGAGATTTGAGTGGCGACATAGAACCAAACCATATCAGCCATCAACGTGGTCATCCAGTGCCTCCCCTGTGGAGGACACCGGAGCATGAATGTGCAATGTGACAGCCCTCCCACTCTGCCTGTTCCTGTTGTTCGTCCACACACTCACTCCCCATAGCCGTGTCTCCCCATTCTTCCAAACTTGCTCCTTCCGGGTTCTCATCAACCAGCCAAACAGCCCCACCCACGACTCCATATATATTCTTATTTCATGACTCTTCTGCCTCTACGTGAAGCAGACAAGCAAGCTAACTGATCCGAGTTATACCCACAGGGAGGATTTCTTCTCCACGCTGTCCTCGAGGGCCGCCCTGAACATGTTGTAGTGGAGCTTCCGTCTGTCTTCAGCTTCCGTCAACACTGAACCAGCTCATCTAAGCACCAGACACAAGATTTTACTGCTTTTGTCAGGTGGAGTGGGAAGTCGCACCCACGTCTGGCCAGTTGGGTCGGCTGTAACTCAGACTTTGGACTGACTTGTCACCCAGCTCATATAGCAAGGAGTTCCTGATGGCAGCTGGGGGAGCTGACATCAGTGTCAGCTCAGACTCTTAGGCAGTTACCTCAATCCTCCCAATAGTTCCTAATCCTTACACAATATGGAGCCAAGTCCCTAAAGATGCTCATTGGTTCACAGTATTAGACTTAATGCCTAATTAAGGATGTTTTCTTGTGTATACCTTTACACCTGGACTCCCAGTATATTTTTGCTTTTGAATGAACTGATCCAGACACTCATGCCGCCTCTTAGCTTAACTGAACCGTCCTTTCTCAAGGTTTTAGAGACAATCCCCATCTCTGGCAAAAGAGTTAAAGGAGCTACCGTTAACTATGGGTCCCTTTTGTAATATGTGATGACCTATTAATTCCCAGCCCTTCTAGGGAAGTCTCTGACAGGAACACAATCCAGCCCCTTAATTTTCTGGAAAAACGAGGGCATCAGGTATCCCTAGCAATGCCCAGATCTCTGTACAGAAGGCTAAGTATTTGGGGTATGTGCCCACTCCTGGGACAGGACTTTGACTCAGGAGTGAAAAGAGGCCATCCTGGCACTCCAGTCCCCTCAGACTAAGAAACAGGCCTTTGGGGGAATGGCTGGATTCTACTGGGTTTGGGCTCACAGCAGAACTACTTTATGAAGCTCTGAAAGGACGTGATCATGAGCCTTTAAATTGGGATGGAACCTGCCAACAGGTATTCCTAACATTAGAAGAAAAGCTGGGAACAGCCCCTACTTTGGGACTCCCAAACATAGAAAAACTTTTCACCCTTTAGGCCGGGCGCGGTGGCTCACGCTTGTAATCTCAGCACTTTGGGAGGCCGAGGCGGGCGGATCACAAGGTCAGGAGATCGAGACCATCCTGGCTAACACAGTGAAACCCCGTCTCTACTAAAAATACAAAAAATTAGCCGCACGCGGTGGTGGGCGCCTGTAGTCCCAGCTACTTGGGAGGCTGAGGCAGGAGAATGGTGTGAACCCGGGAGGTGGAGTTTGCAGTGAGCCGAGATCGCGCCACTGCACTCAAGCCTGGGAGACAGAGCAAGACTCCGTCTCAAAAAAAAAAAAAAAAGAAAAAGAAAAACTTTTCACCCTTTAGATGAACTTTTAGATGCTGTCCAGCTCCACCCTTTCACCTTGGCTGAAAAACAAAGGGTAGCTTTGGGCATCCTAAACCAGAGGCTCAGGAATGACCCTATACCAGTGGCTTACTTTTCTAAACTAGACCAGGTGGTGGCTGAGTGGCCAGGATACTTGCGAGCTGTAGTCGCCACCACTCTATTGACAGAAGCCAGTAAGTTTACCTTGGGACAACCATCAGATGTCGTGATCCCCCCCATGAAGTATAGAGAGTCCTAGAGGCAAAGGGACACCAATAGCTAACGAGGGGCTTGTTACTGAAATATCAGACCCTTCTGCATGACACCCCAGATGTTACCCTTAAAGTATGTCGAGTTTTAAACTCTTCTCCCTTGTTGCTGGACTTCGTGTCCCAGGAAACAGATCCCCAACTCATTCACTCCTGTGTGGAAACCATAGAACAGACCTCCTCTAGCAGGCCTGACCTCAAAGATGAGCCCTTGAGCCCCTGCATAACCCCGATGTTGAGTGGCTCAGAGATGAAAGTGGTTTTATTCATAAGGGAGAAAGAAAGATCGGTTATGCAGTAGTTAGCCGAGAAGAAGGCATTGAGGCCAAAGCTTGACCTCCCCAGACATCTGCTCAAAAAGTGGAATTAATTGGTCTAATCAGGGTCCTCCAACTGAGAAAAGACTTAAGAGTCAACATATTTACCGATTCCAAATATGGGTGCCTGGTGCTCCACGCTCATGACGCCATATGGAAAGAAAAGGGAGCGCTAACAGCTAAGGAATCCCCCACACAGCATTGCTCTGAGATCTTGGAATTGTAGATGCTGTCCAGCTCCCAAAGGAGGTGGCAGTTACTCACTGCAGGGGACACCAAAAGGGGGACACCTCTATCATCCCGGAGGAAATGCCCTGATGGACAGGACAGCCAAGGCCACAGGTGAAGAACACCAGTGCTCCAGGCCACGGACTAATGCCAGGTACTGCACCCATGCCAGCAGCACCCTACTGTACTCCTGAGGAAAGTAAATGGGCAGAACAGATGGGCTTACAAGGCCAGGCGTGGTGGCTCACACTTGTAATCCCAGCACTTTGGGAGGCTGAGGTGGGTGGATCATGAGTTCAGGAGTTCGAGACCAGCCTAGCTAACACAGTAAAACCCTATCTCTACTAAAAATAGAAAAAAAAATTAGCCAGGTGTGGTGATGCATGCCTGTAATCCTGGATACTCGAGAGGCTGAGGGAGGAGAGTCATTTGAACCTGGGAGGC
Organism: Homo sapiens; assembly: GCF_000001405.40. Classification (NCBI taxonomy): domain Eukaryota; kingdom Metazoa; phylum Chordata; class Mammalia; order Primates; family Hominidae; genus Homo; species Homo sapiens. Next base: position 2,034,076 of record NC_000004.12, on the reverse strand, counting down.
AGTTTTCCCTGGCCAGTGCTAGGGAGATTGTGAGGTTTGGACTGGGCAGAATTCCCCACAGCGCAGCACAGCAGCTGTGGCAGATTGTGGCCAGACTGCCTCTTTAACTGGGAACCAGACCCATCCCTTCTCACCCGAGCAGTGCCTCCCTGCAGGAGTTCCAGCAACTCCAGCCAGGGGTTTACGGACAGAACTTTCATCTCCCCAGGTCAGAGCACCTGGGGAGAGTGGTGGCCGCAGTCTCAGGTTGGACAGACTTAATCTTTCCTGCTTGCTGGCTCCCAAGAGTCCCAGTGACCTGGATGAGGGGGCATTCCCCCCAGCGCAGTGCACCCACACTGGTAAGGGGCAGCCAGACTGCTTCCTTAAGCAGGTCCCTGATCACATGCCTCCTGACTGGGTGAGACCTCCCAACAGGGGCCACCAGACACTTCATTCAGGAGAGCTGCAGCTGGCATCAGGTCGGTGCCCCTCTGAGACAAAGCTTCCAGAGGAAGGAGCAGGCAGCAATCTTTGCTGTTCTGCAGCCTTCACTGGTGATACCCAGGCAAACAGGGTATGGAGTGGACCTCCAGCAAATTGCAGCCGACCTGCAGAAGAGGGGCCTGACTGTTAAAAGAAAAACAGCCAGGCGCAGTGGCTCACGCCTGTAATCCCAGCACTTTGGGAGGCTGAGGAGGGTGGATCACAAGGTCAGGAGTTCGAGACCAGCCTGGCCAATATGGTGAAACCCTGTCTCTACTAAAAATACAAAAATTAGCCAGGCGTGGTGGTGGGCGCCTGTAGTTCCAGCTACTTGGGAGGCTGCAGGAGAATCGCTTGAACCTGGAAGGTGGATGTTGCAGTGAGGGAGCCAAGATCGCGCCACTGCACTCCAGCCTGGGTGACAGAGCGAGACTCCATCTCAAAAAAAACGAAAAAAAAGAAAATAAAAGAAAAACAAACAGAAAGCAACAACAACAACATCAACAAAAAAGACCCCACAAAAACCCCATCTAAAGGTCAACAGCCTCAAAGAGGAAAGGTAGATAAATCCACAATGAGGAAAAACCAACGCAAAAATGCTGAAAATTCCAAAAGCCAGAATGCCTCTTCTCCTTCAAATGATCAAAACACCTCTCCGGCAAGGGCACAGGAGTGGGCTGAAGCTGAGATGGATGAACTGACAGAAGTACGCTTCAGAAAGTGGGTAATAATATACTTCACTGAGCTAAAGGATTATGTTTTAACCCAATGCAAAGAAGCTAAGAACCACGATAAAACATTACAGATGGTGTTAACTGGAATAACCAGTTTAGAGAGAAACATAAATGACCCGACGGAGCTGAAAAATACAGCACAAGAACTTCATGATGCAAACACAAGTATCAACAGCCAAATCAACCAAACAGAAGAAAGAATATCAGAGCTTGAAGACTGTCTTGCTGAAATAAGGCAGGCAGACAAGATTAGAGAAAAAATAATGAAAAGGAATGAACAAAACCTCCGAGAACTATTGGACTATGTAAAAAGATTGAACCTACAACTGATTGGAGTACCTGAAAGAGACGGGGAGAATGGAGCCAAGTTGGAAAACACACTTCAGGTTATCCTCCAGGAGAACTTCCCCAACTTAGCAGGACAGGCCAACGTTCAAATCCAGGAAATCCAGAGAACTCCAATAAGATACTCCATGAGAAGGTCAACCCTAAGGCACATAATCATCAGATTCTCTAAGGTTAAAATGAAGTAAAAAATGTTAAGGGCAGCCAGAGAGAAAGGCCAGGTCACCTACAAAGGGAAGCCCATCAGACTAACAGTGGACATCTCAGTGGAAACCCTACAAGCCAGAAGAGATTGGGGGCCAATATTCAACATTCTTTTTTTTTTTTTTTTTGAGACGGAGTCTTGCTCTGTCGCCTGGCTGGAGTGCAGTGGCGCAATCTCAGCTCACTACAAGCCTCTCAAGTAGCTGAGATTATAGGCACATGCCACCACGGCCGGATAATTTTTTGTATTTTAGTAGAGATGGGGTTTCACCATGTTGGCCAAGATGATCTTGATCTCCTGACCTCGTGATCCACCCACCATGGCCTCCCAAAGTGCTGTGAGCCACCGCGCCTGGCCAATATTCAACGTTCTTAAAGAATTTCCAGGCCAGGTGCAGTAGCTCACACCTGTAATCCCAGCACTTTGGGAGGCCAAGGTGGGTGGATCACAAGGTCAGGAGTTCAAGAACAGCATGGCCAACATGGTGAAACCCTGTCTCTACTAAAAATACAAAAATTAGCTGGACAGGGTGGTGCGTGCCTGTAATCCCAGCTGCCTGGGAGGCTGAGGCAGGAGAACTGGTTGAACCGGGACTCAGGAGGCAGAGGTTGCAGTGAGCCGAGATCATGCCACTGCACTCCAGCCTGGGCTACAGAGCGAGACTCCATCTCAAAAAAAAAAAAAAGAATTTCCAACCCAGGATTTCAAATCCGGCCAAACTAAGCTTCGTAGGTGAAGGAGATATAAAATCCTTTTCAGACAATCAAATGCTGAGGGATTTCATCTCCACCAGGCCTGCCTTGCAAGAACTCCTGAAGGAAGCACTGAACATGGAAAGGAAAAACTATTACAAGCCACTATAAAAACACACTGAAGTACACAGACCAATGACACTATGAAGCAACTACATTAACAAGTCTGCAAAATTAACTAGCCAGCATCATGATGACAGGATCAAACCCACACATACCAATATTAACCTTAAATGTAAATGGGCTAAATGCCCCAATTAAAAGACACAGAATGGGAAGCTAGACAAAAAGACAAGATCCATCAGTGTGCTGTATTCAGGAGTCACAACTCATATACAAAGACACACATAGGCTAGAAATAAAGGGATGGAAGAATATTTACCAAGCAAATGGAAAGCAGGAAAAAGCAGGAGTTGCAATCCTAATTTCTGACAAAATAGACTTTAAACCAACACAGGTCAAAAAAGGCCAAGAAGGGCATTACATAATGGTAAAGGGTTCAATTCAACAAGAAGACCTAACTATTCTAAATATATATGCACCCAATACAGGAGCACCCAGATTCATAAAACACAGTTTTTTGTTTTTTTGTGTGTTTTTTTTGTTTGTTTGTTTTTTGTTTTTGAGACAGAGTCTTGCTCTGTCACCCAGGCTGAAGTGCAGTGGCGCAATCTTGGCTCACTGCAAGCTCTGCCTTCCGGACTCAAGCAATTCTCCTGCCTCAGCCTCCCGAGTAGCTGGGACTACAGGTGCGCATCACCACGCCCAGCTAATTTTTGTATTTTTAGTAGAGACAGGGTTTCACCATATTGGCCAGGATGGTCTTGATCTCTTGACTTCATGATCCACCCACCTCGGCCTCCCAAAGTGCTGGGATTACAGGCGTGAGCCACCGCACCTGGCAATACATTCTTAAAGACCTATAAAGACAATTAGACACTCACACAATAATAGTAGAACACTTTAATACCTCACTGTCAATATTAGACAGTTCATCAAGACAGAAAATTAACAAAGATATTCAGGACTTGAACTCAGCTCTGAATCCAATGGACCTGGTAGATACCTACAGAACTCTCCACCCCCCAAAAAACAGAATGTACATTTTTCCTGGTGCCACATGGCACTTACTCTAAAATTGATCATAAATTGATCATATAATTGATCATATAACTGGAAGTAAAATACCCCTCAGCAAATGCAAAAGAAAGGAAATCATAACAGTCTCTCAGACCATAACGTAATCAAATTAGAGCTCAAGATTAAGAAATTCCCTCAAAACCATGCCACTACATGGAAACTGAACAACCTGCTCCTGAATGACTTCTGGGCAAATAATGAAATTAAAGCAAAAATCAAGAAGTTCTTTGAAACTAATGAGAACAAAGAGACAACTTACCAGAATCTCTGGGATACAGCTAAAGCAATGTTAGGAGGGAAAGTTATGGCACTAAATTGCCACATCAAAAACCGAGAAAGATTTCATATCAACATACTAACATCACAACTAGAAGAACTAAAGAACCAAGAGCATTAAATATATAAGTTGCTTTGGGCAGTATGGCCATTTTCATGATATTGATTCTTCCTATCCATGAACATAAAATGTTTTTACATCTGTTTGTGTCCTCTCTGATTTCCTTGAGCAGTGGTTTGTAGTTCTCCTTGAAGAGGTCCTTCACATCCCTTGTTAGCTGTATTCCTAGGTACAAAACAAACCTCAGAGCTAGCAGAAGACAAGAAATAACCAAGCTCAGAATGGAACTGAAGGAGACAGAGACACGGAAAACCCTTCAAAATATCAATGAATCCAGGAGCTGGGTTTCTTTAATCAATAAAATAGACTGCTAGCTAGACTAATAAAGAAGAAAAGAGAGAAGATTCAAGTAAACACAATCAGAAATGATAAGGGGTGATACCACTGACCCCACAGAAATACAAACAACCATCAGAGAATACTATCAACACCTCTATGCAAATAAACTATAAAATCTAGAAGAAGTGGATAAATTCCTAACACATATACCCTCCCAAGACTGAACCAGGAAGAAATTGAATCCCTGAATACACCAATAACAAGTTCCAAAATTGAGGTAGTAATAAATACGCTGCTGGCCGGGCACAGTGCCTCACACCTGTAATCCCAGCACTTTGGGAGGCTGAGGCAGGCAGATTACCTGAGGTCAGGAGTTCCAGACCAGCCTGGTCAACATGGTAAAACCCCATCTCTACCAAAAACACAAAAATTAGCTGGGCATGGTGGCGGGTGCCTGTAATCCCAGATACTTGGGAGGCTGAGGCAGGAGAATTGCTTGAACCTGGGAGGCAGAGGTTGCAGTGAGCCGAGATCGAGCCATTGCACTCCAGCCTGGGCGACAAGGGTGAAACTCCATCTCAAATAAATACATAAATAGTCTACCAACCAAAAAAGCCCAGGACCAGGTGGATTCACAGCTGAATTCTACCAGAGGTACAAAGAGGAGCTGGTACCATTTTTTCTGAAACTATTCCAAACAATGGAAAGGAGGGACTCCTCCCTAACTAATTTTATGGGGCCAGCATCATACTGAAACCAAAACCTGGCAAAGATACAACAAAAAAAGAAAACTTCAGGACAACATCCTTGATGAACATCAATGCAAATACCCTCAATAAAATACTGGCAAACCGAATCTAGGAACACATCAAAAAGCTTATCCACCACGATCAAGTCAGCTTCATCTCCGGGGTGCAAAGCTGGTTCAACGTACACAAGTCAATAAATGTAATTCATCACATAAACAGAACTAAAGACAAAAATCACATTATTATCTCAATAGATACAGAAAAGGCCTTCAATAAAATTCAACATCCCTTCATGTAAAAAATGTAATAAACTTGGTATTGAAGGAACATACCTCAAAATAATAAGAGCTGTTTATGACAAACCCACAGCCAATATCATACTGAATGGGCAAAAGCTGGAAGCATTCCCCTTGAAAACTGGCACAAGAAAAGGATGCCCTCTCTCATCACTCTTATTCAACATAGTATTGGAAGTTCTGGCCAGGGCAATCAGGCAAGAGAAGAAATAAAGCATATTCACATAGAAAGAGAGGAAGTCAAATTGTCTTTCTTTGCAGATGACATGATCCTATATCTAGAAAACCCCACTGATTCAGCTCAAAAGCTTCTTAAGCTGATGAACAACTTCAGCAAAGTCTCAAGATACAAAATCAATGTGCATAAATCACAAGCATTCTTATACACCAACAACAGACAAGCAGAGAGCCAAATCATGAATGAGTTTCCATTTACAATTGCCTCAAAGATAATAAAATATGTAGGAATACAGCTAACAAGGGATGTGAAGGACCTCTTCAAGGAGAACTACAAACCACTGCCCAAGGAAATCAGAGAGGACACAAACAGATGTAAAAACATTTTATGTTCATGGATAGGAAGAATCAATATCATGAAAATGGCCATACTGCCCAAAGCAATTTATATATTTAATGCTATTCCCATTAAACTACCAATGACATTGCTCACAGAATTAGAAATAACTATTTTTAAAAATTCATGTGGAACCGTAAAAGAGCTTGTATAGCCAGGACAATTCTAAGCAAAGAGAACAAAGCTGGAGGCATCACACTACCCGACTTCAAACTATTCTACAAGGCTACAGTAACCAAAACAGCACGGTACTGGTACAAAAACAGGCACACAGACCAATGGAACAGAATAGAAAACTCAGAAATAAAACTGCACATCTACAACCATCTGATCTTTGACAAACCTGACAGAAATAAGCAATGGGGAAAGGATTCCCTATTTAATAAATGGTGCTGGGAGAACTGGGTAGACATATGCAGAAATTGAAACTGGACCCTTCCTTACACCTTATATAAAAATTAACTCAAGATGGATTTAAGACTCAAATGTAAGACCCAAACTATAAAAACCCTAGAAGGAAATCTAGGCAATACCATTCAGGACATAGGCATGGGCAAAGATTTTATGATGAAATCGCCAAAAGCAATTGCAGCAAAAGGAAAAATTGACAAATGGGATCTAATCAAACTAAAGCACTTCTGCACAGCAAAAGAAACTATCATCAGAGCAAACAGACAATCTACAGAATGGGAGAAAAATTTTGCAATCTATCAGTCTGACGAAAGTCTAATATCCAGAATCTACAAGGAACTTAAGCAAATTTACAAGAAAAAAAAAACCCATTAAAAAGTGGGCAAAGGACATGAACAGACAATTCTCAAAAGAAGACATACACGCAGCCAACAAACATGAAAAAAACTCAACATCACTGATCATCAGAGAAATGCAAATCAAAACCACAATGAGATACCATTTCATGCTAGTCAGAATGGCGATTATTAAAAAGTCAACAAACAACAGACGCTGGCAAGGTTGCAGAGAAATGGGAACACTTTTTACACTGTTGGTTGGAATGTAAATTAGTTCAACCATTGTGGAAGACAGTATGGCGATTCCTCAAAGATTTAGAATGGGAAATACCATTTGACCCAGCAATCCCATTACTGGGTATATACCCAAAGGAATATAAATCATTCTATTATAAAGATACATGCATGTGTATGTTCATTGCAGCACTATTCACAATAGCAAAGACATGGAATCAACCCAAATGCCCATCAATGATAGACTTGATAAAGAAAATGTGGTATATGTACACCGTGAAATACTATGCAGTCATAAAAAGGAATGAGATCATGTCATATGCAGGGATGTGGATGAAGCTGGAAGCCATTATCCTCAGCAAACTAACGCAGGAACAAAAACCAAACACCACATGTTCTCACTTATAAGTGGGAGCCAAACAATGAGAACACAGGGACATGGAAAGGGGAAAAACACACACTGGGGCCTGCTGGGGGAGGAGAGGGGGGAGAGCATCAGGAAAAATAGCTAATGCATGCTGGGCTTAATACCTAGATGATGGATTGATAGGTGCAGCAAACCATCACGGCACACATTTACTTATGTAACAAACATGCACATCCTGCACATGTACCCCAGAACCTAAAATAAAAGAAAAAGAAAAAAAGGGAAGCAGAGCATAAAAGTTTGGAAAATTTGCAGCCTGACCATGTGAAAGAAAAGAAAAACCCATTTTCTGGGGGAGGAATTAAAGCAAGCCTGCTGCAAAAATTTGCATAAGAGGAGCCGAATGTTAATAGTCAAGAAAATAGAGAATATGTCTCCAAAGCATTTAGAGATACTTATGACAGCCCCTCCCATCACAGGTCTGGAGGCCTAGAAGGGAAAAATGGTTTTGTCGGCCATGCCCGGGGCCCCACTGCTCTGTGCAACCTCAGGACACAGCACCCTGCGTCCCAGCCACTCCAGCCCCAGCTGTGGCTAAAATGGGCCAAGATACATCTCAGGCTGCTGCTCCAGAGAGTGCAAGCCAGAAGCCACCAATGTTTCCATGTGGTGTTAAACCTGCAGGTGTATAGAGGGCAAGAGTTGAGGCCTGGGAGCCTCCACCTAGATATCAGGGGATGTACAGAAACACCTGGATGTCCAGGCAGAAGTCTGCTGCAGGGGCAGAGCCCTCATGCAGAACCTCTACTAGAGCAGTGTGGAGGTGAAATGTGGGGTTGGAGTCCCCACACAGAGTTCCCACTGTGGCACTGCCTAGTGGAGCTGTGAGAAGAAGGTCACCAACCTCCAGACCCCAGAATGGTAGATCCACTGACAGCTTCCACTGTGCACCTGAAAATACTGCAGGCACTCAACACCAGCCTGTGAAAGCAGCTGTGGGGGCTGTACCCTGCAGAGTCACAGAGGCAGAACTGCCCAAGGCCTTGGGAGTCCACCCCTTGCATCAGCATGCCCTGGGTGTGGGACATGGAGTCAAAAGAGATTATTTTGGAGCTTTAAGATGTAATGACTGCCCTGCTAGATTTCAGACTTGCATGGGGCCTTAGCCCCTTTGTTTGGCCAATTTCTCCCTTTTGGAACAGGAGTATTTACCCAATGCCTGTACCCCCATTGTATCTTGTAAGTAATTAGTTGCTTTTTATTTTACAGGCTCATAGGTGGAAGGAACTTGCCTTGTCTCAGATGAGACTTTGGACTTGGACTTTTGTGTTAAGACTTTGGGGGACTGTTGGGAAGGCATGATTGTGTTTTGAAGTGTGAGGAGGATGTGGGATTTGGGGGGGCCCGGGGCAGAATGATATGGGTTTGTCACAGGATCCTTGAGGTGTCACTTCACCAGCTGGAAACCTCTGTGGCCAGTGGTGCCTTTTCTTGAGTTTTGCTCAGGCCCACTGGGCTCATTCTGCCCACTTGGCCTGGCAGACTGTGCTTGGCTCATCCTACCAGCTTGGATCCCAGGCCTGCCAAGGGTGAGCCAGGCAAAGAGCGGTGAGGGGTGCATGAGTGAGCAAGCACAGGGTCTGGCCACTACGCAAGCCAGGCACACCAGCTGTGGGTGGGAATAGGAGTTTTAATTTTTCTCTTTTTCCTGTAATACTTCTTTTCTATCACTCTGGCCAACTGCCTCCCACTGGGAAATACCTCTTTTGTCCTTGTTGGGTGTAGAGGCCACTCTAAGGCCTAACTGGACACCATGCTGCCACTGTTTATCCTGCTTGCCCTCCCAATCACCCTGATCCAGGGTGGGTGGTAACAGAATGCTATAGTAAATATTTCAAAAATTACAGCATCAGGGAACCATCTTCATGGTTGCTGGGTTTGTCATCAACATCCCCAGGACAGAGAGTTCCATCTTCTGGCCTATCTGGAAAATCTCACAGCCATCTCCCCAGACTTCCTAACCAACCACAGTGATCCCAAAGTACCCAGACCCCTACTTGTTAGGTGGAACTCTCCTCCACTTAATGGATTTCACCTGAACCTCCATCTCCCTACCCCTGTACCGCACTCCCCACCACTGTCACTTGGACCCAGAAAGCTGGCTATCTATGTCTCCGGTGTGCTAACGATTCTCTTTTGCATTCACTGTTGTGTTGTTAACGACACAAAAGCAGAAGCTTCCCTGCAATGTTCTCACACAACTTGTTGCCAAATTCTCAAGGCTGCAGTGAAGTAAATCGGATCCCACTTGTGAGTGAGGAAATTATAGATGGTGCCTTCTCCAAGATCAGAGCATATAGGGGAAAAAACAACTGTCTAATCTGGGAAGGTGGGAGTACCACCCTGTCCTGGAAAACAAAGGTTGTTCAACCACCCCCATTGGAGCAGGGAAGGAATATCTCTATAGACCCAACTTGGCAGGAAAGGATACACATCACGCCCCACAGGGCCTCTATTTGTGTCCCAACTGGGTTCGTTTTTGTTTGTGGCCACAAGTGGGAAGAATCCCACCCCGTAACCACTCCCAGCACCCAGCTCTCAGCTCCCCAGGGAGCCCACCTGTTCTTTTAGAAGTAGCTTTCCCTTACATATCAAAATCTTGGAACAGGAGTGAATGTATGTTGACCACCCTTGCCCCTCCAGGGGCCGCGTCTATAACCCCATAAGACCTAAGAACATCAGAAGATAATGAGCAATAGGATTAATTCTGGGAGGAATCAGGGTAGTAATAGGACAATCTTAGCCCCCTGATGTGACTTTGCCTACCACGAGTCAACCCTGAAGAATTCGACTCAAACCCTAGAATCATTAGCCACCAGCACAGGTCAGGCATTAAAAGGGAATACAAGAATCCCTAGACTGTATGGCAAATATAATCCTTGATAACAGACTAGTGTTGGATTATTTAACGAGCTGAACAAGGTGGAGTCTGTACGGTTATTAACAAAACCTGCTGCACCTATATTAACAACTCTGGACATAATAATGTTAACATTCAAAAGATTTATGAGCAAGCTCCCTGGTTACATAGACATAACCAGAGCACAGACCCAGCTAATCTGGTCAACTGTCAGAAATGCCCTCCCAAGTCTCACCTGGTTTTTACCCCACCTGGGACCTTTGGTAGGTATATCATTACTACTAATTTGTGGCCCTTGCTTGTCTAACCACTTAGTAAAGTTTGTGTCTTCCAGATTGCAACACTTCTACATCAAGAAAATGTGGCAATAAGGCTGCCAAACCCTCCTGTCTTCTGAACCGAATCCTTGTAGATTCTGGATATCGCACCTTCATAGGAATATTCTGAGAATATTTTCTCCTATTCGGTAAGCTGTCTGTTTACTCTGTGATAGTTTCTTTTGCTGTGCGTACACTCTTCAGTGTCACTAGGTCCCACTTGTCAATTTGTTGTTGTTGTTGTTGCAATTGCTTTTGAGGACTTAAGTAATAAATTCTTTCCCAAGGCTGATGTCCAGAATGGTGTTTCCTAGGTTTTCTTCTAGGATTCTTATAGTTTGTGGTCTTCCATTTAAATCTTTAATCCATCTTTAGTTTTTGTATAAGGTGAAAGGTAGGGGTTCAGTTTTATTCTTCTGCATATAGTTAGCCAGTTATCCCAGCACCATTTATTGAATAGGGAGTCCTTACCCCATTGCTTATTTTTGTTACCTTTGTCAAAGATCAGGCCTTCCTTGGCCTCCCAAAGCACTGGGACTACGCGTGTGAGCCACTGTGCCCAGCCCAGTATGGCCATTGTAACAATATTGATTATTCCAATCCATGAACATAGGATATTTTTTCCATTTGTTTGTGTCATCTGTGACTTCTTTCAGCAGTGTTTTGTAACTTTCCTTATCAATATCTTTCACCTCCCTGGTTAGACGTATTCCTAGGTATTTTATTTTTGTGTGTGGCTATTGTAAACGGGATAGCATTCTTGATTTGGCTCTCCGTTTGGATGCTATTGGTTTACACAAATGCCGCTGACTGGCCGGGCGTGGTGGCTCACACCTGTAATCCCAGCACTTTGGGAGGCTGAGGCAGGCAGATCACGAGGTCAAGAGATTGAGACCATCCTGGCCAACATGGTGAAACCATGTCTCTACTAAAAAACGAAAATTAGCTGGGCGTGGTGGCATGCACCTCTAGTCCCAGCTACTTGGGAGGCTGGGGCAGGAGAATCATTTGAGCCCAGATTGTGCCACTGCACTCCAGCCTGGTGACAGAGCAAGACTCTGTCTCAAAAAAGAAAAGAAAAGAAATACTGCTGACTTTTGAATGTTGATTTTGTATCTTGAAACTTTACTGCAGTCATTACAGTTCAGGAGACTTTTGGTGGAGTTTTAGGGTTTTCTAGGTATAGAATGATAGCATCAGCGAAGAGAGATTGAAGGGGGCCAGCCCCTTCACACCTGTGGGTATTTCTCGTCAGGTGGGACGAGGGACTGAGAAAAGAAATAAGACACAGAGACAAACTACAGAGAAAGAACAGTGGGCTAAGGGGACCGGCGCTCAGCATACGGAGGACCCACAGCGGCACCAGCCTCTGAGTTCCCTCAGTATTTATTGATCATTATTTTTACTATTTTAGCGAGGGGAGTGTAGCAGGGCAACAGGTGGGGAGATGGTCAGCAGGGAAACGTAAGCAAAGGAATCTGTATCACGAATAAGTTCAAGGAAAGGTACTGTGCCTGGATGTGCACGTAGGCTGGATTTATGTTTCTCTTTACCCAAACATCTCAGTGTAGCAAAGAGTAACACAGCAGTGTTGCTGCCAGCATATCTCGCCTCCAGCCACAGGGCGGTTTTCTCCTATCTCAGAACAGAACGAATGGGAATCGTCAGCTTTCCACCGAGACATTCCATTCCCAGGGACGAGCAGGAGGCAGAAGCCTTCCTCTTATCTCAACTGCAAAGAGGCCTCCCTCTTTCACTCCTCCTCCTCAGCACAGACCCTTTACTGGTGTCGGGCTGGGGGATGGTAAGGTCTTTCCTTTCCCACGAGGCCATATCTCAGGCTGTCTCAGTTGGGGGAAACCTTGGACAATTCCCAGGCTTTCTTGGGCAGAGGTTCCTGCGGCTTTCCGCAGTGCATTGTGTCCCTGGTTAATCGAGAATGGAGGATGGCGATGACTTTTACTAAGCATATGCCGTGCAAACATATTGTTAACAAGGCACAGCCCGCACAGCCCTAAATCCATTGAACTTTGATTCAATACAGCACATGTTTCTGTGAGCACAGGGTTGGGACTAAAGTTACAGGTTAACAGCATCTCAAAGCAGAAACAATTTTTCTTAGTACAGATCAAAATGGAGTTCCTTATATCTTCCTTTTCTACAAAGACACAGTAACAATCCGATCTCTCTTTCTTTACCCCACAGAGATAGTTTGACTTTTTTTCCTATATGCATGCTTTTTATTTCTTTCTCTTGCCTGATTGCTATGGCTTGGACTTCCAAAAGGGTAAATTTTTAATATATAAATTATTCTTCAATAAAGCTGTTATTTAAAAAATAAGCCAGGACAGTCATGGTGGCTCAAGCCTGTAAACCCAGAACTTTGGGAGACCGAGGCAGGTGGATTACTCGAGCCCAGGAGTTCGAGACCAGCTTGTCCAACATGGTGAAACCCCATCTCTACTAAAAATACAAAAATTAGCCAGGCATGGTCACACTCGCCTGTAATCCCAGCTACTAGGGAGGCTGAGACAGAGAATCGCTTGAACCTGGGAGGCGGAGGATGTAATGAGCTGAGATCATGCCACTGCACTCCAGCCTGGGTGACAGAGTGAGACTCCATCTCAAGAAAAATAAATAAAGGAAGGAAGGAAGGAAGGAGAAAGAGAAATTATGGAAAGAAAAAGAAAAAAGAAAGAAGAAAGAAAGAAAGAAAGAAAGAAAGAAAGAAAGAAAGAAAGAAAGAAAGAAAGAAAGAAAGAAAGAAAGGAAAGAAAGAAAGAAAAGAAAAGAAAAGAAAGAGGGAAAGAAAGAAAGAAAGAGACCGGGTGCGGTGGCTCACGCCAGTAATCCCAATACTTTAGGAGGCCAAGGCGGGCGGATCATGAGGTCAGGAGATCAAGACCATCCTGGCTAACACGCTGAAACCCCGTCTCTACTAAAAATACAAAAAATTAGCCGGGCATGGTGGCGGGCGCCTGTAGTCCCAGCTACTCAGGAGGCTGAGGCAGGAGAATGCCGTGAATCCGGGAGGCGGAGTAGGCAGTGAGCCGAGATGGCACCACTGCACTCCATCCTGGGCAACAGAACAAGACTCTAAAAACAAAACAAAAGAAAGAAAGAGAGAGAGAGAGAGAGAGAAAGGAAGGAAGGAGAAAGAAAGATATAAAGAGAAAGAGGGAAGAAAGGAAGAAAGGGAGAGGGAGGGAGGAAGGAAGGAAAGAAGAAAGAAAAGAAAGAAAGAAAAAGAAAGAAGAAAGGAAGGAGAAAGAAAAAGAAAAAGAAGAGGGTAGGAAGGAAGGAAGGGAGGGAGGTAGGGAGGGAGGGAGAGAGGGAAGGAGGAAGGAAGGAAGGAAGGAAAGAAGGAAGGAGAGAGAGAAGGGGCTTGCCTGTTTCTGAGATGATTTACCTTTAAGAGGCAGTCGAGCCTTAGGGGTTTCTGGCCAAACAGAAGAGAAAGGACATGAATTCAAACAATGGGCATCCCAGCCTGAGCAACACAAAAAGACCCCATCTGTACAAAAATTAAAATGAAAATTAATTTTTGAAAGATAGCCAGGAATGCTGGTGTGGGCCTGGGCTCCAGCTACTGGAAAGGCTGAGCGGGGAAGACCACCTGAGCTCAGGAGTTCAAGAACAGCCTGGGCAACATAAGAAGACCCTGCCTCTAAAAAAATAAATAAAAGAGGGATGGGGCAGTGGAGGAGCTTGCAGCAAGAGTGCAATAAAGGTCATAAAGTTCACATTGCAATTGGAGGGATCTGAAAGAGTTTTACGTTTTCCCATTTTTATTTGATAAAGGAATCCTTTAGGAATTAATTTTTCTTTTCTTTTCTTTTTTTTTTTTTTTTGAGATGGAGTCTCCCTCTGTCACCCAGGCTGGAGTGCGGTGGCGCCATCTCGGCTCACTGCAAGCTCTGCCTCCCAGGTTCACGCCATTCTCCTGCCTCAGCCTCCGGAGTAGCTGGGACTACAGGCGCCCGCCACCACGCCCAGCTAATTTTTTGTATTTTTAGTAGAGACGGGGTTTCACCGTGTTAGCCAGGATGGTCTCAATCTCCTGGCCTCATGACCCGCCCCACCTCGGCCTCCCAAAGTGCTGGGATTACAGGCGTGAGCCACCGCGCCCGGCCCCGAAGTGGTCTTTGAGGGAAGGGCACCATTCGGGAAGGGGAGCACTGAGGTCACAGCGGGAGCACGCCCACCCGGGAGCAGAAACCCCTCCTGAGGGCAGGACCCCAGCCACCACACACCCTGGCAAGAGCTCGCAACCTGGGGTTGCAAACCCTCCACTGAAGGCAGTGCTGACCTGAGGGTCTCCCTAGGAGGACAGGCGTGAGCAGAGAATCTGTCTGAAGACAAGGCAAAACTGAAGGTGCAGATGAGGACTTAGTTTGTTAGATAAGAACAGTGGATTCACGAGATCTGAACTCACTGGCCCTTGGTGCCCTTGAGACAGGGACATTCAGACCTGTGTTAGTTCATCCTCTTCCCAAGGAGCTCTTCACAACAGAAGGTGACAAGGACAGACGGACACACAGAATTGTTGTTAGGAGCAAAGTAGTTTCCACAAGGATCAAAATCTTCATCTCATCAGATAATCAAAGCACACGTAAGAAGGCTTTCTCAATCCTGGAACACAAGGAGCTTTCACAAAAGAAAACCAGAGGGTCACGGGGAGAGTGCTGGTTCCAGTCGCAGGTCTCAGGCCATCCTGGGGAGGCCGTCTCAGCCGAATCCCATGGGAACATTTAGGACCATTCACTGCCAACAACTCAACAGTGACTCCCAGAAAACTTGTTTATTTTTAGAGACAGGGTCTTGCTCTGTTGCCCGGGCTAGATTGCAGTGGTGCAACCACAGCTCACTGCAGCCTCAACCTCCTGGGCTCAAGCAATCCTCCCCCATCAACCTCCCAAGTAGCTGGGACTACAGGTGTGCTCCACCACACCCGGCTAATTTTTTAGTGTTTTGTAGAGACAGAGTCTTGCTGTGTTGCCAAGGCTGGTCTCTAACTCCTGGGCTCACGCAATCCTCCCACCTCAGCCTCCCAAAGTGCGCCTGGCCTCATAGGATTTTAGAATCTGGGCTCAGATGGTTGATGGTCTGTCTTTCAGTGCAAGGACTCATTGGGATAGGACAGAGCTTATGGCCCAACAGTGCAGGACAGAGAAACACAGCCAGATGAAGGTTCTGATGAGTGAGCTGGTTCCCAGATTGGTAAACTATGTGCCAGGATACATTGTTCTGCAAGATTTTCCTGAAGCAAACAGTGATTGACTGATTTAGTTTTATCTTCCTGGAAAGAATTTTCTGGAAATAATCATTAAATCAGGTTGACACAGGTGATCTCAGCTCTTGATCCCAAGAGTTAAGTGGACACAGGTGGTCTCAATTCTCATCCCGTCCTCAATATTCTGCCAAGGCCCCTCTGTCTTTTCCATCTCTTTTTTTTTTTCATTTTCTTTCTTTCTTTTTTTTTTTTTTTTTTTGAGACGGAGTCTCACGCTTGGTGCCCAGGCTGGAGTGCAATGGCACGATCTCAGCTCACGGCAACCTCCACCTCCCAGGTTCAAGCGATTCTCCTGCCTCAGCCTCCTGTGTAGCTGGGATTACAGGCATGAGCCACCACGCCCAGTTAATTTTTGTATTTTTAGTAGAGACAGGGTTTCACCATGTTGGCCAGGATGGTCTTGATCTCTTGACCTCATGATCCACCTGCCTCGGCCTCCCAAAGTGCTGGGATTACAGGCATGAGCCACTGTGCCCAGCCTTCCACCTCATTTTCTCTGTCATCATTTTTTTCTCCAGCTTCCAGGAGCCGTCGTAGCAGCCGATTAGGACTGGCTGCTGGTGTGGTGATGACCTAGAGGGCTTCTCCCAGGTAAGGTGAGAAGAGGGATCCACTCACTGCAAGAGGCTGCATAAACTTAACCCAACACTGTAAAGGCTCTCCTCATGAACAAAGCATTAGTAGTCTAGATAAAATACTAACAAGCGAAATCTAGCAACGTGTAAAAAAGAATAACATAGTCCAAGTTGGGCTTATTCTAGGAAAGTAAGGTTTATGTAATTTGAAAGGCAATCAATGTAATTCATCACATTTACAAAATAAAGGTGAAAAAATCATACAATCATCTCAGTATGCACAACAAAACATTTTATAAGAACATTTGATAAAATTAAATGTTGGTCATGATTTTTAAAAACCTGTAGCAAATTAGGAATAGAAGGGAACTTCTTTAATTTGATCTAGGGCACCTTAAAAAATAAGCAAACATGGCCGGGCATGGTGGCTCACACCTGTAATCCCAGCACTTTGGGAGGCTGAGGCGGGCGGATCACGAGGTGAGGAGATCGAGACCATGCTGGCTAACACGGTGAAACCCCATCTCTAATAAAAATACAAAAAATTAGCCGGGCGTGGTGGCGGGCGACTTGTAGTCCCAGATACTCAGGAGGCTGAGGCAGGAGAACGGCCAGAACCCGGGAGGCGGAGCTTGCAGTGAGCCAAGATCACACTACTGCACTCCAGCCTGGGCGACAGAGTGAGAATCCGTCTCAAAAAAATAAGAATAAAAATAAGCAAACATATCACTTAATGGACTCATGTAACAGTGAAAAGTATGGCGGGATAGCTAACAGGCCAACCCTCCCACTGATTAAAGGCTTTGGAGCATAAACCAAAGCAAGCGGATTTTGGAGGGAAGTAAAAACTTGGAGGAAAGGACCAGCCTGGTGAATTTGTTTGTTTGTTTGAGACAAAGTCTTGCTCTGTTGCCCAGGCTGGAGTGCAATGGTGTGATCTCAGCTCACTGCGACCTCTGCCTCCCGGATTCAAGCAATGCTCCTGCCTCAGCCTCCTGAGTAGCTGGGATTACAGGTGCCCACCACTGTGCCCGGCTAATTTTTGTATTTTTAGTAGAGATGGGGTTTTGCCATGTTGGCCAGGCTGGTTTTGAACTCCTGACCTCAGGTGATCCACCTGCCTCGGCCTTCCAAAGTGTTGGGATCACAGGCATGAGCCACCACAGCTGACTGATCCTGGTGAGTTTTAAGGCCATTTTCAAAGCTTAAGCCTGAGGACAGCTAGGGAGCCCCGGCATGGTGCAAGCAGATAACCCTAACAGAAAACTGACTGTCTTTCTGGATTTACAAACCAGAAAACAGAGCCTGGACCCACACAATTTCCAGGAAGTCAGGAGGGAGTCCTAAAACGGAAAGAGCCAGAGAAGTCTCTGATAGATCATGCAGGCAAAGGTAGCCTCTAGCAGCTTGCAGGCAGGGCCGCACTGAGATTTGAAAGGCCTCTAAACCTACTCTACAGAAAGCCCAGAGGCAGACACAAAGTCAACAGGGGAGAGGTCACTCCTGCCTTTACACAGCTGCTGAGAATAGATGAAAAGTCTTGCCAACTTATTTAAAAGGCTAGGCTGGGCACGGTGGCTCACACCTGTAATCCCAGCACTTTGGGAGGCTGAGGCAGGCGGATCACAAGGTCAGGAGATCAAGACCATCCTGGCTAACACGGTGAAACCCCGTCTCTACTTAAAAAAAAAAAAAAAAATTAGCCGGGCGTCGTGGCGGGTTCCTGTAGTCCCAGCTACTCAGGACACTGAGGCAGGAGAATGGCGTGAACCCAGGAGGTGGAGCTTGCAGTGAGCGGAGATCGTGCCACTGCACTCCAGCCTGGGCGACAGAGCAAGACTCCGTCTCAAATAAATAAATAAAAGGCTAGAAAGCCATAATTCCCAATCTAGATAAAAATGAATATATACAAATAAAATTATAGGACAATTCACTCATAATCAGAGGTGCAAATTTTAAAGAAATTCACAGCGAATTAAGAGAAACAGGGTTGTGATTAGGGTGACGTATGTGAAGCACTTGCTTTGGGCAAAATATTCAGGAGGTTCCAAAATAGTTATTAAGATAAATATTTTTCAATTAGTAGCTCCTATAAAAGGAAAATAATTTAAAAGAAAAAATATTTTAAAAGGTAAATATTTTAATACACTACCTTAAAGAGTCAAAACTCATGCAAAAAAACTATGGTGAACAAAATATAAAATTTTAAATGAAGACAGCATCAGTATCACTGATTGGTTTTCTTGCCTCAGCTCCAATATGGCTTGACATGGCACTGTTACTATCTGTCTTTGTTTAAAATTTCAGTATGTTGTTTATCATTGATTTTTTCTGGCATTGATTTTGAGTTTTTAAAATATTGCATTCAAATACCATTTGTTGTGATGGCTGAGTGTTCTGACCCCTGTTAAGCCTCCCTCAGCTCTCTCCCCTTGCCCGGGCCCTGGCCCTGAAAGATAATTCATCTTGACAAGTAAGGCTCCTCTGAGGAGCACAGGGACGGTTGAACATCAGAGATCCTATCATGACCTTGGGCACCACATTCATAGCCTAAAGGAAGGGCAGCGTGAGATTTTCTCAACAGATGCGGAAAAGCTCATTTTTCTTAAAGAGAAACACTGTTAGGATGAAAACTCTGGAACATAAAGGAAACAAGAAAACTTCCTTAAGTGGACAAAGGTGATCCACTAATAACTTAGATTATTTCATGGATAAAATTTAGACATGGGCCAGGTGTGGAGGCTCAGCACTTTGGGAGGCAGAGGCGGGAGGCAGAGGCAGGAGGATCCCTTGAGCCCAAGAGTTTGAGACTAGCCTGGGCAATATAGCAAGACCCTGCCTTGTGAAAAAAAAATTGGACATATACCTTTACGACTGAAAGCAAGACAACAGGATTCTTACTGCCCTGCTAATGTTCAACAGGACTGGAATCTTTGGCCAATACCAAAAAAATAATAAAGGAAAAGTATAAATATACATGGAAGACACAGAACTGTCATTGTCTGTAAATGAAATATTCAGAATAACCAACTAAATCAACCCACTATTAGAATAAATATAGGAGTCCATAAAGGTTGTTGGATGTATGTCCAACTTAAAAAATAGTATTTCTCGTATTCATAATAACCAACTGGAAAATAGAATACAGGATATCATTCATA
Organism: Homo sapiens; assembly: GCF_000001405.40. Classification (NCBI taxonomy): domain Eukaryota; kingdom Metazoa; phylum Chordata; class Mammalia; order Primates; family Hominidae; genus Homo; species Homo sapiens. The sequence goes on along the minus strand of NC_000004.12, from coordinate 2,014,524 downwards.
AGAGCATGAAATACACTAAGGCATCTGAGTTAAGCTAATGAAAATGATTAGGAACTGTATGAGGCCTGGCGCGGTGGTGCACACCTGTTATCCCAGCTCTTTGGCAGGCCAAGGTGGGAGGATTGCTTGAGGCCAAGAGTTTGAGACGTCATCTCTACATAGTGAGACTTCATCTCTACAAAAATTTCAAAAGCTAGCTGGGCATGGTGGCACGCGCCTGTAGTCTCAGCTATGAGGCTGCAGTGAGCCAAGATTGTACGGCTGCACTCCAGCCTAGGCAAGAGTGAGACGCTATCTCTAAAAAAAATAAGTAAGAAAGAACTGGCCAGGCGTGGTGGCTCATTCCTATAATCTCAGCACTTTGGGAGGCCAAGGCGGGGAGATCACTCAAGGCCAGGAGTTGGAGACCAGCCTGGCCAACATGGCAAAACCCCATCTCTACTAAACAAACAAACAAACCACAAAAATAGGCTGGGTGTGGTGGCTCACACCTGGATCCCAACAGTTTGGGAGGCCGAGGTGGGCGGATCTGAGATCAGGAGTTCGAGACCAGCCTGGCCAACATGGTGAAATCCCGTCTCTACCGAAAATACAAAAATTAGCCAGGCTTGGTGTTGCATGCCTGTAATCCCAGCTACTCAGGAGGCTGAGCGATGAGAATCACTTGAACCCGGGAGGCGGAGGCTACTAGGGAAGGTGAGAGGCAGGAGAATTGCTTGACCCCGGGAGGCGGAGGTTGCAGCGAGCCGAGATCGCGCCACTGCACCCCAGCCTCACCAACAGAGCGAGACTCTATATCAAAAAAGAGAAAAACACAAAAATTAGCTGGGCATGGTAGCATATGCCTGTAGTCCCAGCTACTTGAAAGGCTGAGGCATGAGAATCGCTTGAGCTTGGGAGGCGGAGGCTGCAGTGAGCTGAGATCGCACCACTGCATTCCAGCCTGGGCAACAGAGTAAGACCCTCTCTTAAAAAAAAAAAAAACTGTATGGAGAAAAATAGTAACGTCTACTGAAGATCATAAAGAAAGAAAAATGAAAGCTTGTCTGTGTATCATATACTATATAAAGATGTCAGTTCTCTCTAAATTAATCTACAAACCCAATGGAAAGCCAATCAAAATACCACTAGGGTTTTTTTTTAGAAATTCAGTAAAGTTGTAAAATTTATTGCTTTAAAGTAAAAATAAGGACTTTTTTTTTCCCTTTGGTCGCCCAGGCTGGAGTGCAATGGCACGATCTCAACTCACTGCAACCTTCGCCTCCCGGGTTCAAGCAATTCCCCTGCCTCAGCCTCCCAAGTAGCTGGGATTACAGGCGCCTGCCACCACGTCCAGCTAATTTTTGTATTTTTAGTAGAGACGGGGTTTTACCATGTTGGCCAGGCTGGTCTCGATTTTGAGATGGAGTTTCCCTCTTGTTGCCCAGGCTGGAGTGCAATGGCACGATCTCCGCTAACTACAACCTCCGCCTCCTGGTTTCAAGCGATTCTCCTGCCTCAGCCTCCTGGGTAGCTGGAATTACAAGCGCCTGCCACCACGCCCAGCTAATTTTTTGTATTTTTAGTAGAGATGGGGTTTCACCATGTTGGCCAGGCTGGTCTCGAACTCCTGACCTCAGGTGACCCGCCTGCCTCAGCCTCTCAAAGTGCTGGGATTATAGATGTGAGCCACCATGCCCAGCCAAAATAAGGACTCTTTATGTTGCAGAGTCAGGCAAATAAATTAGAAAAAAAGATAAAACTGCCTTCACAAATGGCATGATTGTCTTTGCAGAAAACTAATACAATGTATGAAAAAACTACTGGAACAAATAAATGCGTTTAGCCAGGCTGCAGGATACAAAATCAACACACAAAAATCTGTTGTATTTCTATATACTGGCGACAAACACTGATAAATTAAAAATTTTAAACAACACCCTTTACAACCACATCAAGGTTATGCAATACTTGGAGGCAATTCTGAAAAGATGTGCAAGACCCTTACATTGAACACTACAAAATGGGGCTGAGAAAATTTATTTTTTAATTTATTTTTAATTTTTTAGAGACAGAGTCCCACCATGTGGCTCAGGCTGGTCTTGAACTCCTGAGCTCAAGTGATCCTCCCACCTCAACCTCCTAAGTAGCTGGGACTACAGGCGCACCACCAGCCCAGCTTTTTATATTTGTTGTAGAGATGGGGTTTCGCCACGTTACTGAGGCTGGTTTCCAACTCCTGGGCTCAAGCAATCCACCCTCCTCGGCCTCCCAAAGTGCTGGGATTACATAGCCATGAGCCTAGCTGAGAGAATTTAAAGACCCAAATAAACAGAGAGAAATACTATGTTCACTAGACAGAAGTTACCAGTTCTCCCTCAACTGACCTACAGATTCAACACAATTCCACTCAAAATGCCAGAAGCCTTTTTTTTTTTTTGTAGAAATTGACAAACGATTCTAAAATTTATATGGAAATGCAGGCTGGGCACTGTGGCTCACCTGTAATCCCAGCACTTTGGAAGGCTGAGGTGGGTGGATCACTTGCGGTCAGGAGTTCTAGACCAGCCTGGCCAACAGGGTGAAACCCCGTCTCTACTGAAAATACAAAAATTAGCCAGGTTTGGTGGTGCATGCCTGTATTCCCAGCTACTTGCAAGGCTGAGCCATGAGAATTACTTGAACGCAGGAGGTAGAGGCTGAAGCAAGCTGAGATTGCATCACTGCACTCCAGCTTGGGCAACAGAGCCAGACCTTGCCTCAAAAAAAAAAAAAAAAAAAAAAAAAAAAAAGGAAATACAGAGGACCTAAAATAACCCAAATAACTTTAAAAAAAAAAAAGTCAGAGAATTAACACTACCTGATTTCAACACTTATTTTAGAAAGCTATAGTAACCAAGACAGTCTGGTATTGGCATAAAGATAGATGAGTAAGTCAGGATAGAAAAGTCCAGAAAGGATCGTCATTTCGACAAATAATATGGGAACAACTGGATACCATGTTTTAAAATGAAAAAAACTTTGGCTTTCTAATTTTGCAATCTGATAGGTGTAATGAGGCATCTTGTTATTTTAATTTGGGTTTGTCAGGTTGCTGATGAATTTAAGCATCTCTCCATGTGCTTCTCCGGTATTTGGGTTTCTCCTACGAATTGCTTTTTTTTTTTTTTTTTTTTTTGAGACAGAGTCTCGCTCTGTGGCCCACGCCTGAGTTCAGTGGTGTGATTTCCGCTCCCTCCAACCTCTGCCTCCTGGGTTCAAGCGATTCTCCTGCCTCAGCCTCCTGAGTAGCTGGGATGACAGGCATGAACCACCACGCCCCACTGTTTTCGTATTTTTAGTAGAAACGGGGTTTCACTATGATGGCCAGGCTGTGAATTGCCTATTCTTATCTTCTGCACATTTGTCTATTGTCGGTCTTTTTCTCGTCGATTTACAAGCATTCCTTTTTTCATTCTGAATATTAATCCATTGCTTTCTGATGCTGTAACTAAGTCCTCCTAGTGGTTTGTCTTCTTGGTTAAGCCAGATGTTAACTTGGATTTTTCCTGCATAAAACTGAAGACTCAAGATGCATCAAGCACTGTATACAGAAAAGTGCTGCGTATCCTACAGAAAGCTACAGACAGTTGGGGGTCAGAATCATTCGGATTGTTTCAAGTTTGGGGCTATTATAAATAAAGCTGCTATAAACGTTTGCACACAGGTTTCTGTGAACAAAAATTTTCATTTCAACCAACTAATGTTTACGGTTCAATCATGATTTCACAACTTGAAGTAACTTTCACTCTTCTCATACTAAATTTGATATGTCGTCCACTGTTAAACTATTTCTTACCCTCAGATTATAATTATTAAACTTTTTTTTTTTTTTTTGAGAGGGAGTTTTGCTCTTGTGGCCCAGGCTGGAGTGCAATGGCAAAATCTCGGCTCACCGCAGACTCCGCCTCCCGGGTTCAAGCCATTCTCCTGCCTCAGCCTCCCGAGTAGCTGGGCTTACAGGCAAGCCATGCGCCACCAAGCCCGGCTAGTTTTGTATTTTTAGTAGAGACGAGGTTTCTCCATGCTGGCCAGGCTGGTCTCGAACTCCCGACCTCAGGTGATCCGCCCGCCTTGGCCTCCCAAAGTGCTGGGATTACAGGCGTGAGCCACCGTGACCGGCCTAATCATTAAACTTCTTTCAGCACTAGCCCCACTGATGTCACAACTTCACCCATTAGTCAATAACTTGTCTTTGCTGAATTCGACACTTTTGAATCATTTAAAAAATATTCTCTTAAATTTTATGTGCTATTTGCAATGTAACGGTTGTCGACATGACAGTTTTAAGTTTAATCTTTATCATCAACATTTTCTCTATCACTTTCTTCAGTTTAAGCAATCAACAAAACCACCGCTCCAGCACTGATTTGTAGCATTTGCGGGTTTCCCCCGTGTGACTTCCGCAGGACTGCCAAGTTCAAGCCGCCAGGGCCAGGGCACTGCTAGCAGCTGGGCTGAGCCCTGTTCTCCCGGCGTTCCCACCGCCCAGTGGCAATAGCTGTGAACGGCGGCAGGAGCATGGCAGTGGAACAATAAGGAAAAGATCTTTTAAAAAAAAGATATAATACAGAAGCCAAGCAAGGCGGCCCCGACCTGTAACCCCAGCACTCTGGGAGGCAGAGGCGGGCGGGCGGATCGCTTGAGCCCAGGAGTTTGAGACCAGCCTGGCCAACATAGGAAGGCCTCGTCAAAAAGACAAAAGGGTAAAACGAATTTAATAAAATGAAGTTTAACTTTTACTCATGTTTGTATCTAATGACAAGCTTTTAAAACTGAAAAGTTCACTACTGGCTCCTGCCTGGCGGCTCCAGCCCGACTGGGGGCCGGGGCCTCCCTGCACTGTGGGGTCACGAGTGCCCCTGGACAGCTCCCGAGCGCCCTCCGACCCGCATGCTCAGCGCAGCCCCGTCGGCGGCGCGCCACGGGCAGAGCGGGCTCAGCGGGGGACGGAAGCTCAGCGCTGCGACCGGGATCCCGCAGGCTCGCTCCGCAGGGCCGCGGCTCCTCTCCGTGCAGGTGCTGGGCCCGCGGGGGCGGGGCGTCCACACGGTCCGCGCCGAGACCCAAGCGGGGAAAAAGCGAAGAGCGGACAGCGGGGCAGGTGCCACAGGGAGCCTCCGCCCCACCGCGCGAGCAGCAAGTCTGCGGCGCTTGACACCTGCACTGCGAATGCCAGGCCGCAGCCCGGGCTCCCAAGACGCGAATACGCGCGCCTGCTCGTGACGTCATTTTTTGCGGTCTTCCCGAGAGCCAGCAGAGGGCGCCGCCATGATGTTTTACGGAAGCCGATAGTCCTTGCTCAGCGGCACCCCGTCCTTCCGGCTCTCGGCTTTGCCACAAAGCTTCCCGAAGACGCGGCCGCTACCCGGAGACGCGGTCGCCACCCAGAAGCGCTCTCCCGGGAAGCCCCGCTCGTGGGACCGCGCCACCTGCGCCGCCTCTGCGGCCCGCAGCCCGACGGGCGCCGCCATGTTGGGGTCCTAGCGAGGGACGCGTAGGTGTCTTCATAAGATGCCGGGGCAGCGGCGCGCGCTTTCCCCCAAGATGGCGTCCATGCGGGAGAGCGACACGGGCCTGTGGCTGCACAACAAGCTGGGGGCCACGGACGAGCTGTGGGCGCCGCCCAGCATCGCGTCCCTGCTCACGGCCGCGGTCATCGACAACATCCGTCTCTGCTTCCATGGCCTCTCGTCGGCAGTGAAGCTCAAGTTGCTACTCGGGACGCTGCACCTCCCGCGCCGCACGGTGGACGAGGTAAGGCAGGCGTGGCGCCCCGCGGCCCCCAGATTCCCAACCTTCCCACCTCCGACCCGCACACCCAACTCCGGACCCTCCTCGCTCCCTCCCCCAACCTTCCCATCCCCCTTCAGACTGTTAACCCCCCCGGCCCGCCCTCACGCCCCCTCCTCGCTCCTCCGAATACCTCCCTCCAGTCCTCACCTCCCCCTGGGTCCTCATCCCCCGCCTCGATCCTCATCTCCCACCTCGGTTCTCATCCCCACCGTGGGTCTTCAGGACCCCCCGCCCCTCCTCGCCCCCTGGGAATCCCCCACTAGGGTCCTCACCTCCCTACTTTTCGTCCTCACCCCTACCCAAGTTTTCACCTCCCCTGGGATCCTCAATCTCCTCCCCGCCGGGCCCCGGGTTCTCGCTACGACCCCCAGGTCCTCACTCCCCTCCCTGGGCCCCCGGGTACTCATCCCCACCCGCCCCCGCCTCCCCCGCCTTCGGTCCTCACCACCCTAATCCCCCACCGTGCCGAAGCGACCGACTCTTGGAGCGGGGGTGCGCCGGCCCCAGCGGGGTCTCCCATCGGGGTTTCCCGTCGGGGACGCAGCCCTGGTGACCTGGGCGAGGGCGGGGATCCCGAGAGAAACCCCCGCGTGAGGAAGGGGCGGCCTGGGCTCGGTAGCTCCAGTGTCCGCTGACTGGATTTTCTTGTTCTCACCTCGCAAAGACCCCGGCCGTCCGGAGCGCTCTGTGTCCGTTTTACTCTTTTCTACACGCCGTTTTGCGTCATTCCAATAAGTGGGTGTGTGAGGTTTGTTTTCTTTTTTCCTAAACTTTATATTGTATCGCTTTCCGTGCGAAATAAACCGAGTAGTTTTGCAGACTATTGAAGCCCCATGGTTGTTTAAACGTTCCTGGCTACTGATGTATTATTAGCTATTATAGGTTGTAATTGCTTTTGATTGAGATATGACATGTATGGAAAAGTGCATTTTTGTTCAGTTTAACGAATAATAATAGCATCGCGAGCCACTCCTGTGATCCTTACACAGGTGGAGAAGTAGAACCATGCCTGTTCCTTGGAAGCCTCCCACTGGTAATCACGGCCTTCTTCCTTTCCCCTTCCTCATTTTGGAAAGGTAATCATTTCTGTGCCATCTCCCCGGTGTGAGCAATTATTTATGCACCCCTAAATGGCACAGCTTGGTTGCCGGATTTGGAGTTAGTGTGATGGTATCATAGTGTATTTTGTGTGTGGCGTGCATGTGTCTTTTTGGTCGACGCCGTGACAGTTTCATCCACGTTGCAGCTGACTGCAGTTTAATTTTCACTGCTGCGTGGTATTCCTGTCTGTGAGCACGAGGCACTTTATCCATTCTGCCACAGTGACACGCTTAGCTTTTGTGCTCTTGTAAATCATCCCGTTACTACATTACGGTCATATGTTCAGGTGTTTGGAATCTTGGATTTCTCTAGGGTATAACATCTAGGAGTGGAATTGTGAGGATCATAGGATCATGCCAAATTATTTTTCAGAGTGTTTTGTTTTTGTGTTTGTGTTTTGTTTGAGACAGGGTCTGGCGCTGTCAACCAGGCTGGAGTGCAGTGGCACCATCGTGACTCACTGCAGCCTTGACCTCCTCACCTCAGATCTTCCCATCTCAGCCTCCTGAGTAGCTGGGACTACAGGGTTTCACCATGCTGCCCAGGCTGGTCTTGAACTCCTGACCTCAAGCAATCTGCTTGCCTCAGCCTCCTGAAGGGCTGGGATTACAGGTGTGAGCCATGGCACTCGGCCTGCTGTTTGGTTTTCTGCTTTGAGAATTGTATATTCAAATCTGCTTTTAAATTCTCTTTTTTCCCATTGTTTTGTAAGAGTGTCTTTTTTATTATTTATTATAAATGCTAGATATCAGTCCTTTTTCAGTTACAAATATCTCCCAGTTGTCCTTTGACTTTGACTTAGCTTCCTGGAATCCTTTTTTTTTTTTTTTTTTTTTTTTTTGAGACAGCGTCTCACTCTGTCACCCAGGCTAGAGTCTAGTGGTATAATCATAGCTCACTTTAACCTTGAACTCCTGGGCTTAAGCAGTCCTCCCTCCTAAACCTCTGTAGTAGCTGGGACTGATGCGCTGCCACCACGCCTGGCTAATTTTTGTGCATGTGTATGGAGATGGGGGTCTTACTGTATTGCCCAGGCTGGTCTTGAACTCCTAGCCTCAAGTGATCCTCCTGCCTTGGCCTCCCATAGTGTTGGGATTACAGGTGTGATCTGTGCGCCCAGCCCTTTTCCTGGAATCATGGATGAATAGAAGCTCCTAGTTTTAACATAGATGGTGTATTCATCCGCCCACTATCATTGGTGCCTATTGTGTCTCCCCGAGGGACATGCCCGGAACACTCCCTGGGTTATCTTGGCGTAGCTGTACAGTTTTACCTTTCGCACTTGAATCTTCAGTCTGCGTGGAATTGATGATTGTGTGAAGCAGGGAGTCTAATTTTCCACATGGATGTGCAATTAGTCCAGCACCCAACGTTGATTGAAATGACTGTCCTTTTCCATTGATCTGCACTGCAGCTTCTGCTGTGGATGTGTTTCTGGGCTGTGCTCTGTTCTTTTGGTCATTTACATATCGATGTGCTAATAACCCACTAAGTCGGTTCTTGTCACTTTATTTATAAGCCTTGTTAGCGGACGGAGCAAACCCTCCCACTGTATCTTTCTCCGGGATCATCTATGGCTATTCTTGTCCCTTCACACTTCCACATGTATCTTATATACTTACTTCTTAAACACGTAGAGCCTGCCTGCTGGGATTTTAAGGCTGAGCTGAACTTGCAGTTCATTCTGGGGTGCTGTCCTCTTTATATTGCATCCTATAATTTGTGGGTGTGGGCTTATCTATTTAGATGTTCTTTGTGATCTCTGTAGGGGTCTTCCATCTCATATATTACCACCTATTTCATATTTTTCCATGCCGTTGTAAATGGTATCTGTTAAAGTCTTAGTTTTTACTTGTTGCTGGTATATAGAAATGCGTTGATTTTTGTTTTTGTTTGTTTGTTTGTTTGTTTGTTTTTTAGACGGAGATCTCACTCTCTCACCCAGGCTGGAGAGCAGTGGCGCGATCTCAGCTCACTGCAACCTCCTCCTCCTGAGCTCAGGTGATTCTCCTACCTTAGCTTCCCGAGTAACTGGGATTACAGGCATGCACCACCACACCTGGCTAATTTTTGTATTTTTAGTAGAGATGGGGTTTCACCATGTTGGCCAGGCTGCTCTCGAACTCCTGACCTCAGGTGAGCCACTATGCCCAGCCTGATTTTTGGATAATGAATTTGTGACTAGTATCTGTGCTAAAGTTTTGCTAGTTGCAAAATTTTTTTTTTCTATAGAATCTCCTTGATTTTTCTGTGCACTTCATATTATTTTTCTTTCTCCAATTACCTTTTGTTTTTTTTCTCGTCTCACTGGACTGGCTAGGACCCTCCAGCTCATTGTCTTACCTCCGATCACACAGGGAGAACTCGGAATGTTTTGCCAGTGAGCATTATGTTTCCTGTTGTCTTTAATAAATACCCTTTATCTAGTTAAGGAAATTCTCTTCTTAGAAGACTTGTAAAAAAAAATCTTTTAATCATGAATTTTTTTAAAATAGCTTTATTGGCTGGGTGCAGTAGCTCACACCTGTAATCCCAGCACTTTGGGAGGCCGAGGCGGGCGGATCACGAGGCCAGGAGATCGAGACCATCCTGGCTAACATGGTGAAACCCCGTCTCTAAAGAAAAAATACAAAAAAATTAGCCGGGCATGGTGGCAGGCGCCTGTAGTCCCAGCTACTAGGGAGGCTGAAGCAGAAGAATGCCGTGAACCCAGGAGGCAGAGCTTGCAGTGAGCTGAGATCGCGCCACTGCACTCCAGCCTGGGCGACAGCAAGACTCTGTCTCCAAAAAAAAAAAAAAAGCTTTATTAAAATATAATGTATAGCTGGGTGCAGTAGCTCATGCCTGTAATCTCAGCACTTTGGGAGGCCAAGATGGGCGGATTGCTTGAACCCAGGCATTCGAGATCAGCCTGAGCAATATGGTGAAACCCTGTCTCCATAAAAAATATAAAAATTAGCCAGGGGTGGCGGCACATGGCTGTGGTCCCAGCTACTTGGGAGGCTGTGGCGAGAGGATCACTTGAGCCTGGGAGGTTGAGGATGCGGCGAGCCATGATTGCATCACTGCACTCTAGCCTGGCCGACAGAATGAGACCCTGTCTCAAAAGAAAAAAGATATTATTTTATGTACCATATAATTATGCCAGGTAGTTCACCATTTAAAATGTACACTTCAGTAGTTTTTAGTATATTTACAGGTTTGATGGTCATGCTAGTCAATTTTCAAACATTTTCATCATCCCCCAAATAAATCCTACACTCATTAGCATTTGCCCAGTCCTCTTCCTCCCCACTCCTAGGTGACTAGTAATCTACTTTTTGCTTCTATAGATTTGTCTATTCAGGATATTTTATATAAATAGAATCATACATCTGGTCTTTTGTGCCTGACTTCTTTCACTTAATGTAATGTTTTCTTTTTTCTTCTTCTTCTTTTTTTTTCTTTTTTTTGAAACAGAGTCTTGCCCTGTCGCCAGGCTGGAGTGCAGTGGCGCGATCTCGGCTCACCACAACCTGCGCCTCCCAGGTTCAAGGGATTCTCCTGCCTCAGCCTCCCGAGTAGCTGGGACTAGAGACACGCGCCACCATGCCCAGCTAATTAGCTAATTTTTGTATTTTTAGTGGAGACGGGGTTTCACCGTGTTGGCCAGGATGGTCTCCATCTCTTGACCTTGTGATCCACCTGCCTTGGCCTCCCAAAGTGCTGGGATTACAGGCATGAGCCACTGCTCCCGGCCTTTATTTCTTCTTTAAAAAAAAAAAAAAAAAAAGGATGCATATGCAGAACATGCAGATTTGTTACATAGGTATACGTGTGCCATGGTTTGCTGCACCTATTGACCCGTCCTTTAAGTTCCCTCCCCTCACTCCCACCCCTATTAGGCCCTGGTGTGTGTTGTTCCCCTCTCTGTGTGCATGTGTTCTCAGTGTTCAACTACCTGCCACTTATGAGTGAGAACATGCAATGTTTGGTTTTCTGTTCCTTTGTTAGTTTGCTGAGGATGATGGCTTCCAGCTTCATCCATGTCCCTGCAAAGGACAGGATCTCATTCCTTTTTATGGCTGCGTAGTATTCCATGGTGTATATGTATCACATTTTCTTTATCCAGTCCATCATTGATGGGCATTTGGGTTGGTTCCATGTCCTTGCTATTCTAAGCAGTGCTGCAGTAAACATACCTGTACGTGTGTCTTTATAGCAGAATGATTTATATTCCTTTGGGTATATATCCAGTAACAGGATTGCTGGGTCAAATGGTATTTCTGGTGTTAGATCCTTGAGGAATCGCCATGCTGTCTTCCACAATGGTTGAACTAATTTACACTCCCAGCAAAAGTGTAAAAGCCTTCCTATTTCTCCACAGCCTCGCTAGCATCTATTGTTTCCTGACTTTTTAGTAATCACCCTTCTGACTGGCGTGAGATGGTATCTCATTGTGGTTTTGATTTGCATTTCTCTGATGATCAGTGACGTAGAGCTTTTCTTCATGTTTATTGGCCTCATAAATGTCTTCTTTTGAGAGGTATCTGTTCACCTCCTTTGCCCACTTTTTGATGGGGTTGTTTTTCTCTTACAAATATGTTTAAGTTCCTTGTAAATGCTGGATATTAGCCCTTTGTCAGATGAGTAGATTGCAAAAATTTTCTCCCATTCTGTAGGTTGCCTCTTCACTCTGATGATAGTTTCTTTTGCTGAGCAGAAGCTCTTTAGTTTAATTAGATCCCATTTGTCAATTTTGGCTTTTGTTGCTATTGCTTTTGGCATTTTTGTCATGAAGTTGTTGGCCGTGACTGTGTCCTGAATGGTATTGCCTAGGTTTTCTTCTAGGATTTTTATGGTTTTGGGTTTTACATTTAAGTTTTTAATGCATCTTGAGTTAATTTTTGTATGAGGTGTAAGGAAGAGGTCCAGTTTCAGTTTTCTACATATGGCTAGCCAGTTTTCCCAGCACCATTTACTGAATAGAAGATCCTTTCCCCATCGCTTGTTTTTGTCAGGTTTGTCAAAGATCAGATGCTGGTAGATGTGTGGTGTTATTTCTGAGGTCCCTGTTCTTCTCCATTGGTCTGTAGGTCTGTTGTGGTACCAGTACCATGCTGTTTTGGTTACTGTAGCCTTGTAAGTGTAGTTTGAAGTCAGGTAGCGTGATGCCTCCAGCTTTGTTCTTTTTGCTTAGGATTGTCTTGGCTATATGGGATCTTCTTTGATTCCATATGAAATTTAAAATAGTTTTTTCTAATTCTGTGAAGAATGTCAATGGTAGTTTGTTGGGAATAGCATTGAATCTGTAAGTTACTTTGAGCAGTATGGCCATTTTCATGATACTGATTCTTCCTATCCACGAGGATGGAATGCTTTTCCATTTGTTTGTGTACTCTCTTATTTTCTGTTTTTTCTTTTTTTTTCTGAGATGGAGTCTCGCTTTGTCGCCCAGGCTGGAGTGCAGTGGCGCGATCTTGGCTCATTGCAAGCTCCGCCTCCCGGGTTCACGCCATTCTCCTGCGTCAGCCTCCCTAGTAGCTGGGACTACAGGCGCCCGCCACCATGCCTGGCTAATTTTTTGTATTTTTAGTAGAGACAGGGTTTCACCGTGTTAGCCAGGATGGTCTCGATCTCCTGACCTCATGATCCGTCCGCCTCGGCCTCCCAAAGTGCTAGGATTACAGGCATGAGCCACCGTGCCTGGCCTTTTTTTTTTTCTTTTGAGACAGAGTCTCGCTCTGTCGGCCAGGCTGGAGTGCAGTGGCACGATCTCGGCTCACTGCAACCTCCGCCTCCCTTGCTCAAGCAGTTCTCCTGCCTCAGCCTCCCGAGTAGCTGGGATTACAGGCTTGTGCCACCACGCCCGGCTAATTTGTGTATTTTTAGTAGAGATGGGGTTTAACCACGTTGGCCAGGCTGGTCTCAAACTCCTGACCTCAGGTAATCTGCCTGCCTCAGCCTCCCAAAGTGCTGGGATTACAGGCGTGAGCCACTGCACCCGGCCCCTCTCTTATTTTCTTCAACAGTGGTTTGTAGTTCTCTTTGAAGAGGTCCTTCACATCCCTTGTTAGCTGTATTCCTAGGTATTTTATTCTCTAGTGATTTTGAATGGGAGTTCATTCATGATTTGGCTCTCTGCTTGCCTATTAAAATCACATTGATTTTGTATTCTCGGACTTTGCTGAAGTTGCTTATCAGTTCAACAAGTTTTTGGGCTGAGTTGATGGGGTTTTCTAAATATAAAATCATGTCATCTGCAAACAGAGACAACTTGACTTCCTCTCTTCCTATTTGAATACTCTTTATTTCTTTCTCTTGCCTAATTGCCCTGGCCAGAACTTCCAATACTATGTTGAATAGGAGTGGTGAGAGAGGACATCCTTATTATCTTGTACCAGTTTTCAAAGAGAATGCTTCCAGCTTTTGCCCATTCAATATGGTATTCGCTGTGGGTTTGTCTTAAATAACTCTTAATATTTTGAGATACGTTCCATTAATACCTAGCTTATTGAGAGTTTTTAACATGCAGGGATGTTGAATTTTATCAAAGGCCTTTTCTGCATCTGTTGAGATGATCATGTGGTTTTTGTCTTTGGTTCTGTTTATGTGATAGATTATGCTTGTTGATTTGCGTATGTTGAACCAGCCTTGCATCCCAGGGATGAAGCCACTTGATCGTGGTGGATAAGCTTTTTGATGTGCTGCTGGATTCGGTTTGCCAGTATTTTATTGAGGATTTTCACATTGATGTTCATCAGGGATGTTGGCCTGAAGTTTTCTTTTTTGTTGTCTCTTCCCAGTTTTGGTATCAGGATGATGTTGGCCTCATAAAATGAGTTAGGGAGGAGTCCCTCCTTTTCAATTGTTTGGAATAGTTTCAGAAGGAATGGTGCCAGCTCCTCTTTGTATTTCTGGTGGAATTCAGCTGTGAGTCCGTCTGGTCCTGGGCTTCTTTTGGTTGGTAGGTTGTTACTGCCTCATTTTCAGAGCTTGTTATTGGTCTAGTCAGGGATTCGACTTCTTCCTGGTTTAGTCTTGGGAGGGTGTATGCACCCAGGAATTTATCCATTTCTTCTAGATTTTCTAGTTTATTTGTGTAGAGGTGTTTATAGTATTCTCTGATGGTAGTTTGTATTTCTGTGGGGTCAGTTGTGATAGCATCTTTATTATTATCATTATTATTATTTGGTGTCTATTTGATTCTTCTCTCTCTTCTTTATTAGTCTAGCTAGCATTCTGTCTATTTTGTTAATTTTTTCACAAAACCAGCTCCTGGATTTGTTGATATTTTTTGGGGGGGAGGGTTTTTCGTGTCTCTATGTCCTTTAATTCTTGTCTGATCTTAGTTATTTCTTGTTTTCTGTTAGCTTTGGGGTTAGTTTGCTCTCTTGCCTCTCTGGGTCTTTTAATTGTGATGTTAATTACATCTCTGGGTCTTTTAATTGAGATCTTTCTAGCTTTCTGATATGGGCATTTAATGCTATAAATTTCCCTCTTAACACTGCTTTAGCTGTGTCCCAGAGATTCTGCTACATTGTCTCTTTGTTCTCATTGGTTTCAAAGAAATTCTTGATTTCTGCCTTAATTTCATTATTTGTCCAGGAGTCATTCAGGAGCAGGTTGTTCAATTTCCATGAAATTGTGTGGTTTTGAGTGAGTTTCTTAATCTTGAGTTCTAATTTGCACTGTGGTCTGAGAGACTGTTATGATTTCAGTTCTTTTGCATTTGCTGACTTCCAGTTAATTACATGGTCGATTTTAGAGTAAGTGCCACGTAGCACTGAGAAGAATGTATATTCTGTTGATTTGAGGTAGAGAGTTCTGTAGATGTCTACTAGGTCCACTTGATCCAGAGTTGAGTTCAAATCCTGAATATCCTTGTTAGTTTTCTGTCTCGTTGATCTAATATTGACAGTGGGGTGTTAAAGTCTCCCCCTATTATTGTGTGGGAGTCTAAGTCTCGTTGTAGGTCTGTAGGAACTTGTTTTATGAATCTGGGTGCTCCTGTATTGGGTGCATATATATTTAGGATAGTTAGCTCTTGTCGAATTGTTCCCTTTACCATTGTGTAATACCCTTCTTGTCTTCTTTGATCTTTGTTGGTTTAAAGTCTGTTTTGTCAGAAACTAGGATTGCAACCCCTGTCTTTTTGTTTGCTTTCCATTTGCTTGAAGTTTCCTCCATCCCGTTATTCTGAGCCTGTGTGTGTCTTTGCGTGTAAGATGAGTCTTCTGCATACAGCACACCAATGGGTCTTGACTCCTTATCCAATTTGCCAGTCTGTGTCTTTTAATTGGGGCATTCAGCCCATTTACATTGAAGGTTAATATTGTTATGTGTGAATTCGGTCCTGTAATCATGATGGTATCTGGTTATTTTGCACACTAGATGCAGTTTCTTTGTAATGTCATTGGTCTCTATATTTTGGTGTGTTTTTTCAGTGGCTCGTACTGGTTTTTCTTTCCATATTTAGTGCTTCTTTCCAGAGTTCTTCCGGGGCGGGGCTGGTGGTAACAAAATCCCTCAGCATTTGCTTGTCTGAAAAAGATTTTATTTCTCCTTCACTTATGAAGCTTAGTTTGGCTGGATATTAAATTCTGGGTTGAAAATTCTTTTCTTTAAGAATGTTGAATATTGGCCCCCAAACTCTTCTGGCTTGTAGAGTTTCTGCAGAGGTCTGCCATTAGTTAGTCTGATGGGCTTCCCTTTGTAGGTGACCTGGCCTTTCTCTCTGGCTGCTCTGAACAGTTTTTCCTTCATTTCGACCTTGGAGAATTTGATGATTATGTGTCTTGGGGTTGATCTTCTCATGGAGTGTCTTAGTGGGGTTCTCTGTATTTCCCAAATTTGCATGTTGGCCTGTCTCTAGGTTGAGGAAGTTCTGGATAATATCCTTAAGTGTGTTTTCCAGCTTGTTTCCATTCTCCCCGTCTCCTTCTGGTACTCCAGTCAGTAGTAGGTTTGGTCTTTTTATGAAATCCCGTGTTTTTTGGAGGCTTTGTTCGTTCCTTTTCATTCTTTTCTCTCTATTGTTGTCTGCATGTCTTATTTCAGTAAGGTGGTGTTCAAACTCTGATATCCTTTGTTCCGCTTTGTGGATTCGGCTGTTAATACTTGCGGATGACTCATGAGGTTCTGGTGCTGTGTTTTTCAGCTTCATCAGGTCATTTATGTTCCTCTCTAAACCGGTTATTCTAGTTAGCAATTCCTCTGACCTTTTATCAAGGTTCTTAGCTTCTTTGCATTGGGATAGAACATGCTCCTTTAGTTCATCATTGTTTTTTTTTTTATTACCCATCTTCTGAAGCCTACTTCTGTCAGCTCGTCCATCCAATCCTCCGTCTAGTTCTGCGCCCTTTTTGGAGAGACATTGTGATCATTTGGAGGAGAAGAGGCACTCTGGCCTTTGGGGTTTTCAGCATTTTTTCGTTGATTCTTTCTCATCTTCGTGAGTTTGTCTAGTTTCAGTCTTTGAGGCTGCTGACCCTTGGATGGGGGCTTTTGTTGTGGTTGTTGTTGTTGTTGTTGATGCTGTTGTCGTTTTCTGCTCGTTTGTTTTCCTTGCCGTAGTCATGTCCCTCTTCTGTAGGGCTGCTGCAGTTTGCTGGGGGTTCACTTCAGGCCATATTCATCTGATTCACTCCCATGCCTGGAGGTGTCACTAAAGGAGGCTGCAGAACAGCAAAGATGGGTGCCTGCTCCTTCTTCTGGGACCTCTGATCTCGAGGGGCACCAACCTGATGCCAGTAGGGTCACTGCTGTATAGGGTGTCTGACAACCCCTGTTGGAGGGTCTCACCTAGTTGGGTGACATAGGGAGCAGGACCCATTTAATGAAGCACTTTGTCCCATGATGGAGGGAGTGTGCTTCAGTGGGGGGAAACCACTTGTCTGGGCTGCCCAGGTTATTCTATATTTAACATTTTGAGAAATTGCCAAACTATTTTCCATAGTGGCTACACCATCTTACTTTCTCCATAGTGATTTTCGAGTGTTCAGTCTCTCACATCCTTGCCAACATTTGTTATCTTTTTGATATAGCGA
Organism: Homo sapiens; assembly: GCF_000001405.40. Classification (NCBI taxonomy): domain Eukaryota; kingdom Metazoa; phylum Chordata; class Mammalia; order Primates; family Hominidae; genus Homo; species Homo sapiens. Next base: position 1,997,581 of record NC_000004.12, on the reverse strand, counting down.
TCCTAGTGGGTGTGAGCACAAAGGAACTTTAAATTTTATCAAATGCTTAAATATCTATTGACATGTAATTCACCACATTAACAAAATAGCTTTAATTATAAACCAACCTTGCATTCCTGCGGTAAACCTAAATTGGTCATTTTATGTTGTTAGATTATATCATCCTGATGTTTTGTATAGGAATTTTGTACTATATCTTTGTTCTTGGGTGAGATTGACCTGTAGTTTTACTTACCCAGACTGTCTTTGTTGGATTTTGGTATTGGGGTTATGCTACCCTTAAAAAAGGATTTGTAATGTATCTGGTCTTTTCTTTTTCTTTGGAAAGTTTGTTTACTAATGGAGTGATTTCTTCCTAAATATTTGGTAGAACTTGGTAATGAAGCCTTCTGGACCTGAAATTTACTTTGTGGGAGGATTTTTCAGTATTGATTTTTGTTTTTATGGGTTTTGTTTTTTTTGTTTGTTTTAATGCATAGTGTCACTGTCACTCAGGCTGGAGTGGCAGTGATGTGATCATAACTCACTGTAACCTTAAACTCCTAAGCTCAAGTGATCTCCTGCCTCACCTTCCTGAGCAGCTAAGACTGCAGGCATGCACCACCATACCTGCCTACTTTTCTTTTTTTTTAAATTTTTTGTAGAGAGAGTGTCTCAAATACCCTTCTGTCATCGAGGCTGGAGTGCAATGGTGCAATCTTGGCTCACTGCAACCTCCACCTTCCAGACTCAAGTGATTATCGTGCCTCAGCCTTCTGAGTAGCTGGGATCACAGGCGTGTGCCACCATTCCCGGCTAATTTTTGTATTTTTAGTAGAGACAGGTTTTTGCCACGTTGGCCAGTCTGGTCTCAAGCTCCTGACCTCAAGTGATCCACATGCCTTGGTTGACCAAATTGCTGGGATTACAGGCATGAGCCAATATGACCAGCTCAAACATCTTCTTTTTAAATGTCAGAAGCATGTATAGTGATTATTTCTTATTTTTTCCCCCTTGATCCATCTCACCAGATGTTTGTTGATTTTATAAGAATTTTCAAACTACCAGCTTCTGGCTTTGTTGAACTTGGATTTCTGTTTCACTAATTTTCTTTCTCCTGTCTTTGTACTTACTTTGTTGCTCTTTTTCTAAGTTTTAAAGATGGATGCCAATCTCAGGCTTCTTTTCGTGTGTGTATGTGCGTATGTCCATAAATTCTCTTCTAATTACAGTGTAAGCCGCATCCCACAAGTTTTGATAGTCACAGAACTGTATCGTCACACTATTTTTTAATTTCAGTAAGTTCTTCACTGATCCCTGTGTAATTTAGAAATGTTTCATAATTTCCCTACATTGGAGGGGAAGATAGTTTTGTTTTTATTATTAATTTCTAGCTGTATTGAGCTCTTGTCAGAGAATATGGTTTATTTTAGTCGTTTGAAATTTAAGATCTGCTTAATGGCAAAATGTATGGTCAGTTTTTGTAAATGTTGCCAGTAAGCTTGCGAATCATATGTACTCTAGTTTTGAAATCCATTGCTCAGTGGATGTTCATTAGGCCAATTTGTATAATCATGTTGTACAAATCTATTCTATTCTTAACTGTTTTTTGTTTTAAAGGTGTGGGGTCTTACTATGTTGCCCGGGCTGGACTCAAATTCCTCAGCCTCCCAAGTATCTAGAACTACAGGCACGTGCAGCTTGGTTTAAAAAAAAAAAAAAAAATCAGTGAGAAGAGGATTTGTTGATCTCCCCGTTAGGATTATGGGTTTGTCTGTTCCTCCTTCTCAGCTTATGCTGTATATATTTTGGGGCTGTGTTATTAGGTGCATCCAAGTGTATAGTTGTTATAGTTACCATGTGAGCTCAACCTTGGATCTTTACATAGAGATTCTCTGTATTTAGTAATGTTTTGTTCTTAAAATCTGCTTCCATCTAACATTAATATAAATGTACCAGCTTTATTTTATATGTATGTTTCTTGGACTTTGTCTTTATGTATTACAAGAAATTGTGATAAAGACCTCATTTAACTGGATTGTGAAAGGACTAGGCCATTCTGGGTCATTTACTTTTCTGAAAAATATTTTTATTTTCTTGGTATTTAAAAAAAGGTTTATAAGACATTCTAATTTATCTTAGTTTTCTTCCTTCATTTATTTAGGGGTCTGGTATCTTAGGGATATCATTCTGAAAATTAAACTTTTCTACATAGGACCATAGATACAGGGTGACTAGATGACTGGGCTGGATGTGTTCCACAGTGTATCAGTCAGGGTTCTCCAGAGAAACAGAACCAAGAGGGTATATAGACACATACATGCACACACACCAGGAGAGCCAGTGATGTAAGCCCTGAGACTCAAGACCCAGGAAGAGCTGATGTTTCAGCCAGAGTCTGAAGGCTGGAAAAGACCAATCTTCCAGCTCAAACAGGCAGGAGTTCCCCTTACTCAGCATTTTTGTTCTGCTTTGGTTTTCAGTTGATTGGATGAGACCCACTCAGCAGTAGGGAGGGCCCTCGCCTCACTCAGTACAATTCAGATGTTAGTCTTATGTAGAAACATCCTCACAGACACACCTGGAATCATGAGGGACTAACTGTCCAGGTGCCCCATGGCCCAGTCAAGTTGACACATAAGGTTAACCTTATGCATGGCATCTGCTACAACTTGTGTTTCTGAATGAAATTCTACAACCAGTTCACTGGTTTTGTAATGTGTCTTTTTATTTTTAATTTTTTTTTTTTTTTTTGAGACGGAGTCTCACTCTGTTGCCCAGGCTGGGGCACGCAATCTCGGCTCACTGCAAGCTCCACCTCCCGGGTTCACGCCATTCTCCTGCCTCAGCCTCCCAAGTAGCTGGGACTACAGGTGCCCACCACCACGCCCGCCTAATTTTTTGTATTTTTAGTAGAGGCAGGGTTTCACTGTGTTAGCCAGGATGGTCTCAATCTCCTGACCTTGTGATCCGCCCACCTCAGCCTCCCAAAATGCTAGGATTACAGGTGTGAGCCACCATGCCCGGCTTTTTTTTTTTTGACAGACTCTTGCTCTGTTGCCCAGGCTGGAGTACAGTGGCGCCATCTTGGCTCACCAGAATCTCTGCCTCCCAAGTTCAAGCAATTCTCCTGCCTCACCTTCCCCAGTAGCTGGGATTACAGGAGTGCACCACCATGCCTGGCTAATTTTTGTATTTTCAGTAGAGATGGGGTTTCGCCATGTTGGACAGGCTGATCTCGAACTCCTGACCTCAAGTGATCCACCCGCCCTAGCCTCCCAGAGTGCTGGGATTACAGACGTGAGCCACCGTGCCCAGCCAATTTTTAATTTTTTTAAGAAATGAAATCTTGCTCTGTTGCTCAGGCTGGAGTGGAGTAGTGCCATCTTTGTTCACTGCAGCCTTGAACCCCTGGGCTCAAGTGATCCTCCTGCCTCAGCCTCCCGAGTAGCTGGAACCACAGGCGTGAGCCACTATACCCGGCCCTATTCCTCTGAAAAGCTTAGTAAACAGCAGTTCTTTATACCAGGGAAGAGGAAGAGACATTTTAATGATGTGATAGTTTATTCAGTGAAGAGTACAGAAATGAGTTAGGGCCCCTGCTCTCTAAGAATTACAGACCTTACAAGGTAGGCCTGGGCCGGGCGTGGTGGTGGCGCCTGGATTCCCAGCACTGTGGGAGCATGAGGCAGGAGAATCGCTGGACCTGGGAAGGCGGAGGTTGCAGTGAGCCGAGATCCTGCCATTGCACTCCAGCCCGGGCGACGACAACAGCGAGACTCTGTCTCAAAAAAAAAAAAAAAAAAAGGCCCAGGGGAGCTCGTTCCCACCTTCCACCAGCAAAAGGCACCTTCCATGAAGCTGGAAGGGGCCCCCACCAGGCGGGGAATCCACCAGCGCCTTAATTGATCTTGGATTCCCACCTCCAGAACCGTGAGAAGTAAATTTCTGTTGTGTGTAAGCCAAGCATTTTCTTTTTTCTTTCTTTCTTTTCTTTTTCTTTCTTTCTTTCTTTTTTTTTTTTGAGATGGAGTTTCGCTCTTGTTGCCCAGGTTGGAGTGCAATGGTGCGATCTCAGCTCACGCAACCTCCGCCTCCTGGGTTCAAGCGATTCCCCTGCCTCAGCCTCCCAAGTAGCTGGGATTACAGGAATGCGCTACCACGCCCGGCTAATTTTGTATTTTTAGTAGAGACAGGGTTTCCCCATGTGGGTCAGTCTGGTCCCCAACTCCTGACCTCGTGAGCCGCCCGCCTCTGCCGGCCGAAGTGCGGGGTCTACAGACATGAGCTACCGCGCCCGGGAAAGCCAAGCGTTTTCCTACAAGAAGCCCCAGTAGAGCGAGCCAGGCTTCAACATGCGCGTTCTGGAGAGAAAACATTGACTCCACAACAGTGGTCCTTTTTGTTTTAAATTAACATCCCCGACTTTTTTTATCCTTACCATTTTTATAAAATGCCGCGCGCTTGCCTCTTGGCAGGCGTAGGGTTTCCCTGGGGCTGCTGTGGAGAGGCCGCACTGGCTGGAAACAGCCGGGCTGTGCGGCTGCCAGAGGCAGCGTGTGCGCAGCGCTTCCTGCAGCCACGTAGCATCTTCTGCCGCATCGCGCACTCAGCTCGGGCGGGCGTCGGGAGTGAGGGCCCGGGGCGCAGGGTCAGCGGCCGGGGCGACACCCTCCCTGGTTGCCCAAGGAACAGAAGGGGCTGGGCCACGCGGGGGGTTCTTGACTCCTGAGGGCAGCTGGGTGTCCTGCAGGGCAGATGCAGAGGGGCTTGGCAGCAGGCAGGCTCCCCTGGCACGACCTCTGATCTCTGCCCTTCGAGCCAACTTCCCTCAGGGCAGGAAGCCCATGAGGACAGTGAGGGAAGCGCTGGAAGGTCCTCCCACTCAGAGGCCACCAGGAGGCGGCGCTCGCGGGGACGTGATGGCCGCAGCCCTCGTAGGACGGGTCTCTGGCGCCTGACGCAGGGAGTGGGTGTCAGGAAGGCCTGGGGCTGGGGTTTCAGCCCCGGCGTCTGGACAGGGCAGGGCGCTGTTGTTCACCCCCAGCGCCAGCCAGCCCAGCTGTCTCACACTGTGAGCAGCCCAGTGGGCGCATGGCAGAGGCACAGGCACGCCATGGCCTGGCTCTCTGCGTTTCCTCGTGGGAGGGGGTTTATGTGGCCGAAGCAGGCCCTGGTGTGGATGGATCTGGCCTCCCAGGTATTGAGGGAGCACGGGGTGCGCCTGCTTCCTCCACGCACGTCGCCCATGGCCTCCCCAAGGCCCTGGCCTCACTCCAGATCCCGGGGCCACCTCCAGGCTCCACGAGCGCCAACTCCCAGCGCCGTCCAGACCCAGAGGCAGCCGTCCCTGCCTAGATGGTGACTAGGCACCAGCTCAGCTGTCACGGGTGCTGCCCCAGGTCCCAGGCCCCACCCCCTGCTGCCCAGGCACACACCCCCGCGGCAGGTGACTCCACCCTGCTCCTGCGCTCTGCTGTGCCGGGCACCTGCCTGCTCTACGCCCCTCATCCCCAGGATTTCCCACCCGCAGGCTTTCTGCGGGAGCAGTGGTGGCCCCGGCTTCTCACCCTTCAGGTTTTCTTGCATCTGCGCACCGGTGGAAGAGTAGGCCCAGTGGACTGGGTGCTGCTGGGAGGTGGGAGGCTGCTGGGAGGGCACCGGATGCCGGGGCCTTGCAACCTGGCAGAGGCTGTGCTGCTCAGGGAAGCAAGGTGGCCCTGGGGTGAGGCGGGGGGCTCAGAGGAAGGGGAGCCCTCAGGAGGAAGTGTTGGGGGCAACTGCCAGAGAGCCCGGCCACTGCCCAGTGCCCATCCGGAAGCTCAGCAGGGAGTGGGCTTGGAAGTGGGCAGGGGCATGGTGGCGCCGGCAGCATCCTATTTTGCAGATGAAGGGCGCCCTAATGGAGATCATCCAGCTCGCCAGCCTCGACTCGGACCCCTGGGTGCTCATGGTCGCCGACATCTTGAAGTCCTTTCCGGACACAGGCTCGCTTAACCTGGAGCTGGAGGAGCAGAATCCCAACGTTCAGGATATTTTGGGAGAACTTAGAGAAAAGGGTATGTTGTGCTGCTTTAATTCATGTTGGGTGGAGGGAAATGGATCTTTCTTGAAAAATTTTTTTCTGAAATGAATTTGATTTTTAGACCTTTACGTTTTTCCGTGTGTCCTGGTCCCTAGAATATTAACTGTATATGCACCATCCTCCCCCGTAAGCTGCTGCCTGGCTTTTGCCATCTTTGAAAACAAACTCCAAACAGCCCACAGGCCCCATCCTCACTGCTGCGGTGTCAGTGGGAGGCTGTGTCACGCCACTCGCCGTCTCTCTCTGGTCGGCTCCGTGAGGGTAGGGGCTCTGCCCATTCAGGTGGTATCTGTAGATCCTAGGTTCTAGGGCCCAGAGCATTCCCTGGCCCAGAGTACATGCTCAGAAATGCATGTTGAAAATATCAACGATTTAGTTGTTTAAATGTGAACTGAAAGTCACTTAGAAAATATTCACAAGGCTGGGCTCCGTGGCTCACTCCTGTAACCCCAGCACTTTGGGAGGCTGAGATGGCCAGATTGCTTGAGCCCAGGAGTTCGAGACCAGCCTGGGAAACATAGCAAGAACCCATTTGTACAAAAAATAAAAATTAGGTGGGCGTGATGGCACATGCCTGTCCTCCCAGGTACTTGGGAGGCTGAGTCAGGAGGATCACTTGAGCCTGGGAGGCCAAGGCTGCAGTGAGCCATGATCGCGCCACTGCACTCCAGCCTGGGTAACAGGGTGAGAATGTATCTCTTAAAAGAAACAACTATTTGTAGATGGATTTGAAGAACATGTCTTGATGGGATGCTTGATGCTTGTGCTTTTCTGAGTTTCTCTCCTGCTTTGGACAATTGGAACTGGCTCCTCAGAGCCCAAACGTTGTGCCCCAGCTCCTTCAAGGGCAGCACCCAGAGAGACAGGGTTGTGGGATGGAGACATCGAGGCTGCACACTCCTGCAGGGGCCCTGCTGGCCACCCCCCTGCAAGTGGCACCTCTCCCCACCTGTGAGGTCACACACACCACACAGATGCCTCTGGAGCAGTGGTCTGGACAGGTCCACCCCACCCCACCCGTTCGTGTCTCAGGAGTGTCCCGCGGGCAGGAAGGCTGAGGCCGGTGAACTCTCATGTGCCTGCCTGTGCTTTTTCTCCAGGTGGGGCACGTAGCCAGTTCAGGTGGGAGGTCGCCTGTCCCTCGTGGGGCAGTTTCTGGGATCTGAACCGTGGGTGAGCACACAGGCTGAGGAAATGGATGTGGGCAGTTTGGATGAGGGCCAGGGTTCCAGGAGAGACCACCAGCCTGGCTACCCTCGGGGACGGGAAGAGAGAAGCCACAGATCGGGGGTCCTTCTTACGTGGGGGTGGGATCTGTTAACATTTCATGTTCTACAAGTGTCTGGAGCCCTCCAGGAATCACTGTATCTATGTCCGCCTGTGGTTCTTGGTGTCCGCGGTGCCAGAGGTTTCCAGTTTACAGCCCTCTCAAGGCATGCCCGCCTCTCAGGCATTCCTGTTCTGCAAATGCTCCTGGGTGTTCTGCTGGAGCCGTGGGGAGTCAGTCTCGAGGACCTCAGGGGACAGCCGAAGCTCCCATGACCTAACCCTAACTGAGGAGGGTGTGGGGCTGGGCAGCCGCCAGCTCCTCTCAGCCGGGAGGTCTGCGGCCTGGGCGCCCCTAACTTCATGTGGTTCTTACCGGCAGTGGGTGAGTGTGAAGCGTCTGCCATGCTGCCACTGGAGTGCCAGTACTTGAACAAAAACGCCCTGACGACCCTCGCGGGACCCCTCACTCCCCCGGTGAAGCATTTTCAGTTAAAGCGGAAACCCAAGAGCGCCACGCTGCGGGCGGAGCTGCTGCAGAAGTGTGAGTGGCCGCGGCCGCCATCGGGCATTGTCTTTGTAGTTTCCAGTCATAGGTTTCTTAGGTTCTAAGGTACCAAGACTGCCCCTTCAAGGTGGCGTTCTGGGCCAGGCATGGTGGCTCACACCTGTTGGGAGGCTGGGGCAGGTGGGTCGTTTGAGCCCAGGAGTTTGAGACCAGCCAAGAAACCCCATCTCTACCAAAAGTACCAAAACATTAGCCGGGCATGGTGGTGCGTGCCTGTGCTCCCAGCTACTCGGAAGGCTGAGGTAGGAGGATCACCTGAGCCCACGAGGTTGAGGCTGCAGTGAGCTGTGATCACACCACTACACTCCAGCCTGGGAGAGAGTGAGACCCTGTCTCAAGAAAAAGAAGATAAAGTTCTGCATAAAGTTTTTTGTTAGAAGTTTATCACTATATTAAACTTTATGTTCTGAAAACATGCTTTAAAAACTTCAGAATTTAGGCTGGGCATGGTGGCTCACACCTGTAAACCCAGCACTTTGGGAGGCTGAGGCCAGCAGATCACCTGAGGTCAGGAGATCGAGACCAGCCTGGCCCACATGGTGAAACCCCGTCTCTACTAAAAATACAAAAATTAGCTGGCTGTGGTGGTGCATGCCTGTAATCCCAGTTGCTTGGGAGGCTGAGGCAAGAGAATCACTTGAACCTGGGAGGCGGAGGTTGCAGTGAGCCAAGATTGCCCCACTGCACTCCAGCCTGGGCAACAAGAGCGAAACAACATCTCAAAAAAAAAAAAAAAACCCACCAACTTCAGAATTTTAGGTGAAGGCATCTCTAATCTCTGTGACCAAATGAACTCTGTGCCAGCTGAGTCACGCTGTTGGGCACGGTGGGTGCCAGGGTGAATGGCTGGAGGGGCACGTTCCTTACTCTCACGTTGCTGCCTTCTGGAGTGGCGGGTGATCTCAATTCCACTTGAAAGATATTTAATCATTTCAGTTAACGTTTTCCCAAAGCACGACAAAGATTTCAATAACATCGTTTTATTTTGAATGGTTATGGAATTAATATTTATAATGTACATCAATACCCCGTTTCCAGAGAATCCAAATAAAAGGCTGACAGCAGCTGTGCATGGATCTTGGCTGGAACGGGCAGCAGCCAGGGCCCAGCGCTGTCCGGGAGGCTCCGTGCAGCCCCGGGCCCACTGGGTAGCCCAGGAAGGACTCTGCTGGCCCCTTGGGCCCCACCCCCTTTGGAGGCCAGCAGTGGCCACAGGGTCTGCTTTGGGCACTCGGTGTCCCCTGACCCTTCAGCCACACTGAACCAAGTCAGGAATATCTCTTCGTTTGTTTCTTCCTCATATTTTTGTATCTAGACCGTGCCTGCTGACCCTCAGCGAGGACGGTGCTACCACTGGGCCAGGGGGAGGCCCGGGTCGATGGAGAGGGCTCATGAGGTCCCTCAGCTCCTCCTCGGCTGCCTCCCCCCTGCCATGGGGTCCTGGGAGGTGCAGCCACAGCCACCCAGCTCCCGAAACTTGCTCACCTGAGTGAGTTTCTGACTCGTTGTAAAGTGCGAGCTGGTGTCAGGCCCGGCTCGGAACAGCTGCTCATTTAGAGAGAATGCAGCGTTCACGGCTCAGGCCGTCGGATGAATCCACTTGACAGAGATGTTTTTACAAGGGCCAAGGGCTCTCGCTCTGAGGATCCCTGACATATGTGACCTCTTCCTTCCAGCCACGGAGACCGCCCAGCAGTTGAAGCGGAGCGCCGGGGTGCCCTTCCACGCCAAGGGCCGGGGGCTGCTGCGGAAGATGGACACCACCAGTAAGGCCCCCACCCTGGTGCCGTGAGCCTTGCTTTTGGGGCAGAGCTAAGGGCTTCACCTGGAGACCCGCTCCCTGTTGGGGAGGTGGTGCCTGTGAATGGTCTTCAGGCAGCAGTGTTGGGAGCCCGTGGGAAAGCGAAGGCACTGGGGCAATTTCACCGGCTTCTCCCCTTGGGGAGCTCCCTGGGAGGATGTGTGGGCACGGAGACAGGAGGGCCGGGATCTGAGGACAGTGCTGGGCACGGAGACAGGAAGGCCGGGATCTGAGGACACCGCTGGGCATGGAGACAGGAAGGCCGGGATCTGAGGACAGTGCTGGCCCCTGCTCCTCTGCTGTTGGCACCGGTGGCTCTCGGCCTTCCCAGCTCGGGCTTTCGGCCCCAAGTGCTGCTCTTGGGTTCCGAGTGTCCCTGGGCGGCTCCGCGGGGAGGACGTGACCGTGCTCAGCTGCCCGTGGGGCTGTGCCCCCCGCACCCCTCCATCTGCCCTTCCTGATTTGTGCTCTCAGGGCTGGGCGTGAGCTTAAGCAGGATGCACCCTGATCACAGGAAGACGGCGTGCCCCTGGGAACCATGGCAGGGCATACTCACCCCAGAGGGTGCTGGATAGTGACCTGGGGGCCAGAGGGCAGGACGGGTGTCGTCCTGTGCTGAGACAGCTGGGTAAACTTGCAGATGGGTGGGGCTGAAAGGGCAGCCTTACAGGCGCTCTCCATGCAGCTCCCAGACCAGCCTGGCTTAGTTTATTTGGGCTCCCATAATCCCACAGTGTTCACATGGGACCTAGTAGAAGGCATCTTGGGTCTGCTGACTATTGTCGCTGTGTGGGGGGCCGTCCCTGGGTCATGTTCCTGCCCACCGCAGCCGAGGTTCCACCTTGCTCTCCTCTACCCCGCCTGGAGCAGACCCTTGTCTTTCCACCCCCACCAGGCATCCCAGGGCCAGGGCTGCACCTGCTGGCCCAGGGAGGGTGGGCCAGCCGTTGAGCAGTGTGTCCAGCCTGGCCCGGTGTGCTGATGGCACCATCCCCCGGGCGTCCTCTCTCCGGGCCTGGCACCATGAGAGCCACGCACGCCTTGGAGGGTGCGTGTGGGCGCTGGTGGGTAACAGCGTAGGTAGGCCTCAGGAGTGTCCTCAGGGGACGGGGAGAAGGCTTGGGAGGGCGGCCCTCAAGCCCAGGCGCCTGGCTTCATGCCCCTGCCGGTGGAGGCACAGGAAGGAGGCAGAGCTCAGCCCCCGCCACACTGGTGAGAGACTCCACCTGGTGAGATCCTGTGGCTGGGCTGGGGTGCCGCTGTCTTTGTTTGGTGTCTTGGCAAAGTGTGAGGTCGTGGCTCCAGGCGTTCCCCTGCTCCTTGAGGTCCGGGATCCTGGGGGTCCTGCCCGCTGCCCGCCAGGGGTTTGGCCCTTCCCCTCTGCGGCGCTAGCCTAGAAGAGGGTGGGACGTTCTGAGCTCGGGGTGGGGGACGTTTGCCGGTCACTGCTGCTGGCGCCCTGACTGTTGCCGTCCTCCAGCCCCACTCAAAGGCATCCCGAAGCAGGCGCCCTTCAGAAGCCCCACGGCGCCCAGCGTCTTCAGCCCCACAGGGAACCGGACCCCCATCCCGCCTTCCAGGACGCTGCTGCGGAAGGAACGAGGTGTGAAGGTAGGCCCGTCCCCCAGCTCCTGTGGCACCCCGGGGCCCGTTGCGCCCTGGTGCCGTCACTAAGGCAGGGCTGTGCTTGTCTTGGCAGCTGCTGGACATCTCTGAGCTGGATATGGTTGGCGCTGGCCGAGAGGCGAAGCGGAGAAGGAAGACTCTCGGTGGGGGTTGGGGCCTGCGTGTCGGCGGCAATGGGGGTCCCTGCGGGCCCTGCCCAGTTGGGGTGGGTTGTGCCCACGCTCGGCGGGCAGGGCTGTGCCCCGTGAGGCTGCTCTCCGTGGGTGGGTGCCTGCTTTTCTCCTCGCTCCTTGGTGGCCTCCCCTGGGAAGCTGTTTGATTCCCTGCCGCTGCCCTGAGCTGACACTGCAGACGCGCCCGGGCACTGGCGAGGACTCCTGTTTTGTCCACAGATGCGGAGGTGGTGGAGAAGCCGGCCAAGGAGGAAACGGTGGTGGAGAACGCCACCCCGGACTACGCAGCCGGCCTGGTGTCCACGCAGGTAGGGCTCGGGGCTGCACCCCATGTCTGGCACCACTGCGGGTGCCCCTTTTGTTCCGATTGTGGCCACTAGTGTGCTCTGTCGGAGAATATATATATGTATGTACATATGTGTGCAGTCTGTATTTATGTATATATACGTATATGTACATGAGAGGCAGTGTGGGCCGTGCCCTGACATGGGCATCTGACTCAGGCTTGGAGCGGGAACCTGCCCCACGCTTGCTGGAGGGGCTGCCAGGGGAGTCCTCCTCAACCCTGTGCCTCAGTGTCCCGTCAGGCAGGGCTGGTGGGACCTAAGCCTTGCACGTGGCCGTGAATGGGTGCAGGACAGGCCTGTGGGGGTGCTGGGTGGTCAGAGGCCTCAGTGTCCCGGAGACCAGGCCCTGCCTGCGGGTGGGAGGCAGCCACGGGGCGCGGCAGGTGCACAGAGGCTGCAGTGGGTCGTCTGAGGCCAGGGCCTGGAGGAGGCCACACTGTGGGGTCACTTCAGGATAATAAGCTCCTTTCTTCCCGCCGCTGCGTGTTCTGTGTTTCTTAACATGAGCATCTTCCTTTATATCAACGCTTCGTGGTAAGAAAAAGCATCGCTCCTTCTGTGCTCAAGATGGGCTGTTTGGGCTCCTCAACCCCTCCCCTCTCCTACACAGGAGCGGCTCAGTCCCCAACTCTGCTGGGGCGCCAGGGGCCAGGGGTCCCGTTGTCTAGCCCAGGGAGCTCGGGAGAGTGGCCCCCGCCTTCCTGCTCTAGCTCGGGGGGCCACAGCCTGTGGCAGTGGAGCTCCGGGTCGGGCCATGTGTTAGCACATGCCGGAAGCATGGCCTCTTCTGGAAGGAACCTTAAACTCTGTGTTCCAGAAACTTGGGTCCCTGAACAATGAGCCTGCGCTGCCCTCCACGAGCTACCTTCCCTCCACGCCCAGCGTGGTTCCCGCCTCCTCCTACATCCCCAGCTCCGAGACGCCCCCAGGTGAGTCTGCTGGCCCCAGCCTGGAACCAGCCAAGCTGCCTGCCAGGACATGACCTTGCCCACGGGCGCTGCCAGGGCTGCGGTTCTCACTCCTGCATCTCTGTTGTCCCCCTTCTGCCTCAGCCAGAATCTGCTGGGGGCAGATGCCCCGCTGTTCAGCTTGAGCTCCAAGACATAAACCAGCTGCTTTGCCCCACCCTGCCCGTCCTGGGCACAGACAGGCAGCGGCCCCAGGGGACACGGCAGGAAGGGGATTGGGTTCGAAAGGGTTTTCTGCCAGGTGACCCAGCTCTTGTTGCTGGGTAGGCGGGAGGGGAGCTGAGAGCCATCCCCTCCCAGACGGAGGGCACTGCCAGGCTCACAGCACCTCAGGCCAGGTCCTGGGCCCAAGGGGCTTGAGGATACAGCCTTCCTGTCTTCCCAGCAGTGCCTACGGTATGGGGACCTGCTGCAGGCCAGCAGCTGGCCAGAGTCCAGACATCTTATCTGCGAGTCTGGAAAGGCCTGAGACCACTGGCCTTGTTCCTCTGGCTGGGGCTTCTGGGGCCTGTGCCTTGGCTGGGGGCCACAGGGAGTTCTTGTCAGAGGGTAGCAGGACAGAGAAGGGGAGCTGAGCCTGTCACCTCCAGGAGCACTAGGGTTTGGGAACAGGGTGGGGGTCCAGCCCCCTCACCAGGCCCCGGTCTACTTGCAGCCCCATCTTCCCGGGAAGCCAGCCGCCCACCAGAGGAGCCCAGCGCCCCGAGCCCCACGTTGCCAGCGCAGTTCAAGCAGCGGGCGCCCATGTACAACAGCGGCCTGAGCCCTGCCACACCCACGCCTGCGGCGCCCACCTCGCCTCTGACACCCACCACACCTCCGGCTGTCGCCCCTACCACTCAGACACCCCCGGTTGCCATGGTGGCCCCGCAGACCCAGGCCCCTGCTCAGCAGCAGCCTAAGAAGAACCTGTCCCTCACGGTAGGTGTACACTGGTAGGGCCCACAGGCCACCAGGTAGGTGGTACGGCCCTGGCCACCTCCCCTAGCGTGGGGGTGCCACGGTGCCTGCAGGGGGATGCAGGAGGTGGTCCTGGCGGGGCCCTGGCACCCACACCCCTCTCCCCGCTGTAGAGAGAGCAGATGTTCGCTGCCCAGGAGATGTTCAAGACGGCCAACAAAGTCACGCGGCCCGAGAAGGCCCTCATCCTGGGCTTCATGGCCGGCTCCCGAGGTATGTTCATAAGGCAGGGCCTGGGGGTGCACCGGGCCGGGTTGGGGGCGGGTGCCCCCAGACACCCACCCAGCAGCTCCTGCTCTCTGCAGAGAACCCGTGCCAGGAGCAGGGGGACGTGATCCAGATCAAGCTGAGCGAGCACACGGAGGACCTGCCCAAGGCGGACGGCCAGGGTAGCACAACCATGCTGGTGGACACAGTGTTTGAGATGAACTATGCCACGGGCCAGTGGACGCGCTTCAAGAAGTACAAGCCCATGACCAATGTGTCCTAGAACCACCTGCCTCACAGCTGGCCGTCACTTGTGGGGGTCCACGGGACGATGGCTTTGCCAGCTTAAAGTAACCGGATGGCGGACACCTGGCCCCCGAGGTCCCCCGGCCGCCGCCCTGCTGCTGACCCAGCCTGTTTTAAGTTCTGGATGCATTTCTCTGGGGTATTTGGGGCTTATTTTTAAAATTTTAATATGGGTTCTTTTTTGTGTGATTTAAGACACTTTTTGGACTCAACGTTACATTTTTGAATGTAGTAAGTAAATTAACCAAAAAAGTTACAACTTCCTAATTTTAGTGACAGCTCTGCCTGTTAGACTCTTACTTTTTAAAATCTTTTCTATTTTCCCTCGCTGGGGCAGTGCCCTCCTACCCCCAGGGTTGAGGGGACCAAGGTGGCACGGTGGTACTGGGGGTGCGGCAGGGACACCCGACCACACCAGAGCGTGGGAGACGGTGGGCCTTGTCCCCTGCCTGTGCCTGCCTGGGAGTTTTGTATTCATCTTTTGTATAGTTGTGGACATTTAAGACAGTCTTTGGGTACCTATTTTCATTGTAAAACTATCTGAACCATTAAAGTCGAGCTTTTCTAAAGAAAGCCACCATAGCTGTGTTTGGGGCCAGCTTGTCCTCCCTGCTCCGGGGACCCAGTCCCTCCCTAGGCGGCCATCAGGACGGGGTGGGCCAGGGCTGGGGGCTTCCTAGGACACCCTGGCCCACAGGGTGGGGAACAGGTAGGATCAGCCCTCGGGGTACTCCCTTGACTTACTTGGCTGTGGGCCTGGGGACCACCCGGCTCAGCCGACTGCAGGGCTGGGGGACAGCAGTGCTTCCTTCTCTCTAGACCATTTCACCCTTAATGGGAATTTGGGAAGCAAATTATTTCTGAAAGAAGAAGAAAGCATTTTTCCAAAGTCAGTCAGTTATGCCTGCTATTTCCAGTATTTGTTGTTATACTTCCCAAGGTGGCACTGCCTCTCCCCAGCGGGTCAGGTCAAAGGCAAAATGACACAGTCAGGACAGGGAGCCCCACCCATCGGAGGCATCAGTGCCACACCCGATGCTTTGCAATTCAAAGTAACTGGAAAAAAAATCAAACAATCCCATATAAAATAAGTTAAGAAAAAAGCCTTTAAAATGTTTTTAATACAAAAATACTCATACACAATTTTCCAAACACAGCTTTCCATTTTAAATGCTATTTTCCCCCAACTGGCAAGTCTCAACTCTCTATTTCAGTATATCCCTCCCCCCAAAAAGTGAATTTCAAGTTTTTAAGTCTAACTATCAAACCTGGTGACAGCACCCAGTATTCCTAAAAGGAATCTGACCTTACATTGTATGAAGTTTAGACACCAATAGGCACATTTAAGTTTGTATTTAATTTCTGACGGGGCATTTCACACCTCAACAGGGTATGGTGAGGCTGTGACACCCCGTGGACACAGCATTTTACTCTACTGACTAACAAACAGTCATCAACTACACTCATAGGATCAAGATATTTGGCAACTGACAGTCATTTGCATTAACTTGAATTATAAAACAGGTTTAATTCTGGAAAATAAGGTAGTCCTGGAAGATGGGCACTGCACACGCCGGGGTTTAGATGTCAAGACAGACAAACACTGCGAAGGGGACCCAGCCAGCCATGGACGGGTGTCGCCGGAAGAAAGGCCGGCCTGAGGACGGACAGCTGGGTTCTCACTTCAGGTGCCTGAAGAGTTTCCCCCACAGGTGACCACATTTTAAGCTGCCCATTCGGACACATCCCCCTGTGGGCGCACACGGGTGGGTATGGGTTTAGGTGCAGATGCTGGTTTCGGATGCCAAGGAATCCTGAGGGATTGGGGCGGTTTTTGTGTTTTGCTTCACATTAATGATGGAGGATTGAAGCTGATGTTCAGGAAGTCACCACGTCCTCAGAACAAAGCTGGGCAGGGCCGAGAGCCAGCCACACCCACGGTCACAGCTGGGGGCGTGGTCAGCCCCAGTGGCGAGAAACCCTGCAAGCTCAGGGCCGCTACCCCAAAGCCTGGCTCCACTGAGTTATCAACGGGTATTGTAGAGACATTCAAAGTTAGTGTTACTTGCTCATTAGTTTAACAGTTTTTGGAAAGGGGGAGAAACATATTTAAAATGTTTGCATTATTTCCTTCAGAAAAATCATAAAATTTGGAAGTATTATCAAAGCGATTAAAAATCACAAGATTTCACTACTGTCCAACACAAAAATAAGTTAATATCTGCTCCCCAAAGTGCACTGCAAAGCCGATTCTGCTGTTTTGACGTAAGCATTGGTAGTCCCTTACCTGCCGGAAGGGATCTTTTGGGCAAGTGACAGCGGGGCCCTGGGGCCTTCGACTCTAAGGTGTGTGTGGGGACACTGCCCGGCCTGTCCCTAGAACAACCTTCCAAGTTAGGGCATCATAAGGAGCATAAATCTATGAGCCGATCCAGTATTTTCTTAGGACACTTTGGGAGAAGTTAGAGTCTGAACTGGAAAGCACTACTCCCACCCTGTCTTAACCGGCGAGTGCCCCTCAGAGGCCACGGCCGCGCGAGCAAGTCAGTGGCTACACAGCTCGTTTCCCCTGGGTCCTCTGTGTAGTTAACTTTGCTGGGGACCCTGATGGGAGAAGGGACAGCCACCAGCCAGTGAAACTTCCAGTCAGTGCTCAGGGAGGCGTGGGACCCTGCAGGGCCACACACCCCTGAACCCCACGCTTACAGGTCACAAAACCACGGAGTAGCCACTCTCAGGTCCAAAGACACTGCAGTTTTTACCAAGGCATAAAAGATGCCACAGAAAATTTAACAGGAGCCTCAGCAGCAGTTTTCAAGGGGAGTTCTGTAAACTTCTCTGCAAGATGGATGTGTCCCCCTTAGGTTATTTTAAGAAAAGGCCATAAAAAAGCACCTGCTGCTGAATGTTCTCTCCCTCCCTCCCAGACAAGCAGCCCCTCAGGACACGTGGGCAAAGGCACACATGGTGCCCCCTTCTCAGGGTGCTCCAGACTTCCCAGGGTCAAGGATCCCTCAAAAAAAGAACCAAGTCTTAAAACATATGTAGTACTCAGATAGATAGGTCTCACTCTGTAGAACTGGACCTTTTAAAAACTAAAGTGAAATCTCACAGGAGAGTGGGTGTCATACCTGGCCTAGACCAGTGCCCATAACACACGTACGAGGCACGCACACCTGCCAGGCAGGCCTCCACCCCCAGGACCGCACCTCTCAGTAGGTGCCCTGGCAGAGGGCACATGTGATCAGCAGAGACTGCATCTTCCATCACCAGACCCACAGAGTGCTGAGATGGAAGCCACTCTGGGTGGCAGGAGAGCTAGACTCCGTCTCTCTTTAGACCCACGTGCTGGGGTCCCCGGGGCCTGCAGCGCCCTACGGGGCTCCCTAAGTTGTCACTTCCTGTGCTCTAAGCAGACTGCGGTCTCACGCCCTGCAAAGTCACTCCTTTCGCCATGGAGCTCAGGGCCGCATCAGTAAACACACACTTCAGTCGGTGGTGATTTGTGAAATAGGTTTAGCAAAAATATATTGAGAATAAAAATCAGAAACTGGTAAAGAAAAGCCAAATGAAAAAAATATACAAAGTTATCCCCCAAATGTTGATAAGAACCTAGCGAGTTCAGAAGATAGGCCCAGGTGAGAAGTAGGCCCAACCCGGCCAGGCCTCGAAAGTGCTCCGCGTAAACTACACGTTGAAAGTGGACGTGTTATTGGCATTTCATTCAAATCCATGAGGAGAAAAAACTACGGGAGGAAATCTTACAACACCATTGCTGCCACCACCTGCAGGGCCAGCTTCTCACTAGGATGGAAAAGAAGCGTTTCTGAGGAACAATTCACATTAGTACAAAAAAATGATACAGCCATTTCCAAAGAGCAGAGTAATGATCACAATGGCAGTTTCGAGGAATCCAGGGTCAGTCCTCACACGGGCCTCACCCAGCCTCTCCCGAGTGGCGACGGCGCTGAGAGCCAGAAAGGGGGCAACGCGAAGACGAGTTTCTAGCGACCCTTGGGAAAAGCCTACGCTACACATTTCAGAGGAGATTAAAACATTCCATATGCCAATTAACTTTAACCTAAAAAAATAGAGTGGGAGGGAACCTTGACATTCGGAGAAATTCAAGTGTGGCGGTAACGCTGAGGAGTGAGGCTGTTTGTCCAGGAACGCTGAGCTGGGCTCAGACGGTCATCAGTGCAGACGCAGCGGACGCTGCTGAGGATGGCTCAGTGGTGGGGAGGCGCTCCCTCCCGAGGAGGCCTGTACGTCTGTGTCCTGGCGGCTCGAGCTGGGTCCTCCGGGCCAGTTCATGCTCGCCCTCTCCCGCAGGCAGGGCCGGCCGCCCTGCACCGCCCCTGGATCCGGCCAAGCGGCCGCCTGGCGCTATTTGCCCTCTGTGACTCTCCGCCAGCCCCTCCGCCGCCGCCTCTTCCCCTTCGGCTTCCCTGGCTCTGGGGGGGGCTTCTCAGTCTTGGTGCTTCTGACCGATGCCGCCCCTAAGTCATGCTCACAGCAGTAGGACCGCCCGTCCGGGGTGCAGCTGAAGGCTGTCCCGTCCTGGTGCTCCTTACAGAACGAATTGGGGCAGAGGTGGCAAAATGAAGTCGAAGGTTTGCCACACACGTCACAATGATGCCAAGGACATTCCCACTTCCCTGCAACAGAACACAAGATGTGAGCACACAGAAGTGATGGAATCACGACTTCAACATTATCGTGGTTGAAGATGACTTACAACTGTCAGGTCAAATGAACACAAAATAGTGCTGGCTCCAGCGAACAGGACGGGCAGACAAACTGTCTACCACAGCCCGGGCGGGCTCCCTGGCAGGGCCTGTTGACTCCACAGTACCTGCCAGGCCCCTAAGGACCACCTGTTAGCGTCTCTTTATGTTTCGGCAACTGAGAGGAGCTGTGCCGGGTGCAGGAGTGTCCCCCAGCGCGGCGTGGACAGGCAGGGGCTGCTGTGCTGATTTCCATGTGACCTGCCCTCTCCCAAGGGACTGATTTTCAACTTGGGTATTCATCTTTCTGGCATGACTCTGTAAAAGCTCTGTCACGTTAGGGACCACCCTCTCGCACCCATGGCCAACACTTTTCTCTATCGTGTGTCATCTTTACCGTACAAAAATGTTTTTACACAAATATCTGAATTCTTTTTTTTTTGAGATGGAGTCTAGCTCTGTCGCCCAGGCTGGAGAGCAGTGGCGCAATCTTGGCTCACTGCAGCCTCCGTCTCTTGGGTTCAAGTGATTCTGCTGCCTCACCCTTCCGAGTAGCCAGGATTACAGGCGCCCGCCACCACGACCAGCTAATTTTTCTATGTTCAGTAGAGATGAGGTTTCACCATGTTGGCCAGGCTGCTCTCGAATTCCTGACCTCAAGTGATCCATCCACCTTGGCCTCTCAGAAGTGCTGGGATTAGAGGCATGAGCCACCGTGCCTGGCCTGGATTTTCTTTTTATAGTTTTGTTTTTTGTTTGTTTGGTTTTTTTTTTTTTTGAGTGGAGTCTTGCTCTGTCGCCCAGGCTGGAGTGCAATGGTGCTATCTCAGCTTTCTGCAATCTTGGCTCACTGCAACCTCCGCCTCCCGGGTTCAAGCATTTCTCCTGCCTCAGCCTCCCGAATAGCTGGGATTACAGGTGCATGCCACCACACCAGTCTAATTTTTGTATTTTTAGTAGAGACGGGGTTTCACCATGTTGGTCAGACTGGTCTCGAACTCCTGACCTCAGGTGATCTGCTCACCTTGGCCTCCCAAAGTACTGGGATTACAGGCATGAGCCCCCGCACCTGGCCTCTTTTGGGTTTCTTGTTTTGGGTAAGGGCCATTTAATTTTTCTTCTGTGATTCCACACAGTCAAGAGCCTCATGGCGACACACTGCAAGATTGTAACGGAGGTGGCTGCACCCTTAGGTGTGAGCCATGATGTCTGCGCACCGCCAGAGTCATCTCACGACCCATTTCTCAGACTGTCTCATCACCAAGTGGAACAAGACGCTACTGTTTTCCCACTGGCGCCTGTCATCTCTGAAATGCGGGTGCTGGAAGGTGGAGCCCACTCTACTTTCCCTCAAACAGAGCCAGAGCTGCAGCTCCTTCGTCAACCGGCGGAGCCTCCTGGTGCACAGCACCATCTCTGGGGACAGCCTGCCCTGCACATCCAGGACAGGGGCTCTGGGCCCCTCCATTCCCACTGTAGTGCAGCCAGGCCAGGCCCCTCTGGGCTGCCAGGGAGACACTGTTGTAGAGGCCTTTCTCCTAGGAGGGGCTTTAGTTCCCAGCGTCGCCTCCTTCCTGGCCGCCCCGCCCCCACAGCATGGATGAGGGCCCCAATTCTGCAGCTGGGCCTTGGGCTGCCTGAATCCCTCCTGGAGGTTCCAGGGGCTACCCCGTCACCACATATCTTCTCTGCTCGATGCAGAGATCTAGAATGTGCGGCTGGTGGAACAAAGAAAGGCTCTGCCACCCTGGATCAGGGCCTTCGCTGCATGAGCGCCTGATGTGCCTGCACCCAGATGAGGCCCGGTCAGCAGGAAGAGCGGCAGCAGCCGCCATCAGGAGCCTGCCACACAGACACAGCTGCAAGCCACCGCGAGGCTGCACACCCACCGAAGGGCCGCTTGCCAAGGCCCAGGCAGGACAGGTGGTAGGCCTTGGTGCAGAACTTGCGGTCACACAGCACCAGCTGCCCGCCATCACCGCAGCGGAAGCACTCGTCCTCTGACTGCCTCTTCCCTTCCCCTTTTGCTCTGCGCCGCCTCGTTTTCTTCTTGGTCTTTTTGCCCTTTTCCTCTGATGAAAGGGTCGTCGAGGTCTAGAGTCAAGAATTAAGCACAGATCACCGGAAAGAATTACACAGGCTGAAGCAAATAGGGCAGAAGAGCGAGCTACACTCCAGGAACTTCAGAGATCTCTGCAGGTGCCCAACACTAAGAGGAGAGGAGAGGAGTGTCCTCCTCGTGCTCCCCAGACATCCTTAGACTCACTCGACTCAGCGTGAAAAAGCTGAACAAAGACTACGACTAGAGTGAGCTTTGTCGGAAGCCTGCAATGACGCATCTCAGCAGCATCTCAGCAGACACACAGCTCCAGGATCTGCTGATGGGACCCACTGGCAAAGGAGGCCACCACAGGCAGAACAGCTCCCGCCCGCCACCCAGGGTCTCCTCATTAGGAAATTCCACAGGAACGTGGGCACAGGTGGGCGGCAGTGACCTGAGGGCAGTGACCATCCTCAGCAACACGGCTGAGGACAGACACCGGCTCAGGGCCGAGCTGGTGCCACCGCCAGGCTTTCAGGACCAGGTTCTACACAGCACAGGGAAGGGGTGCAAGAGTGCCCCCCCAAATCTCTGTCCTTCCTGGAACCTTGGAAGGTGACTGTATTTGGAAATAGGGTCATTGTCAATGAGATCTGTTAAGATGGGGTCACACGGTAGCAGGGCAGGCGCTAAGTCAACAGGACCAGTGCTCTTATAAGAAGGGCAAGTCAACAGTCATGTTCGCAGGGAGAATGGTTGGGCGGTGCTGCTACAAGCCAAGGAGCAGCAAGGACTGTGGCCGCCACCAGGAACGGGAGACAGGCCTGGGAAAGAGCCTCCCAAGGAACCTTCAGAGGGCGCACGGCCCTGCCCACACCCAGAACTGCGAAACCACGCGTCTGTGAGGCATTGTTCTGGCAGCCCCAGGAAACACGTTCAGTGAGGAACTCTTAACCACTGGCCTTTGTTGAGAGCCATCCTCCCCAGCCCACAGCAGGGAACTTGCTCCCACCTGTCCCGGCAACAAGCCAGCCTGGAGGAAGCCGCTGTTCACGGGGGACACAGGTCTCCAGGAGTGCAAAATGCCAACACAGAGCCTGGGGGGAAGGAGGGCGCCACAGCCTTACCTTTGGTCTATCCCCGAGGAATCCACTGCAATTGGAGGCTCCACACCGGCAGACCGTTTTTTCATTGCCCAGACAATCGAGGTTGTAGTTAAAAGTCAGCTCCGTCCCTGGGAGAAGAGGAGACAGACACCAAATTGGAAACACCTGCCTTTCTCTTCAAAAGCTAAGGGGCGTGTATTAGGTCAACAAAAATACTCTTATTATTTTTGTATCTGTACTGGCTTGACCCATGGCCTTTCAATTTTGCTTGGTAAAAGAGATATTCAAACCAAAAGAGACTCCACATCAGCACCCACCTCCCCCAGAGCCTTTCCAGTCCAGCCCCACGCAGCCCTCAGCGATGGCCACTCTGCCCCCATAGCCAGGAGCCCCATGCAGGGTCCCCAGAGCTTGTACCTGCAGGAATGTCACAGACGGCAAACAGGCCCACACGAGTGTCCCCATTCACTGTCCACTTGAGGGTCTCACAGTTGGGCTGGCAGCTGTGATTCATAAATCGAGAGTAGTTTCCTTTGGGGCCAGCGTCTATTATACGGTCCTGTAAGGTCAAGTGATATATTCGGTCAAGTGTTAGCAATCGCATGTTATTTTTAAAGGGAATTTTCACCATCATAAAGCACATTGAACAAGTTGTGTTCCTTGTTGTACTGAAAACCGTGGTGTCCTGTGTCCACTGAGACAGGACACCCCCAAACCAGTCCTGTTTCTCTTGCTCACAGAGGACAGGTCAGGACCACGTGGAGAGGACCGAGCCTTAGTGAGCGCCGGGGAGGACAGGACAGGGAGCTGGAGCTCCCAGCATCCTCCATGATGGCAAACAAGGGAGCTAAGGTCAGCAGCAACAGCCTAGCCAAGTGGCACTCAAGGACAAGAACAAGACTCACCCTGGCTGGGCGCAGTGGCTCACGCCTGTAATCCCAGCACTTTGGGAGGCTGAAGCAGGCAGATCACCTGAGGTCAGGAATTTGAGACCAGACTAGCCAACATGGTGAACCCCCATCTCTACTAAAAATACAAAAAAAATTAGCTGGGCGTGGTGGTGGCTGCCTGTAATCTCAGCTACTCGGGAGGCTGAGGCAGGAGAATCACTTGAACCCGGGAGGCGGAGGTTACAGAGAGTGGAGATCGCGCCACTGCACTCCAGCCTGGGCAACAAAAGCAAAACTCCGTCTCAAAAAAAAAAAAGACTCACCCAACCGAAAACCAGCAAAGGATGCAAAGAAACAATTCCCAAAGAGCAAATCCAGGCAGAGGTGGAGAAATGCAGATCCGAGTGACAGTGAGCTCTGACTTTGCACCCATGGCGCTGATGTGGCGTTGGCTGAGATGAGGGGTGGCTGCAGGGCCGGCAGGAAGGCTTTCGAGGCAGCAACCTGATAAGGGCCACGGGAATCACAAATGCAAGCACGATGTGGCCTAGAACTGACCCACTCAAATCCAGGTGCCTGGAGGCCAAAGGCAGGAACTGGAGACAACATCTCCACCCAGCAGCAGGGAATGGACGGCCCCGGCCTCCACCTGAGGAGCCGCCAGATCCACCGCACAACCGCGTGGGGAGAAATCAAAAGGCCACATAAAGCGTAACAGTCACGTGTTCAAACAAAACCACGTGTGTGAACAGGGATAAACACTGGGATAAACATGGTCCCAGGAAGCGGCAGGCTTCGGAGTCACTATTCACACGCGGCCTCTGACACAACTGCCCACGCACCCAGCCCTGGTGCAATCTCCCAGGGTGCCCCTGTCTGGGACCGCTGGCCCCGTGTCCTTTCTACATACCCACACAGGCCACCCTTTAAAACCAGAAATGGTACCAGAATGTGGTTCTCTGCAAGATGCTTTTCACAATAATAAAATGCACTAATCAACCCAGAGTGCCACTCTTCAACACAGAAGTGGGGGTGCTCATCTGCCCTCTGCAGATGCTTTGTCATGACGCGCTGAGCCGCGGTGCTGATGTGCACGTTGGCATGCACACCACTTCTGCAGGGCCCTGGGGACGAGGACAGCACGGGGCATGCACATGGGACATGCCACCAATGCCAACAGGACAACCCAGCCTCTGACGCCTGGCAGCACCGTGTCTAACCTACATTCCTACCATTACCAGCGGGGCCCAGTGCCACTTCCTTCTTATCGGGCCAGTTTTCATCTGTGGGTTGCCCGCCATGTCTTGACCCTGTTTTATTTATCTTAACTGACTTACAGATGTTCCCTAGATATTCCAAACATCAGACCCCTTTATAACAATATGTCGGCCGGGCGCGGTGGCTCACACCTATAATCCCAGTACTTTGGGAGGCCAAGGATCACTTGAGGCCAGGAGTTCGAAACCAGCCTGGCCAACATGGTGAAACTGTCTCTAATAAAAATACAAAAAATTATCCAGCTATGGTGGTGGGCACCGGTAATCCCAGTTACTCGGGAGGCTGAGGCAGGAGAATGGCTTGAACCTGTGAGGCAGAGGGTGCAGTGAGCTGAGATTGTGCCACTGAACTCCAGCCTAGGCGACAGAGTGAGACTCCGTCTCCAAAAAGAAAAAAAAATGTGTCAAAAACTTTCCCATAGCTTCCCAGCTCCCAATGGAATCTTCCGTGCACAATGTCTTTTCTCACAAAGCTGCCTCCGCCTTATGCAACTATTTTACCCTTTTGCTTCATGCGTTTTCGGTTTGCTGAGTAGTTGCATGCAGCTTTTCCCACCACACAGATTATAAAATGCATCTCCCCCACTCCTAGCTGTTCAATCCATCTGGAATTGGCCTTTATAAGTGGTGTGAGGGGAGGCATCAGTGCGTGGTACGTGGGCTGCCCGGCCCTGGCTTTGGCCCCACTCCCCCTGGCCATCCGCCTGGGTTTGGGCCCCGCTGGAGTCACAGGAATGCCATGGGGAACACTGTCACCCCCAGGACACGCCCACCCTTCCCACAGTAAGGCTTCAAGATAAAGCACTGGCTAGACCTGCAGATCTTTCCTTCTACATGGACTTTGAAATTGCCTGTCCAGGTATATTTAAACGTTTTTGCTATTTTTATCGCACCTACAACGAGCTTGCACTGGGGAAGATTTCCACCCTCACAGCCTCTCCTTTCCCAGCTGAGACATAGCCTGTACCGCCACTCATCCATATCATCTCTTGTGTCCGTCAGTGACACTGCCGAACTTTCCACAGAAGCCTGCTCCATTCAATACACGCATCAATGCTCTTTGTGGCTCTGCATACATGAGGAGGGCAGGGGAAAACCTGTGGACCTGGCCTCTCACTGTTGTCACTACAGTTCACATAAGGCCATCACCAAACACAGCCGTCACATTCTCCGAGAGACACTGTTTGCCTCTTGCTGCTCTGCTGTTTCTGCCCTGCCTGCATCACCCAGCACCCGCAGCCTTGGGGGTACAGGAGCGGCGTGAGCGTCCTGCCTTATTTCTGAACCGGCCACAAGTGTCTGGCTCACTGAGCATCAGCTGGCAGCCGCTGATGTCTTTTAGCAAGCTAAGCATACTTGTAGTCCTGGTTTCTTGGGAAGTTTTCATCAGGAATAGGTTTGAATTTTCTCAAATGATTTTCTGGTGTTCATGAAAATGACTCTGGATTTGTTTTCCTCCTTTACCTGATAGGGTTGTTAAGCCCTCCTTGCAGTCCTGGGGTAAACCCCACTCGGTCACAAGGAACTGCTCTCCATGCTTTTCAGGTGCACCCCACCGGCTGGCACACACCCTCACAGGTCCCAGGTCCCCTCCTCCCATGTTCACATACAGGTCCACGCCCTGGCTCGGACCTCACGCCTCAGTACATGTGCCTCTGAAAAGTACACGGCACTATTGTGGGCTCGTAAGAAGAGATTTATTTATTTCTATTGTTTCTGTTCTCTAAGTCTCTGCTTGGTCTCTAAACACTTCCTCCAGTGTATTCTGTCCTTCTTTTCGACAGTGCTGAATTCATGCTCATCATCTGTCCAGGATCTCTGCCTTCAATTAAGAGGTGAACTCACCGTCAGCTGTATTCACTGGCCTTTCTCCTGGATCCCATAGGCCAGTGGGAAGGCCCTAAATTTAGGGTGCATCTCATCCCCAGTGGTGGCTCTGGTGTCAAAAAAGCCTTCTTCTGTGTCACTGAAAGTGGTAGGGCCTGAATTCTGCCTTGTCTGAGAACAACTCCTTTCTTCGACTTCACCTTGGCATACCTTTGGCCACAATTTTTTTTTAATTGAGACAGGGTCTCCCTATGTTGCCCAGGCTGGTCTCGAACTCCAGAGCTCAAGCAATCCACCCGCCTCAGCCTCCCAAAGTGCTGGGATTACTGGCATGAGCCACTGCACCCGGCCTGCCCACAATTTTATTTTTAACCTTCCAGAATCTCTTTGTTCCTTGCATGCTGCAGAGAATTCGGTTTTATGATCCAATCTGGAAGTCCTTTAAAAAGTAAGCGAGCCCATTTTCCTCTTTCCAGATATGCTGGCCACAGTCAGAACACATTCATGTCTTGCTTGTTTCTATGGGCTTTCAGCCTTTCACTGTGAGGCAGAGGAGCTGCTTGATTTCCTGCTGTTGGGGACTCCGTCCTGTCCTGTTGGCGGCCCTTTATGTGACCCGTCAGCCTGCATGCCCACATGTAATGTCCCGGACATTACATGTCCCTGCTTGTGCACACTGAAATCAGCCTGGACCCCCTCCCTCAACCGCCCCTAGAGCCCAGCTCTCATCAGTAGCATTATCTTCATGCTCTCCTTTGCTCCTGAACACACCTCAGCTTCTGCTCCCACCTGACTCAGCGGCTCTGGCTCGCCGGTGTTGGGGGTGAACTTACCCTCCTTTCTCCCTGCTCCTCCCACTGCCCCTTCTGGTGGGGGCAACATTCTGAGTACGCATCACTCCTTCTGGCACACTCACCCCCGGCAGCTGCCACTGCCCAACTTGTTGCTGGAGCTTCACCTGATTCTGCTGGAGGCCTGGAGCTCATCTCTCAGCAGCTGACTCAGGAAGGACATGTTCCTTTAATTCTCTATGCTCCAACCTGCATCTCTGTAGCTGTTACACCCAGAGAGCCACATGCCTGGATAGACACCCCTGGCTCGTTCTGAGGAGCCCACCCTGTCCCGAGCACTGGGTCCTGCTGTGAACAGCCTCCACTTGGCCCTATTTCTCCCCTTAGAAGCAATTTAGGCTTTTTGTTTTGTTTTTTTGCCTGGGTATCTACAGGATTCTTGGTTGCGTCCAGTAATCCTACTTACGACGTCGCCCAATGTGACTCAGCCCCGCTGAACCATCCTCTGGCCTGCTTGAATGCACAGTGCCTCTCCTCAGCAGCCCCTGCCCAAGGCGTCACTCGCATCCTTCTCTTTCTTTCCTACATTCCTTCTTTCTCTCTTTCCCAGGTTCTTTCAGCTGCACTCTGCTCACTCCCCACATCCACCTTCGTGCCGTTCTTGTGGTTCCTACTCTCTAGTGTGTTCCTTGAGGTTTAGGCTTTGCTTAGAAAATAATTTTCTTTTCCTTGTTTCACTCCTGAGTTCTACAAGTTCCCAATCCTAGCTCTCCTTTCTGCCTGGCTATCTCTGAATCCTCATATTCAAAAAATCTGTGAATATTAGAGTATAACTTTTATCTACTTTGTGATAAAAATTTTTCTAAGTGGCTTTTCTCCATCTGTAAGGAAGTTCTGCTGTTTTGGGTCAGGATTTTGTTTTTGTTTGTTTTAGAGACAGAATCTGTTGCCCAGGCTGGAGCACAATTGTACAGGACCTTGGCTTACTGCGCGCCTTGGCCTCCTGGGCTCAAGCGATACTCCCACCTCAGCCTCCTGAGTAGCTGGGACAACAGGCACATGCCACTGTGCCCAGCTATTTTTTTTTTTTTTTTTAGTAGAGACAAGGCCTTGCTGTGTTGCCCAGGCTGGTCTCAAACTCCAGGCTGGGCTCAAGCGGTTCTCCTGCCTCGGCCTCCCAAAGTGCTGGGATTATAGGCACACGCCATTGCACCTGGCTGGGGTTTTCTTACATAACCTTTTCATTGTTTTCTGAAGAAGTCGGATTTCTTGGAGCGGGTACTGGCTGGGTCCCAGGTTTGTCTCACTGCTGTCGGCTTGATGGAGGTCTCCTCACCACAGAACCCAAGTCTCTGTGGGCCCTCAGAGCCTCAGGTCCCTTTCTCTCTGCCTTCCAGCATGTTGCCTTCCTTTTGGAAGGTGATCCTTTCAAAGATGTGTCATCTCTTCTTCCCAGGAGCTCCCCATGCCTTCTTTTCCCACTGCTCCCTTTCAACTCTCAGCGCCGCTGGGGGCAGGCCCCAGGTGCTGGCTCTGCCTGCCAGGCCGCACTCCCGTGTCTCTGCACCCCCTGTGTCCGGGTGACACTGCAGGTCTCCAGTACTTTCCTCTGCCTGTTGGACTTTCAGTGGATGGGTCTGTTTGTCCCACAGTTTCAGTGAAGATGTACTTTGTGTACATTTTTTGTTCTGGAAGTGAGCAGCTGCCATCTGCTACCAGAATCCTATGTATAGATTTGTTTGGCTGTGAATCACATTCTCTTAGTTTTTTCTTTGAACACTACCTTTAGGATCTTTCCAACTGTCGGACGTGCATCTAATCTAGTTCTTCCTCTCCATGCTGTCTCCTGTGTCTCCTCCACCCCAATAACTACAAACATTAAGGCCTGTGGGAGCCTTTCCTTGTTGTTACTATGTACTGACCCTAATGTGAATCTTAGTCTTAACTTATACATTTAAACCACTTACATATATTGTGATTATTGACATTTTGATTTTTTTTTAATCTGTGCTTTCTAATTACTATTATTTCTCCTTCCCCCATCTTCCTCCCGCAGGTTCTACTAAATTGACTTTTCTTCATTCTCCTTTTTACCCTTTAATGGTGTGGAAGTTACACCTTCCACTTCTATTCATTTAGCAGTTTCCCATGTAGACGTCACATGTATACTTTAACAAAGTCTAAGGTTAATAAATCTCTTCCCTCCACCCTCACAGAACAAGCAGCTCACCCTGGCGTCACCACGCTCCCGGTGCTCCCTGTGACCATTAGTGTTCAATGCCTCCTCCTTTTCATCTTCCTTCCTGCCTCGCAGTCATCATCATCCATCATAATTTGACACAACCTGACTTATTTAAGACATATCCACATACCCACAAACTTGTCTGTTCACTGTTACTTCTTGGATCTCACATTTAACTTCTGACATTCAATGTTCTTCTTCCTAAAATATCTCATTATTTCATTCAGCTAAATTATACTGATGGTCAGCTCTCTCCATCTTTGTCTGAAGTCACAGATAAGCAGAGCACTAGAATGCAAGGTCTAGGGTTATTTTCCCTGGTGTGTAATTCTTTTAATATGCTGCCAATTTGGTTTGCAAGTACAGATGCTCCACTTGAACCTGGCCCAATTTCTCTCCCAGATAGTATCAAAGAACTGAAATTTCCCAGATAACCCATCTTGACAATAAGACACCAGACTGACCACGTGCTGCCTGTTGACCAACTCCCTTTCCTTATCCCTCCCTAATTCCTGTTTTCCCACACATGGTTACAATGAGATGCCAGACCCCTCATCCAACCACCTGCTGCCTGTTGACCAACTCCTGTATAACCACTTGAGTTGGCTGGGAAGATGGATTTGAGGCTGGTCTCGTCTGATGTCACCCACATGAAAGCCTTTCTTCTCTGGCAACACTGACTGTGTCAGAGATGGGCTTTCCCTGCAGCGAGAAAGCAGACCTAGGCTGAAACCTCAGTGTCTGGCAACACTCTTACAATGGGGCTATGTCCCAGTAAACCCACTGTTAAGTTGGAAATATCTTTTTTTTTTTTTTTGAGACAAAGTCTCGCTCTGTTGCCTGGGCTGGAGTGCAACAGCATGATCTCGGCTCACTGAAACCTCTGCCTCCCAGGTTCAAGCGATTCTCCTGCCTCAGCCTACTGAGTAGCTGGGATTATGGGCGCCCGCCACCACGCCCAGCTAATTTTTGTATTTTTAGTAGAGACAGGGTTTCACCATATTGGCCAGGCTGGTCTCGAACTCCTGACCTTGTGATCTGCCGGCCTCGGCCTCCCAAAGTGCTGGGATTACAGGCATGAGCCACCGTGCCCGGCCTCTCAGGAGATTTTTAATTACTGAGTCAATCTCTCTACTAGTTATAAGTCTATTCAGATTTTCCATTTTTTTCATGATTTAGTCTTGGTAGTTTGTGTTTCTAGGAATTTGTCTATTTCATCTCAGTTATCCAATTTACTGGAGTACAGTTGTTCACAGTACTGTCTTATAATCCTTTTTTATTTCTGTAGAAGCAGTAATAATGTCTTCACACACCCAGTTCTGATTTTAGTTATGTGAGTCTTTTCTCTTTTTTTCCTAGTCCATCTAGTTAAAGGTTTGTCAATTTTATTGATCTTTTTAAAAAACAAACTTTTGGTTTCATTGATTTTCTCCAGTTTTCCAATTCTCTATATAATGTTATAACTTGATTATATTAAGTTTAACTTCAATAACATAAAAACCCTGCCCCTTTACAGCTCTGTCCCCATCCTTTTCAGTTGCTCATATCACAAAATCACATCTTTATGTATTGAGTGCCCTAAAACACAAGCCAGTAATTCATGAGTAAAACTAGTAATACATGAGTAGCTTAAATTATATAGAAAACAAAATGTTAGAATTTACAAACTAAATTACAATACCAGCTTTTAAACTAGTAATTGTTTTTTAAATGTATGTCTCTTTTTTTTTTTTTTTTTGAGACAGAGTCTTGCTCTGTCACCCAGGCTGGAGTGCACTGGCACGATCTTGGCTCACTGCAAGTTCCGCCTCCCGGGTTCACGCCATTCTCCTGCCTCAGCCTCCCTAGTAGCTGGGATTACAGGCGCCTGCCACCACGCCCGGCTAATTTTTTTGTATTTTTAGTAGAGATGGGGTTTCACCGTGTTAACCAGGATGATCTCGATCTCCTGACCTGGTGATCCACCCATCTCAGCCTCCCAAAGCGCTGGAATTACAGGCGTGAGCCACCATGCCCAGCCCTATCTCTTCAATCATGCAGACAACAAACAAACAAATGGAGTTATAAACCACGGTTACAACAATACAAACTTTTATAGCTGACCATGTATTTACTTTGAGATCTTTCTTCTTCATACAACTTGTAGTGACTGTATGGTATCCTTTCATTTCAACCTACAAGACTTCTCTCCATTACCTCTCTTGACCATTACTTGCAAGGCAGGTCTAGTGCTAAAAAACTTCTTCAGCTTTTGTTTATCTGGGAATGTCTTAATTTCACCCTTATCTTTGAAAGACAGTTTTACTGCATACAAGTCTTGGTTAACATTTTTTTTTCTTCTTTTAGCATTGGCCCACTGCCTGTAGGCCTTCAAAATTCCTGATGAGAAATTTGCTGATAATCTCATTGAGAATCCCTTGTGATATGATTTAGCTTTGTGTCCCCACCCAAATCGCATCTTGAATTGTAATCCTCAGGTGTTAAGGGAGGAACCTGGTGGGAAGTGACTGGATTATGGGAGGGTTTCCTCCATGCCATCTCATGACAGTGAGTGAGTTCTCTCAAGATCTGATGGTTTTATAAATGGTAGTTTTTCCTGGGCTCTCACACACTTCTCTCTCCTGCCGCCATGTGCAAAGGTACCCTTCACCTTCACCGTGATGGTAAGTTTCTTGAGGCCTCCCCTGTTATGTGGAACTGTGAGTCATCAATTAAACCTCTTTCCTTTATAAATTACCCAGTCTTGGGTAGTATCTCTAGAGCAGTGTAAAAATAGACTAATACACCTTGCATGTAATGAGTAGCTTTCCTCTTGCGGTTTTCAAGATTCTTTTTCTGGTTTTCGAAAGTTTGATCATCTGGAGTTTATTGAGCTTCTTTAGATGTTTATATTTGTGTGTTTCATCAAACCTGGGAATTTTTCAGCCATTATTTTTTCAAAGTTGTCTCTGCCTCTTTCTCTCTTCACCATCTGGGACTCCCACAATAGATATATTGGTCTGCTTGGTGGTAGCCCACATACCCCTTATGATCCGTTCACTTTTCTTCAATCTTCTTTTCTGTTTCTCAGGCTCAACAATTCCTTTTTTTGTTTGTTTCTCTTTATAGGTTTTCTATCTCTTCATTGATACTGCCATTTTGTTCATGCATGATTTTCTTGACTTTCTGCAGGTTTTCCTTTAGTTTTCTCAGCATCTTTAAGGCAGATGTTTTAGAGTCTCTGTCTAGTAGATCTATCATCTGGCCTTTCTTTTAGGGATAGTTTCTGCTGATTTTGTTTTCCCTTTAAATGGCCATATTTTCCTGTCTCTTTGTAGGCTTTTTTTTTTTTTTTTTTTTTTTTGCTGAACACTGGACATGTTAAGTCTAATAATGTGGTAACTCTAGAAATTAGATTCTTCCTCCCCTTGCCCTAGGTTTGCTGTTTTTGTTATTTTTATTTATTGTTCTTGTTTTGATTGTTGCAGGCTGTTTCTGTGCAGAGGATCAACCCAAGATGGAAATTTAAGGTCTTTCCAGATCTTTTTTGAGCTGTACCTTTCCCTGAGCATGCAGTCACTGTCTAATTTTCTAAATTTTCTTATTTTCCCCATAGTTGTTTTTGAATTTCCTAGTCTTTTAATGTCTGGCTCCCAAAAGGGGAAAAAGAGAAAAATGAAAGAGGGGGGCAATTGGTGCTGGCCCTTTAAATACTCTTGAAGATACTTCAGCTGGAGGGGGAGGGGCTTGTAACGACTGAGGGAGGTGTGATAACAACGGCAGCGCAGCGCACCTCTTTGTCTGCACCTCTGTGATCAGAAGCAGCAATCAGGGATCCTGAGCACAGATACCCACTATTTGGAGAAAAGGATCCTTCTTGCTCACCCTGAACCCCTCAAGCTGTGTGCGAGGTGCTCCAAGAACATGTGCATGGCTGTCTGTGGGGCATGGGTAGCCGCTGCTGTGCCAAGAGCTGAAACCAAAATTAACCCCAATTTGCCATCCAAGCCTCCCCTGGAAGTTGCAAGCCTTCAGTAGCTTCCAGAGTTCCAAAATGGTTACATCAGACAGGTCCTTCTGGTGCAACTGTGGTCTAGGTGGGGACACAGCTTCCTGCTCTGCCATTATCCCAGGATCCTCTCAATGACTCTATTTTAACCTCCGCTGCTGTTTGTTCGTATTTGTCTGATTTACCCTCCATATCTCATTCTTTTCTTGTGGCGTCTAAAGCTCTATTCATGGCTTTAACCATTTCTAATACACTTAGTTCACATTCTCCTTTAAATGTAGTCTTGTTACCTCAGGTCCTCGCTAAAAGCAAAGCCTTCCATTAGGAAGGTCTGCTCACGAGGGTCACCTTCTATTGCGCTTTGTAAACGTTTAAGTAGGGCTCCTTTTCAAATTTTTGTTTTGTTTAGAGACCGGGTTCCCATTCCGTCCCCCAGGCTGGAATATATTGACATGATCATAGTTCACAGCAGTCTTAAACTCCTGGGCTCAAGCAGTCCTCCTGCCTCAGCCTCCTGAGTAGCTGGAATCACAGGCACGGCTAATTTTTTTTCTTTTTTGTAGAGATGAGGGTCTGTGTTACCCAGGCTGGTCTCAAACTCCTGGCTTCAAGTGACCCTCCCAACTCGGCCTTCCAAAGTGCTGGGATTACAGGCGTGGGCCACTGTGCCCAGCTTGTTTTTTGTTTTCATAGGAAATATATGAGGTATGAATTGCTTAAATGTCTCTCATGTGTCACAGGCTTTATCTTTGCCTCAATCAGGTACCTCAGGTGGATTACCATGTCAGGAACCAACTTGTGGATTAAATGCTCAACCTGGCATTTCTTTTTTACTAATCAAAAGCAAACTGCAGTATCCACTTGGCATTTCTTACAGCACATAAGTAGTTTACATTTAGACTCCAAAACATAAGGCACAGACCTAGGGCTTCGATGTCTAACAAATAACCTCCCTGCCCTCCTCCCCAGATACAACAGAGAAGCATATTTGCTGCCTCTTGGGGCAAGTTTATTAGTCCCTTCCCTAGGGCTAAAACCCTCCCAGGGGTCTACACAGGGTACTCAACTCCAGTTGGCCACCAAGCCTTTGAGCAAGACTTATCACTGGTCCCCACATGAGGGTTAAAACACAAGCTCCTGCCTGCTCTACACGCCATGGTCCTAGAGGCGCTGTGTACAAACCCACTCTCGCCCTTATGGACCTGCTTCCCATCTTGCCTTTTTGCTCCAGCCCTGCAAAGCTTTCCTATTTACTTAGCAAGCTCAGGCCCCTTATCTGTCATCCTATGAGGGTGTTGCTGAAGAGTCACTGGGGCTTGTTCTTTCTCTCTCGTTGTGTATTCTTGGTTTTCTGTTCATTTTGCACTTCAGAATCCCTGTTCCAATGTCATAGGGTATGCCAGAGCCCACCTCCTAGAGAAGACCTGTGTTGACAGGGCCCTGAGAGGAATGTGCTGCTAGCTTATCCCCTGGGTGGTGCGCCCTGACAGAGCATGTAGGAGGAAGCGCTACCCACCTCTCTAGCTCTAGGGCTATTTCAAGACAATTCTTTTATTTAAAAAAATTTCATCAGCCAGGTGTGGTGGCATGTTCCTGTAGTCCCAGATACTCAGGAGGCCAAGGTGAGAGGATTGCTTAGGCCCAGGAGATCGAGGCTGCAGTGAACTATGACTGTGCTACTGCACTCCACCCTGGGTGATAGAGACCCTGTCTCAAAAAAGAAAAATAACAACAAAACCTAGGAGTAAAAAAATTTCAAACCTAAGAAAAAAATGGAAGAATACTATAACGAACATCAGTATACCCTTCACTCATTCAGTATTAACGTTTTACCACATTTGCTTTTTCTATTTATGGATATATGTATACACACACAAATTTTTTCCCGATCCTTTGAAAGTAAGTTACGAATATCTGACATCTGACCCTAAACACATCACAAGTCATTCTCTTGCGCAGCCACAACACTTTCCATACCTATGAAATTTAGCATGAAGAACAGCCTCCTGTCCAAATTAAAATTTTTCCCACTGCCCCCAAAAGCATACTTTATAGCTCCTCATCCCAGATTCAGGCTCTGATCAAGAAGCACACACCTCCTCTGGGTACTTCTTTAGTCTCTTTTAACCCAGGATTCTTTTTGTCCTTCATGACACTGACTTCTTTGAAAGGTGTAAGCCCCACGACCTGTGATTGACACAGAGCCCAGTGCTCCCCCGGAGCAGGCTCCACTGGCCACTGCTGCCCCACTACTGCAGGGGTAGGGGATATAGCTTCCCCAGGGGCCACCTGACAAGGTTCCTGGAACCATTCTTATTTCCATAGCAGCCCTTTCTCTCTAGGTCTCATCACA
Organism: Homo sapiens; assembly: GCF_000001405.40. Taxonomy (NCBI): domain Eukaryota; kingdom Metazoa; phylum Chordata; class Mammalia; order Primates; family Hominidae; genus Homo; species Homo sapiens. The sequence goes on along the minus strand of NC_000004.12, from coordinate 1,962,053 downwards.
TCTGTCTTCCATGAATTGTTCAACATTTTTTTATCGGTGATCATTTTCTATCTGGTTTTCAAGCACTACTATTAATCTACTCTTTTAAAAATAGCCAGACTTTCCTGCTAGATGATGAGCTTAAGGGCAACAAAAGGCAGAAACATGTATTCTATCTCCCTTCCTTTCAAAGACCACTCAGGCACTAAGGAGGCCACACTTCCCCAGCTGAAGTCATCCAGAAGCCAAAAGCCTGCCGTGTGAGGGAAGGGATGACACGCACCCCCACAGGGCTGTGGCCATTGAAGGAGCCGCCCTGGAAGGGCCCGGCAACACCTGTCAGGATTGGGCATCAGGCCCAGAGCTGAGCACTCCAGATGTACTGTCTTTTATCCATGCCCACTTTTACACAAATCTTCCTATCCTCCTTTTCCTCAGAACATTGATCCCTCTAGCACCTAGGTTCCAAAATGGTTAGAAATATGGGCTGCATACAAGCAACAACCAAGCAAAAACGATTCTGCTACACAACAGAGAAGATGCTGAGACCTTACCCAAAGAGCACTGAAAATTAAAAAATAAAATACAATCACTTTTTAAAAACAAAAGAAGATGCTGAGACTTCCTCATCTGTGTCCTCTCTACTTCCCTGCCCTGTACTAAGGCTGCTGGGAACGCTCTGCATGCACACCCGGACAAGCAGAGCCTCAGGGTGCCTGGGTGCTGAGAGGTGGTTAGCTCTAGCCCTCCGGCGCAGCTGAAAGACACGCTGCACCTCAGAAGAAAATGTGCAGATGTTTGAAAATAAGCAGCTAAGGAGACAAATGCTGGCGCTGCCACAGGGCAAAGTCCAGTTCTACAGGTGACCATCAGGGCTCCAGGTCCAGCACACTGCAGAAGCTCACAGTGGAGTTCCGCATTACCTTGTCTATAGTGAGCATGTAGAAGTGGGTGATGTCGTTCTCGTGTGCGTGCTTGATTCTCGCCATGCACTCCTCCTCGTCGATCAGCTCCCCAACGTACTCGTTAACAAATTCTCCCTGGAAATCACAAGCATGTGGCCATGACAAAAAGCGTGCTGACCAATCCTCAGTGTCGGGGCTCAAGACTCCCCATCATGATCACTTAGAACGGGCACCACACACATCAGCATACCTCCGTGGAGGGCGTGTACAAAGTCTCCATAAATTAAATTCAAAGGATCTCAGACATATCTGTATGTAAAGGTTGCCAATGAAAAATGTATTAAGTATTCACGAAGTGGCAATATGCCAACCCTTGCTTCCTACACGACCTTGTCTCAGGAGCGCTGTCTGATAACCAAGCTTCTACATAACCCACTTTACACGGTGATCCCCACAACAGAGAAAATGGCTACAAAGTATCTGACAGGATGTAAAGCAAGAGTCTGGGTGAATCAGCAGTCAGGCAGGCGAGGAACAAGGGTGCTGGGGAGGTGTTTCTAAGCAACCTTTTGTGCTGTTGCTGGAACTGGCACCAGGCTTATGAACTCTCTGTGCTGGGTCAGCCCTGGTATGGACCTGGGTCATGCCAAAATACATCAGGGTCAGCAGTTCTACATGTCTCTCAGTCCCTGGATGTCCTTGGGACACAGTCTGGGAGCAGAGGCAGGAGGTCAACTGTCCTGGTGTCTACCAACGACTTGGTCCTAGACTGTGCCAGGACCACCCCTCACAAGAGCAATCTCCTTACGCCTGCTGGTGAGTGCTCCCAAGCACCTGGCTACTAGCCCAGAGGAAAGTGGGTCACTTCACAGATCTTCCATTTCATAAAAATAACCATCAGAATTCTGACATAAGGCATGTTTTAAGGGAATGTGTGAGTTATAGCAGATACCTTTCATGTAACATTTTAAAATATTCAATTGTAATAATTCAATTCAAAAAAATATTTCAGGTCAGGCACAGAGGCTCTTGCCTAAAATCCCATTGCTTTGGGAGGCCTAGGCAGGAGGATGGTTTGGGGCCAGGAGTTCGAAATGAGCCTGGGCAACACAGCAAGACCCCATCTCCAAAAAAAAATAAAATTATTAGGGCATGGTCAAACACGCCTGTAGTCCCAGCTGCTTGGGAAGCTAAGGTGGGAGGATGGCTTGAGCCCAGGATTCTGAGGCTGCAGTGAACTACAATCATGCCACTGCCCTCCAGCCTAGATGACAGAGTGAGACCCTGTCTCAAAACAAAAACAAAAAAAATTTTTTTTCCAAAAAATACCATTCTCACATGACTACAAAACCACCACAAGCAAACCTAGGCCTAATTACCCAGTGAACCGTAATTTCTCAAAAGCAGGGGAGGGGATAACGACACATACCTTTCTGATGTCCCTCTTGGCGACCAGGCCCCACCCTTTGCCATCTGTCTTGATGATCTTGGTCTCTGGGTACTGGCGCTTGGTGAAGCACTGGTTCTGGCAGAACTCGCCCGCGGGACACACCTGCGGGTGGCACTCAAACATCAGCATCCTGTTCAGACACTCCGAATCAAAGCCACAAGGATTCTCATCTGTGGGCTTGCAGTTGCACTTAGGGATTTCTGAAATATCCGCTGTGTAGATCTGGACTTTCCCGTAAGGCTTATTCACCTGCAGGGAAGGAGTAAGCTGTCTTGGTCCACACATGAGAGCCTTCCGAATACCCTTGCACACCCACCACTGCCTCTCCTTACCCAGCCTCCAGGTGGCCTTTTAGAAAGCTTCAGAGTCCTGGCTAGGACACACTACTCAGAACAGCCCTCCCCAGATCCCAGAGGAGCTCTCCTCTGCCTTCTTAGCACAAGAGGCAGGCAGGGCAACACAACGCCCCCTCACATTATTTTATCTTAGTGTCTGTGCACATCGCTGATGAACAAGAGCTGACACGTATCCAGCCAGGCCATTGTAAGATGAAGAGAGAAAAAGCGTGTTGATTGCTTAGTACACTGCAGGGTGTCCAGCAAACGCTGGTAAGAGCTCTTCTGAGCAGCTTCCCGACCCATCTCTCTGACTCTTCCTTTACCAAGCACCAGCAGCAAGCCACATGGGAGTCCACCCCAGGAGGAGCAGTGCTAGGCAGGAGGGCATAGCCTCTGCTCTCATGACCTTGTGGTTTACTATTAGTGAAAGACAAGCAACCAAATAACAAAGCAGTAGAGACAGCTGAAAATCAGCTGGGGTAGAAATGCATAATCTTAGGGAAGAGGTGGCGAAAGACACTCTTTTCACTGCTGTGGTATGACAAACTGTACATTTTGGAGAACAATCTGGGAATATTCCCCAAGAATCTAAACATTTCATACTCTCTGACCCTGTGATTCTGTTTCTGGGAATCCATCCCAAAGAAAATATTATATAAAGATGAATACAGAGCACTTTCTTTACATACAAAGATATTGACTGCAGCCCACATTTTACAAGCAAAGGCAGAGCACCTGACCTCCGGCACACACTTATCACAAACACTCGTCAGGAACGGCCACGAGGCTCCTGGGGATGCGGCTTGCCGCACCAGCTCTGAGCGCAGGCAGCCCTGAGGGGCCTGGAGCTCTCACAGAGCCCTGCCCTGGCTGCACTTCCTCCTGCTGGGGCTCTCGAGCTCACTGGAATAAACACAGAACTGGCAAGCTCCCCTGCCGCCCCGCCATCTTGCTCTCTGAGGTACAGGATCTACGTGTTTGGGGCTCAGTCACTGAGCCCTGGCCGTATGTGACTGACTCCCAGCACTTGGCAACAGCCTGGTGCAGGTGGGAGGCTCATCCCTCAGCTCCTCCTGCTCCAAGCAGCCCGGTCAGGACTGTCACCCCAACCCTTCTCTAAGCTACCAAGCCAAGCCTCACACTCCAAGGCGGATCCAAGAACCCCCATGCAGATCCCCCCATGCCATTTGCTCATGGTCTCTTGTGTGGCCATCCATGCCAGGCACCACAGATCCTGGCTGGTGACAGTCCTCTCCCCAGCCATAGCCTGGGTGTGCCTAAGAACCTCTCACGGCCCTCGGGGAAGACTCCCTCCACACGCGTGCACGCAGCTCCCACACGCCACCTTGATGTGCTTGTATGGTGGGGGCTTGCGCTCGCTCTCCTGTGTTTCTCGGGCTTCCCTCTGAAGCTTAATTTCACGAAAACGAGCTTCAGCTTCTTGCAGTGCTAAAAAGTCAATGAAATAGGAGTAAAGATTTTAGTAAATACAGGTAACTACCTTTCAAGCTCCATATTTTTATAGTTCACTCTAAACTTTCAATGTTAAGTATAGTTTCTGGTTCCCATAAAACTAGAGTCTATGAACAACTGTCAGTGGGCAGGTATTTTTAAATGCGGCCAAGTGTGTGAGGCAAAGGAGTGCTCAGAGAACAGCCATCACCTCTCTACAAGACAGGCCCAGGGCAGAGTTCTGTCGGGAGCTCCCTGTCCTCCACTATGGCCTAAGGACAAAGCACCAGGGTCAAAGCCTGGGACTTGCTGTTCTCAGACAGAAAATAAAAATGCACCTGAGGCCGGGTGCAGTGGCTCACGCCTGTAATCGAAGCACTTTGGGAGGCCGAGGCAGGCGGATCACCTGAGGTCAGGAGTTCAAGACCAGCCTGGCCAACATGCTGAAACCCCATTCTCTACAAAAAAAAAAAAAAAAATTAGCCAGGCATGATGGCAGGTGCGTATGGTCCCAGCTACTTGGGAGACTGAGGCAGGAGAATTGCTTGAACCCAGGAGGTGGAGGTTGCAGTGAGCCGAGATCACACCATTGCACTCCAGCCTGGGCAACAGAGCAAGACTCAGTCTCAAAAAAAAAAAAACAAAAACAAAAAAACATGCAGCTGAGCTCCTCTCGAAACAAAAGGGGTTCTGAGAGATTAACCATAGGCTCAAGCAAGAACCGAGGAAACACACACCCCTACAATCCGTCCCAAGAAGGAGGCCAGCCCCATGTCAACCCTAGACGTGTCCTGTGGTCTGCCCTGTTTTTGCAGCCCCAAGTCAGCCACAAAGGTTTCTGGCTCTACAGGACACCTGCATCCACAGTTAGGAGACTTTGCCGACAGTCGCAGCAAACACATAAGTCCACCTCTCAATTTCGTCTCGCCCTCTTAATAATTTTTTAAAATCTTTCAATGCCTACCCATTCTTTATGAGATCTCTGAATGCCCACCATGCACTCCTACCACTCAGTGCAGCCTGCAAAGCTTCTGGCAGCATGGAGCTAACCAAGCTTTAAATACGCGGGTCCCCGCCTGCAGTCACACAGGAGCCAGCACTGACCCGGCTGCAACACAGCGTGTGCTTCTCCCTGAACGAGCCACATGCACACACCTCGGGTTTTCTCTACTGGCCTCATTCTCTCTTGACCGATCATAAATACCAGTTCCTCCAGTTCCTCCAGTGAAGGGTCACATCCCCATCCTGCCTCCCTCAAACGTGGGTCATCAGCCAGCCATGCCACATCGTTGCTCCTGCCTCCCACCCCAGCTGGGGAATCAGAGGCCAAGCACCTTGTCTGCTTGACCACCCCTGATTCCTCATGCACTGAAAGGTAAAGCGAGCCCCCAAGAGCCTGCTGCACAAGGTCGAGACAACAGGACCCTTCCTTCAGATCTGCATTTTACATAAAGGCAAGCCATGGAACATTTCTGTAAATTAGTATTAAAAATAATTTCTGAATAATAGGTTTACAGAATTTTAATGAAATTAATCACAAACCAATGTTACAAAAGTTATCAGTGTATCTTATTCTATGCTCAACAAATAAACCAGACTGCAAACATTTTCCTAATTTAAAAAAACAGATTGAATGCTTAGTCCAGTATTTTCTATAAAGATCAAATTTTAAAAAATAGAAATTAGGGGTAAGAAAATGCACGAGAGTGCTGTCTCACTCTCTATCTGAATATCTCCGTACCGTTTTTGAAGACTCTTCCGATCCCTCTGACCCCCTGGTAGCGGCTGCCCCGGTCCCCCTCCATGTACGGGAACACTCGCGCCTGATGCGTCCAGTAATAATCTTTAGACCCAAAGAAAAACACAGGGAATTCTCCAATCTCGTGCTTCATTTTCTGAATATTTGGGGGAACATTTTTGGGATGGCAAACTTCTGCCGGCCACCATCTATTATAAATATTAAAAACAGGATTCACAGACTCCTCAGAGACAGCGATAATAATTTCAATACTTTAAGTACTGTAAAGCGAACACATGTGAACAGAAAAGACATAAAAGCATACGATTCTATGTCTCACACCTGTAGTTCCCAAGTTTCACCCAAATGATATCCTGGAAGTGCAGCTTCTTCCCAGCCCTGCAGTCATTGCAGAACCAGCTGCCGTCAGGCATCTCGATGTTCAGGCAGTCAGGGTGGAAGGCCGCTGGGCAGGACTCACAGCACAGAAGGCTCCCCCCTGCAAGAGGAGGGCGAGGCGGCCAGGCTTAGCCTGTCTGCTATGGCTCAGCCCAGATTCAGTGCTTCACAGTCTACACTTATTACAGCCTTAACTTATAAACATCAGTTTTAAAACAGCGATCTGTACATCAGCACGAGAGCAAATGTCATTTTCACCACAAATAATTTCCTGTATGTTTGCGAAATGATTACAATTAATTTAGAGCTACTGTGATATACTATTAACGTGAAGACGCACAGAACACTGTCAACATCAATGAACACAGCGCAGACAAGGAATGAGCCTGCCTTGATATGTGGCTCCTGGGAGTGTGAGAGGCGTGTGCCGCAGACACCCCCAGGCCCCTCACCTTTGGAGCACACGAAGCACCAGCTCACGTTGACGTGGGCGTGGTGTCGCTTCCCCTTCCGAGCAGTGAAGTGGGCAGTGCAGATGATGCTGTTGGAGGCGATCACTGAGCATCCTGCTGCCAGACAAGCATCCCCGCTGTGATAGGCAACGGGGCAGCGGACACACCGCATCATTTTACCTGAAGGCAAAGAAACACACCCTAAGGACCCCAAACACTGACTCCAGTCATAGTGAAAAGAGCAACTAATAATTACTCAGCCTCCATGAATTTGAAAAGTTAATGCTAAAATGAAATGGAGGTATTTGATTTAAAAAAAGCTTTCAGAGCAAAGGTGCTTCAAAACCATGTTTGAGAAAATGGTCATACATCTAAAATGCCGCGTGTCTCAGCCTGGGCACTGCAGGCACCTGGGGCACGTGGGCAGCCGACCTGGGCATTGTGCAGTGTGGAGCAGCATCCCTGGCCTCTACTCACTAGATGCCAGGAGCACATCCCCAAAATATCCCCAGACATTGCCAAATGTCCCCTGGAGGACAAAATTGCCCGATAAAGAACCACTGGTGTCAAGAAGTACAGAAAACCTGCCACCCTCATCCCACACACCTAACATTAGAAAATCCAAATGTAATTTGATTTAAAGATGTTTTCTTACATATAATGGGCCATTAAAACCAGAGCAAACAGGCTGGGTGTGGTGGCTCATGCCTGTAATCCCAACACTTTGGGAGGCTCAGGTGGGAGGATTCTTTGAACCCAAGAGTTGAAGACCAGCTTGGGCAACACAACAGTGAGACCTCGTCTCTACAAAAAAATAAACAAAATTAGCCAGGCGTCGTGGTCACAGCTACTTGAGAGGCTTAGGTGGGAGGATCACCTGAGCCTGGGAGGTCAAGGCTACAGTGAGCCATGATCACACCACTGCATTCTAGCTTGAGCAACGGAAGGAGACCCTGTCTCAAAAAAAAGAAAAGAGGTCAGAGCAGTGGCCTAATAGTTCAAGACCAGCCTGGGCAACATGGTGAAACCTCATCTCTACAAAAAAATACAAAAATTGGCAAGGCGTGGTGGCTCATACCTGTAATCCCAGCACTTTGGGAGGCTGAGGCGGGTGGATCACCTGAGGTCAGGAGTTCAAGACCAGCCTGACCAACATGATGAAACCCCGTCTCTACTAAAAATACAAAAATTAGGTAGGTATGGTGGCACGTGCCTGTAATCCCAGCTACTGAAGGGATGAGGCAGGAGGATCGCTTGAACCTGGGAGGCAGAGGTTGCAGTGAGCTGAGATCGTGCCACTGCACTCCAGCCTGGGCAACAGAGGGAGATTTTTTTTCTCCAAAAAAAAAAAAATTTACAAAAATCAGCCAGGTGTGGTGGCATGTGCCTGTAGTTCCAGCTACTCAGGAGGCTGAGGCAGGAGGACAGCTTGAGCCCGAGAGGACAGCTTGAGCCCAGGAGGTCAAGGATGCAGTGAGCTGTGACTGCACTGCACTCCAGCCTGGGTAACAGAGCAAGACTCTATCTCTATAAAGAAAAAAAAAAAAGCCAGGGTAAACAAAATCTATCAAATGGTCCAAAGGTTGCCCCTCTCCTATAGTTAAGCATCTTTAGGGTGATATTTAGGATGGAAAGAAGGAAAAGGGAGACAGGTCCTTTGTCAAAGAAAACCCAACCCAGCCGATGTCCAGTTAGTCACTCAAGATAATTAATGCTCTTTGGTGACAATCCCAACAGCCCACCTTCCCAAGCGCCCATGGGCCTGCGTCTGGCCTGCATCTGAACCCACAGCAAGGCTGCGCAGGTGCACCTGTACCTTTTGACGGCCTTGGGTTTGAAGGGTTGGAAGCATGGCAGCTCACACAGCTGTGGAGGGGGCAGCGGAAACCTCGGCTCTCAAATACAGTCAGAGGGTATTTTTTCACACAAGCCTCATGGTAAAATTTTCCACACTGAGTTACCACACAGCGCTTAACATCTGTCTTGCTCTCTTTACACACGAAACATGAGTGAATCCCTAACAAAAAGTTAAAGAAGGGGTGGAGAGAGAGGTGCAAAGAACAAGAATTAAATTGCAGTTCTGAGCCACTAAAATCAAGCAACTCCTCTTCAGAGGCAGCCATGCTGCTAAAGCACCTGGCCCTGTTTCCAACCTTGCTCACTAGTCCAAGCATTCTCCAGCAAAAAGATCCAGCCATCAAGGATTACCTTGCTGCGATCTGAGCTCCAGCTTCACCTGAAATACAGGAGAATCTTACTAGGCAGCCTGGCTGGGGAGGCCCAGTCTAACTGGCAAGAAGCTTGAAAGAAGGGGCTCCTATGAAAAGAGGCCTTTCCTCCTTGAGAGCAGCTGGCCAGTGGTGGAGCAGTCACTTATCATTCTGGGCAGGCAGACAGACACTCCCATAAGTGAGGTGCTGCTGTGGGGCTGCCATGGCCTGGGAGACTCTCCAGGTGTCTTCCTGACCCAGGAAGTGTTCTGACGTGAGATAGGAGACTCCTTGGGCCCGGTGAGTAGGCAGGAAGGGCCACGGCTGTGCAGGTGTCCTCTCATCATCCTCACAGACCCCAGACTGTGCCGGGCGACACCTGATGCAGTAACATGGAGGCAGAACAACAGCACTGACAACCCAGGACAAGCCTGGAGCTGTTCTTTCTGTTGAAACTGAGGCTCAAGGTGACACTGTGTCTTCATAAAGAACTCCATGTTCCTATGGACTTCAGTGTTCGGTGACCAACCAGGTTACCTGTACCCTTAATGCTGCACTGTCTGAGCGGCAGTGCCCTGTGGTGGCCGCCTCACACATAGCACAGGCTCAGGCCAGCCCACGGGATGAAAAGCCCATGACCTGTCATCCCGCCACCCTGCCCGCCACCTGATGGAAAGGTACCAAGGGGGCACATACGACTGAAATCAGAGCAAACCCTGCAGCTACTGAGAGGTGGGTACACCTGCCAGCTGTGGGCTACAAGCTCCAGAGAGGGCCAGGCGGTGGGGGTGGGGAGGGGGCTTGTCCTCTGCAGGCAGCTCAGGGCAGGACTTGGTGCAGGGGGTTGCAGGAGCAGGTGGCCGGCCAGGCTGCAGAGCTGCCCGCCCGTGGGAACTTGCCTGAGGCACACTCGCTGCAGGTGAACCTCCCTTCTGGCCTCCGGGAAAGCCCAAGGCAGGCGAGGTGGAAAGCTCCGCAGCAGGGTCCTTCACAGAGCAGGAGGCTGCCCGGCTTCTCACACAGCTGCGGGGGCAGAGCAGGCGGGTAAGCAGCGCCCGGCAGTCCCTTCTGCACCTCTTACCACAAGGGAAGCCGTCTGCTTCTGTCTCCAGTGGCAGAAAATCCCATTTTGCTACTCAAGGATATATAATAACATGCATGGGCAAACGTCTGGCCCAAACAGAACGTACAAATACAGAATCAGATTAAAACCAGATGACTGTTACAGAAAGAGGCCAGTCCTCAGCAATGGCAAAGGAAGTAACAGGATCACAACCCTGAAGGATACATCCAAGATATTTCAAATCAGATTTGAAAATCAACAGAAATCAAAGGCACCCTAATCCAGATGGCAGGTGCCACGCTGACGGCAGGCAGTATTCACACTTCCCATGCATCGACTGCCTGGCATGGAAGCTCCCATGCCATCTCCAGCTGACAGATGGGGCGGGACTGAAGCACAGAGTGTAGGTGGCCTGGCTGGGGTCCTGTGGGCACACACAGGTCTAGTGATGGCCCCCTCAGCCCACAGCCTGGCCTGTCCAGTGTGCATGTCATCAGTGAAGCTAAAACAGGCCTAGCACCTCACCTTTTCCAACAGGAACTTTGTGTGTGTGTGTGTGTGTGTGTGTGTGTGTGTGTGTGTGTGTGTGTGTGTGTGTGTGTGTGTGTGTGTGTGTGTGTGTGTATTACATGATGTGTATACAAATCTCATCCTACATGTGAATTATGGATGTTAATGGAGACAACTCAATCCCAGGATTCCACTGAGAGTCAGTCTGACCCCTTCAAAACAGAGATGAGTGAGTGACGGTGAGATTGGGGAAGGGGTCTGGTGGGAAGGGAAAAGACACTACAAATTCGCTCTGCGTACCGGGGCCCCAGTCAGACACCAGCACGGACATAGCGGATGCTGCCTTCTCCTCACCTGGCACACATACTCCTTTTTGGCAGTCACTCCTCGCTCAGACTTTTTGGATGAGACAGATACTTCAGTTTGTGTTTCGTCTGCACTTTCGTATGGGGACTCCGAGGGCTCGTCTCCCGGGCTGTCCGAGACCTAGAGATGAAGGAGGCGGATGACAGTTCACTAGTCGCAGAACACAGCGGGTGGCCATGCCCTGCAGGCAGGCTCGTCCCGCCCCACCCCACCACCCACCAGTCTTTCTCAGCACTGGTCCTGTACCGCCAGTGATTTCACAGTGGAACCATCATCAACTGGTTTTTGTGATAATATAACCCGTCAATTAGGCTATGTAGAAAATTCAAAAACGGACTTTATTCTACCTAGTATTTAGCATATATATGCATATAAGAGGCATATTCCTTAAAATGAAGGAAGTGTTATGAACATCCAATTTGCTCTAGTAGGTGAACTAAGACAGGCTTTTTGGAACAAGAATCTTGGCCCTTCTTACCTAGTCTGTTCAGGTTCTACTACTCTAAGGTGGGAGAAACATGCTAACACCAAACGAATGTGTAAAGGAACCACAGATGAAGTAAGTGTCAGCCTCATCAGGTGACCGTGCAGTCCAGCTGCCGCCGGGGTGGAGACCATGCGTCCTTTCAGAAGTATGTGCCTACGCGGGGGTGCAGAGTCAGGAGAGTCTTCCGGACTCACACCACAGGCTGACCGTTCGGTTTCTCTTCTTCCTCCCATTGCCTATTTGTCCTGATATTTCACAGTTCACTTGTTCTCCCCACCAGAGAAGTGAGGTGGGCAAAGGCAAGGTAAAATCTACCTACTTGATTCACATCTGAGTCTAGGTAAAAGGCCTGGGATAAAGGCATGGAATCCCTGAGCGAGTGGAATTGCTCGCAGGTTGTATCTCTTCTGCCTCTCTCTCCCCTTCATTTAATAGAAATCACTGAAGACCAGGCTGAATACAGCCTCAGCCTCACCCTCACATACACAGCATTTCACCCTCACCTGACAAGCAACATCAACAAATATTTAAATGAATAAAATAGAGAATCTTCTTGTCTGTCAAATCAAGTGTTTAAAAAATTTGGTTTTTATTTGATGTTAGGTAAATAAGTGTTGAACACTGAATTTTGGAGATGAAACAGAGCAAAAGCATAAACTACATTTCCTGTACACCTCAATCATCACAAAAACAAGTAATTATGTTATCGGCTTGCTGTTTGCCAATGAACACGAAGTCAGAAATTGGAATTGGGCCATATTAAAAAATAAAAGCCAACCCCACCAGGGACTCTTGACCAATCCTGTGACCTTATCAGTGAGCTTTTCCACATTTAGCTGACATTGCAGGGAGCGGTGGAAGAAAAACAAATTAAAAACTAACACAGAAGTGTTTGCTGACTTCAGAGTAGTGTTAGAGTGGGCTTTTTTTTTTTTTTTCTCGAGACAGAGTCTTGCTCTGTCGCCCAGGCTGGAGTGCAGTGGTACAATCTCAGCTCACTGCAAACTCCGCCTCCTGGGTTCAAGTGATTCTCCTGCCTCAGTCTCCTGAGTAGCTGGGTATTACAGGCACCTGCCAACAAGTCCGGCTAAATTTTTTGTATTTTTAGTAGAGATGGGGTTTCACCATGTTGGCCAGGCTGGTCTTGAACTCCTGACCTCGTGATCCACCCGCCTTGGCCTCCCAAAGTGCTGGGATTACAGGCATGAGCCACCGCACCCAGCCAGAGTGGGCTTTTTCCAAGGGCTTCCGTCGCCTCTGACTGGTGACTGTGGGTGGTGACAGATGTGAGCCACTCTTCTCTTCTCACTAGATACATCTCCTGACAGCACAAAGTCTAAAGAAAACGCAGCCTCTTAATCTTGGTTTCCTCACCTTTTCCAGGAAGATGGACTAGCGTCATGAACACTAATCAGAGCAGTGCACACTTTAAGGCTCTGTCACTGTGAGGCTGCCAGGAGGGCCCTGCAAGAGCCACAGCGCACATCCTGTTCTTTAACACCCACAAAGGGCCACTTGACGTGCTCTGAGTTCAAACCTCCAATTTAACAAGCGCATCAGATATGGACTCAGCAGTGGAGACCTGAGCACTTCTGAGATGAGACTGGAGGGGGAGCCAGGGGAGCACAGGGCATGGGGAAGCAGTGGCCACACTGTCTGGGGCCCCACTCAGAGAGTCACCCACACAGTCGCCCAAGCTGACCCATCTGATGGGGGAACCAAGGCCCAGAGAAAGGGGCCTTCTGCATGGCTCAGGGGAGAGAGCCCCAGCGCTATCCACCAACCCATGCTCTTCCCTTAACGTGGTGGAACAAACTTAAAAAGCTTTAAAAATGAGAAAAAAAATGCATGGAGAGAAAGACAGAAAACACAAAGCAGTCCTGGGTCAGAGGAAGGAACAGCACCTTTTATTTCAGATTTACAGAAAAAGTTAGCACGTTTCCACTTGGAGAGATTTCCTACATTAACAAAGTCTGTTTTGAGGAAATAAACACTGAATACATATTTTGAATGGAAATATATAAATGTTAACGACACACATGAGGCTCATTTCCTGATCAGGGTCTGGGACCCACATACAGAATATAGACCTTACAATAGTACAGTCCATGACACAGATTGCAGAGATTCCGACTTTTTCCCACCACACCCCCTCCCAGCCACCGGACAGACAACTAGCCACAGTCGGGGAGGATCCAATGCTCTCGGCTCGGCAACCACCCGCAAGGAGAGCAAAGTACGAGGGCGTCCCACAGCAAGCCTTACTCCAGCCGCAGGCTCCACCTCCACGCACCAGGTGACGTGACTCACTCGGAGAAGCCATTTGTGGAGGTGGCACATTCACCTGTACGGTCCCAACATAGTCCCAAATCTCAGTCTACAACATCTACGATCTATTCCATATCCAACGAGATGCATTTGGAAAGGAAAAGTGCAGGGACTGAGCGGACACAGACTCTGTCAAGAACTTTCCCGTTGTTTCCCGCGTCCACCACAGCCATGCTGCGGCACTGAGCTCCGAGCAGCTTAGCTCCTGACTTTTCAAAGTTTTCTTCAGTCTGAAAATACTTTCTCCACTCTCTACTCAGAATAAGATAGTACCAAGTTGCCTATTTGCCTTAGAAATACATTCCTTCAGGGCAGGGAATGCAGTCTCCTTGATCTATTACAGGGACTTTTCAAGATGATATTACCAAACATAACGGAACCTAGTGAACACATTCCAGCCAACTGCTAAAAGCACGTGGCCCTTCAGGGTGACCTGTATGAGCCGCAGTCAGATGCCACCTTCTGTGACTGCAAAGCGCTCACCTACTCTTCAGAGTGGCGTCATACACATTGAGTTTTTAATTTTTTGACAAAACAAATCCCTTCACAACTTGAATACGACATCGTTTTTGAAATACAATTACAGACCTTGAACAATAAATATTTCTATAAACTGACATAATTTTCATGTTGAAATGATGGTTTTGTAAAGAAGGAAGCTGATGGCGAGAAGTACCTCCACAGTGTTTGCGTTTACAAATGACAACAGCCCTGTGCTCAGCAGATTAAATGAGTGTGAAATCAAGACTAATTTCAAACAGGTCTTCCAAGTTAACAGCACAGTAAAATGTTAAAGTGGAATTAAAATAAGTCACTCATCATCTAAAATACTATAGTTCATAACAATTTTTATTAAAGTGACCCTTCTAGGTTACACAAACTAGAAACTTCCTGGCTATCCCTAAATTCTAGGGTCAGGGCTGGGGGTGAGTCTCTGAGAACAGAGGAAGTCTCCACTCCCAGAGCACCACTGCACACCACAGTCGTCTTCTAACCTGCACAGGCTTTTGTGTAGCCGTAGCCACATAGCCCCAAGCAGGTGGCAGCAAGGACCAAGTGTCACCTGTGGCCAGAGTGAGGCCAGGTGGCTGCTGCTCCCAATTCAAGGCCTGCCCTTGTCAAAGGTAAAATGAATCTAAAATATCCTATCAACCCAACTTTGTCCCACTGTGTCCTGAGCAGCGGCCATCCCACAGGGAGTGTGCTGGGGAGGAGCCTGGTCTGGCCGACTGCAGACAGCAGGCTGTGCACTGTCTGCGAAGGACTTGAGGACAATGACAAAACTGCCCACAATACACCTGCTTCCACTGGCACAGTGCTGAGCAAACCCCCATCAGCCGGACCAGGACCCCCACCCCTACCTCAGTCATTTCTTGAAAATACTATATGCCTGGATGGTCAGCATGCTTCAAAATATTACCCGAGAGTTATATGCAAAAAGGCCAACAACTATAGGTAGGCTAGAAAAAAACACAAATGTGGACCTAACACGTAACCATGGAGTTCAAAGGTATCCAACCAAAAAGATGAGGCCTGTCGGGCTGTTGGAGAGACACCCTGCTGTAAGAATGTCCCAAAGGAAGCATGCTCCTTGCTCATCCAGTATAGGAATCAGATGAATATAATACAAATAATTTTCTACCTGCTAATTACAGTCAATTTGACATCACTGCCAGGTAAATTAGTGGTAATTTCTAACATTCTACATAAAACAATAAAAATGGTACCCAAAGGGATCAAAACCAATTTCGTTGACAAAAAGTCCTAAAATATGAATCAGAATATTTCTTTTAAAATAAGCAAGACCCCGCCAGGTGCAGTGGCTTACGCCTGTAATCCCAGCATTTTGGGAGGGTGAGGCGGGTGGATCACGAGGTCAGGAGTTCAAGACCAGCCTGGCCAATATGGCGAAACCCTGTCTCTACTAAAAATACAAAAAAAAATAGCCAGGTGTGGTGGCAGCCGCTTGTAGTCCCAGCTACTCGGGAGGCTGAGGCAGAAGAATTGCTGGAACCAAGGAGGCGGAGGTTGCAGTGAGCCGAGATTGTGCCACTTACTGCACTCCAGCCTGGCCAACAGGGTGAGACTCTGTCTCTAAATAAATAAATAAATAAATAATAAATAAATGCAAGACCCCCCAAATTTTAGAAGTTAAGAAGCCAATAACAGCTTTGTGAGTATTTTAAGAAACCTTTTCTAATGACAGTTACCTCAGTTTCTCTGGCAAAAGACTATAATTTAGCTTTATCATCTCAAAGATAAACCGCACACCTCAGCAATTACCCTATTTATAGATTTTTTTTAAAAAACTAAGGTGATGAATCTATTGATTTTAAAAGCATAAAATGTTACATTTTCACACTAAGGCAAAAGGGCTCTCACCTGGTCTGTATACAAAAGTCTACCTGGCCAGAGGAAGCTTTGAAATTAATTAAAAATTTAAAAGGGCTAGATGTTAGAGAAGTGTGTTGTAAGTCAAATGAAAAAGAAATGAAGCAAGTTGCCAAAGTCATAACGACCTTATTTTTCATCTACCGCTATCAGACAGGAGCCTCTCCAGCGAGGGGAATCCGTGGCTTTACAGCCCTCCATGCACGTCTCAGGCCCAGACGCAGTGACTGATGTCAGCCATCAGAGGAGCCTCTGCTGCCAAGGCAACCCTTTCAACTCAACTGGATCAAACGAGCCAAGGACTTTTCCCTCATTTGGAAATGCTTATACTGGCTTCCATGCCGGGACACAGAGGAGGACAGAAGCCCAGCTCACAGCCCTGCCATCACAGGTGCCACACACTCACATCAGGCTTCTGGCAAGAGCCTTCTCAGGAGCACTTTCTTATCATCTTAATTTTATATACATCCACAGGCACTTTTTTTGGTTTTGGAACTAGATGCTAATTTATAATCTTAGTTTTCTTTTTTAAACTTCTCTGTGACAGACCCAGCACTTGTTCTGGCAGCCTCACACACACCTCTGGACACACACACCATGGGCAAGCAAGGCCAGGGCCAGGGCAGCACAGGAGCAGCAAGCTTGCTCCTGACAGCATGGCTCTCACACAGCATCCTCCCTCCTTTCCTGTGGTGTGCTCAGCTCTTAACGTCTCCAGCTACATGAGACTCTCCAAATGCCCATCTCCCCACCCCACCCCGTCTTGTTCCCCAGTCCCTGAGCACCCCATTTTAAATCTACCTAGGCTTCTGTGTGAAGTACTTAAACAAAAAACACAAAATCAGATCTCCCTAGAGCTGCGGGGACCTCTCGGAGATCCTCTAAGCACCACTCCACCCACTCAAGAAGCAGCAGTGGGACAGAGGAGCCCCCGACTCCTGTCCAAGGACTCTGCACATCACACACAGTCACCCTCTGCCTTTCACGACATGAAAGGTTGTGTCATGAAACCTCGCTTAAGTTTCCTATTGGTTTTAAGAAACATTCTCTTAAAAACACTGGAGCTGTTTCTAGTTGGGAGATACAGGTATAAGAGATAAAATATATACTCAAGACAGCACTGAGATGTAACTACACCTGGAGTCAGTATGCTGAAAAAAGACATTTAATTTTTGCATGAACACTGAGGAAAGGCCCAAAGATCCATCTAGAGCAGGTGGGGCAATTTTAGAAGCAGATATATAAAGGCTTGATGGCCCAATGGCTCTCAGATCAGTCTTAGAAAAACAATTCAGGACCTCTATTGCCAATATGTGCACTACCTGAAGATGCCACCCTATTACAATGGAGTACTTACGTTTTTAGAACAGCTACAATCTAAGCTTTTATATATTCTGACAAGTTTTCACCTCTAGTGAATGCCTCAAGTTTTACACTGGAGAGCCACCTCCCCTCTCCAAGCACAGACATAGTGTGTGGAAGATGGTCTGAAGTGAGTCAAATGGGACTAAAATGGTTCCATGTATGACAAACAAAATTCACCTCAACAACCGGCAATTCAAATGTCTTAAGGCTAGAATGTATCACCATTATTTTGAGGTTCTTATGAAATGAAGGAATTCCACGTTAAATTAGCAGCATAATGAATTTCTGTACTCTTGGCAAGCCAATGGTCCTCCCTAAGTTCTTTCAAACAAGAGCCGTTTCCACCCACCTCCTTCAGGAAACCAGGAGATGGTCCTCTCGGAAAACTCCGCTCCTCTAGGATGAGCCCACTCCTGGCATCTGAAGTGGGACAATGCTGCCACACATGGGACTGTCCCTCTCACTGCAGAGTGCTGAGTTCACTTGCCCCTGCCCACCTTCCCAATGTCCCCAGGGAACGATGTCACCCCACCCCCCGCTGAGATACACTATCATTCCCATCCACGTTCCCCCATGTGCCCCTGGTTATTCAGCTGATGCCAATGTCATGCTGCTCTTTGGACACCATTTGGTCATTTGCAGGGTTTTGCTTTCTCCATAATATAGAGGGAGCACCTATGCGCTGGCTGACTTCTAATGCATCTATCAGTTATGGGCTAGCTGGCTGGCCACCCATGCAAAATTCATCATGCTGTAATTTCAAATGAAATCCCTTCATTTTCACCAAAAGCCTTTCAAGATAGAGTCTTTACTTTGGGTGACTGCTTATTGAACCAGAGCCATTTTTATACCATCTTTTTTTCCCCATCTTTAAATTTCGTGGGGTTTTTTTTTGAGAATTTTAATTTTACTCTTGAGCTTTTTCATGTCCTTTGGAGTAACACAGCTTAGATTGCTCCTAGACCATCTTTGGGGCTATGTATCCTGCAACATTTGAGCAGAGCCAATAGAGGAACCCAACCAGCCCTCAGCCATACAGTCCAGCACCCTAAAGCGCCACACACACAAATCCAGTGTTCTGCCACTTCTAGGTTTATTTCATCCTCGCATGCATAATGCAGTCAAGAGGACCACTTTTCATGCCAAAGCAAAATTTATACTTTTGGATAAAAATAGAATGATGGCAATTTTATCATTTTTATTATTATAACCATTATTACTGTCACAACAGGAAACCACGGAGTCCTGGCCAGGCACCCTAAGCATCTTACATGCGTTACATTACTTAATGGTTTACAACAAAATATTAGTCAGAAACGTTCATTAAAGATAAAACACAGCCAAAGAATCTGCCGGGAATTAACTGTGGGCTACTCGCATGGTACTGTGAATAGCACACCTTCTGCTTTTATGAGCTGAAGGGCAAGTAAGCCTTTTCCTTACCATGCAAAAATGCGGACACCTGGGGCAGGACACCAGGCTGCTCCCCGACATTAAGACAATGAAACATGAGGGCTGATGCTCTATAGAAGCAACTGATGCAGAGGTTGGTGTACATAACCTGATTACAGTATCCCCTTGGTCCGGGGCCTTGGATCAAAAGGGTTAAATGGTTCACAATAATACTGTAAATGGTATTTTTTTCTAAAAATTTACTGTATCTAGTGTCATAATAAAACTGTTTAGTAAAAAAGGATAGAATCAAAACTCTTCCTGCCTCTTATGTTGGAAATTAGTGTAGTATCTACAATACTGAATATATCTCACTGGCAATGAGAACAGCTGATGAGGACTCCTCCTAACGTGTGCTGTTAGTTTGTTTCTGAGGGTAGCGACGCTGATATTTTCCACAAAAGTCCAGTAAGTTACAAACTAGAGGAGAAGCAACTCTAACAGGGCCACCCCTTCCGTGCAAAGCCCTGCTGCAGCTCTGGACAGCCCCCAACTAAAGGGACTGCCTTTCAACTTGAAATCTACATTGACCACTGGAATATGAACGTGTTTCTATTATGAGATGAATGTGACGGATTAAATGGCCTTGATTAGTTATCTTACCTTGGTCTTAAAATTTGTTATCTGTTTTCTTCATTGTATGTGTTTATTAATACCAGTAAAAACAGATTATCACACATCTTCCATAAAATGATTGTGATAGAAATGTCACTGAGTGTGTACGATGATACGCCACCTGCAGCAGCATCCTGGAATATTACATCATTCTAAGTGCAGTACAGAGCAGCTGGGTTCAAATCCAACTTGACTGGTGTGGGCTCCCACAAAAGCTGTTACCAGTGAAGGCGAAAAAAATAAGAATTTGCTCTACTAAAGGAATAAAAAATGAAGTTACAAAACACTTAAATCACATTAATTCCTTCACAGGCCTTTGTCATGCAAGTGTGTAATTTTAATTTATTCTCTTCCTCAGGGTGATGTAGTACCATGTAATAATTATTCCAATAAAAATTTTTATTTATCACATATACCTTTTTCAAGAAGAATTTAAACTACAACATGACCTAAAGTGTTCTGAAATACCAACCCTATAAAAGTACCTTATTTCAAACAAATGTGATGAAAGGGAGGAAATACAAACATGCAAAGGGGGTGTGACCCAATGGGTGTGTGTCAGTGTGGACCTCAAACAGCAATTCTCATGGTCACCTAACTCATATCAGAATCGGGCCCAGCAGTCAACAGGCTGTTTTTTATAACACTACACTTTGCCTCATATGCTAACAGGCATTCAGCATTGGAAACATCACAAACATTTACTGTAGTTCAGTCGCGTTAATATATAATAGACAAGTTTATTTGTTCACCTAAAGTAGTTTTAACAGCATAATTCTATAAAAATGAACACTAATGGAAGATTTATCTAAGCCATACAAAAGTAGTTTAATGGAAAAGACCCAGTAATTTAAACGTTTTCATATAAGGAACATGATGCACACTATGGGATCTATGCATCACCTTCAAAATGTAGGAAGGTGTATTAATTTCACATATTTAATGTATTATATAAATGTATTTAACAACCTATCAACTTCTGACATTCTGAAGAATTAAAATTTAAGTCTAATGATGATAAAATGCTTCATCTATGTCTTCTCAAGGTCAGGACAACTGCCTAGGCCAGGGAGACTGAGCTCCCCTGACTCATGGGCAGGCCTCGACCCCGCTACACTGGCCTCATGCATTACTCTAAATCAAAGCCTTCGATATACATGACTTAGGATCAGGAATAACAGAGAAGATCTCAGCAGGCTCCATGTTCTCTCTACTGTACCTGACAACAGTATAAGCAACAACTCAAGTGAATAACCGGACCAAAATTATGATAACAGAAAAACTCATTAAAAGCTCTTTAAAGCAAAAATCTCAACTTAAGTGAAAAATGTTTAATATTCTTCTTTGGAACTGTAAATGACCTTTCATTTAATTTTCTAAGATTTTAACCTGAACTTGGACAAGAAAGAAAGGAAAAAGGAAAAATAATTTGTATAAAATTTGCCTTTTCATATTTCAGTAAGCTCCTAGATGTTTCAGTAAATAATTCTTACTGCCTTTTCTCCAGTGTGTCCAAACATCACAAAATGCTTAATTATCTACACGTATCAAACTGTAAAGCAGCCCCAGTCCCACCATCCGTGAACAGGTCTCGACCACCACTGAGTTGGTTTGAGTCCCTGCAGAAAATCCCACTCGGAGGAGTGGTCGCTGAGGATTCAGAGTGGCAAGCCGCAGAGCTCTATGAGCCCCGCCCAGGTTGCCTAGGTCCCTGACCTTCCTGCACTGGAAGGCCTACACTCCTCTAATGAGTGGAAACAACTGAGGCACACCCCATCCTTCCTGGGGACCATGGCAGAGACCTGGCCAGAAGTGCCGCCTTCTGACTCAGCAAGAGTAAGGGGCCTGTCCAACCCTTGCCTCACTACCCTGTTCCAAAAGGGCCCCCAGTTATCATCTCCTCATAAACATGACAAAAACAGGACCCATGTCTACAATGAGAAAAACAGCATCACGGAGAACCAAATAACAAGAAATTAAAACTCCAAAGCTCTATGAAGGTAATCCCTAAAAATCAGGAAACCAAAACTACCTCCGAACAAAAAAGTGTCACACCTACGTTCTGTGGCTATTTGTTGTTTTTGGCAACGGCAAAAAATTTAGGTTTGATAATAAAGTCTAAGTGTCATGTTACAATGATGGCAGGCAGCAGCCCCAAATGGCTTTATTTTGCTATCATGTACTCTGCAAGTCCAGAACACAGGAGTCATATTACAATGGTAGTTCTGACTCACCTCAACACTCAAGTAACTAAAAATGTGCCAGAATTTAAAGGACCAAAGCCATGAAATGCATGAGAACAAAGAAATCTTTGGCTTCCTCCATGAGCCTAGGTCTGGAAGCAACAGGAATCAGGTGTGGTGTGTGAGTCGCCTTCCACCCCACCCAGTATATGTCAGCTCAACTGACACTGTGCCCTTTCAGAACCAACGCAGACTTACTTCCATGTGAACTCTTACAGTGTGAGGGCTACACAGAACACAACATTCTTCAGACAGATTTTAAGAACTATGAAACTGCATCAAGACTGAAGTATATCTGTACATGTACACAGACACTGTGTGCGTGTGTATAAAAAGTGCTCAAATAAACTAACATAGTGCACTGTTTGTCCATTTCATGAATCTGAGTTAGCCAAGAGGCCCTAAAACATCTGCACTGGCAGTGAGCACCAATGCTGCGCTTATGAAGTCTGAGCATTACTCACACTGCAGCGTGGGCAGCTAAATGGCCTTCATACCAATGCCATGGTTATCGTTATTATTATTATTTTACCTCATTCTCAGTTAAGGATGCAGAAGGAGATGAACTTTTGCTAAACCCAAGAGCTGAAGATGCTGCCGTGGAAGCCCGATTTCGCTTCTTCAGTGGTTTACATGCATCAGACAGATTTTTCGTTGCTGTAAAATAATTTTGGTTTGTAAAGTTTCAAATCATAAACCCTTGATCTTTTTACTGCTTAAAAATTACCCCTCAAATAAGTGAAGTTCTAAAGATGAATCTTCTGAATTCCTTTGTCCTTCTGGCTTAACTTTCTATCATGGAAAAATCTGAACATAAACAAAAGCAGACAAACTGTACAATGAACCCCATGTCCTCGCTACTTGGCCCCCAAAAACATCAACCTGGGGCCAGCGTGGCTCTATCCATACCTGGTTCCACGTCCCCCTGCCAGATTATTCTGAAGCAAATCCCAGACATATCATTTCATCCATAAGAAGTTTAGCACAAATCTCTAAACATAAAGTCTTACATATAACCACAATGCTACTCCCACACTTAAAAGTAACAATGCTCTTATATCATCAGCTAGCGTTCAAATGTCCAATTGCTCATGTCTTTTTTTTTTTTTAAAGTCTGTTTAACTGATTTTTAAAAGCCAGTCAAGCACCTCATGCAAAACAAGAAAAACAGAGCCATTGCCACTCTCCTCCCCAGGGTTTTGTTTTCCTTTTAATTAAGAGTTGGAGAAGGTATGACTTCTTCAATAAGGGATCAAACAGGTATTTCAAAAAGATAACTAAAAGGTAAAAGGAAGTGTAATTTCCCCTCTTATTTTTTTGACAATTATTTTTCATAAAGGTTTTAAGCTAGTTTCTTTAGCATGTGAAATATAAATAACGAGCCCTTACTGTTAGCTTACATGCAGAGGGTCAGGGTACTGAAGGGTGACAGAATTTACAGTAGCAACTGGCACCATCAAGTAAGAAACCTGAAAACTTCTGGTTGAAATCACTTTTCTAGTAAAATTTTAAATTGCAAATAATAGAGCCAAGTAAAAAGTAACTTCAATAAAATTTAGCCAAACCCTTCAAAATAACATACACATTAAAACAGTTTAGTTTTCAACCACAGGAGAACCTCCTTTCCTTCTTTTTCACTCCTAGCTTAATTGTGGATTCCTCCCCTGCCCTGTTCCCCTTCACCAGCCCCAGCCTTCCCCTTTCACACTCTCAGCCCACCCACCCAGCCCAGCCTGGGCACCCAGAAGCCAAGAAGGAAAGGGCGCTGACCACATTACCTGCCTGGCTCTTGAGCGAGGAGGCTGCCTCCATGGCCTTGTAAGAGCTTGTTCTGGCCGTTTTGTCAGTGATTGTGTCTCTCTATTATTTAAAAAAAAAAAAAAAAAAAAAAAAAGAAAGAAAAAAAAAAGAAAAGAAAAAAAGGAAAAAAAAAGAAAAAGAACAACAAAAGGAAAAGAAAGGAAAAAAAATCTCCTCATGTGAATGAACACAGGTTGCTGAAAAGTTTCGTGGCAGAAACTTCTTCCTTTGGAAATGTGTTCCACACATAAGTCATCCATGGTTGCCCAATCTCAGACTTTTTTCACAATCTGGACTGATTCTTTCTTCGCACCTCCCGCTCTCGCATCTGTCAGGAGGGCGAGGTGGGTGGGGCCACGCCAAGACCCGCTGCAGTCATGTGGTTAAGACACCTGATACGAGTCTTATTGAACATGCACCTAGACTCTCCACTGAACCCAAAGCAGAGGATGAACATGAGAAAAATGGATCCTTCCATTCAAGAGGTGCCCAATCAAGTTAGACTCAGCCCTGCTAAGTCAGGACCAACATTACTAGTATCACTATACTGAGGATTTCCAATTTTTAGACAAACACCAGATACACCTAATGAACAAAGATCATCAGTAAAACATGTCACAACTGAGAAAAGCAAGAAATGGGAGAAGGGATCATGAAGCTTTTCTCAAGGGCTGAGATTCTGAAAGGTGTGGCTGAAAACTGTCCTGTCCCCATAGCACTAGAGCAGCGCTGCCCAGGGAATGACTTGCCACTCCTGCACTCATACTCCATCTCACCCACCTGCCTGGAACCAGAGCCAGTGAGACAGGATGCGGTGAGGTGGAATCCAGAGGATCATGGACAAGGCGACAGGAGAATGCACTTGGGACAGTGCCTAGCATGTCAGAAGTGCTCAGTGCACATTGGGTGTCATATGTGGTTTGGCTCAGGTTTATAAAACCCAAATCTGAAGAGACAAGACACCATTACTTCTTTTTATCATGTGCTATCTCCTGAGATAGGAGCTAATAAAACATTACTAGCCACTTAATGTGAATTTTGGTATTCTGAGTGTCTAGGGTCATGTATTTTTTAGGTATAACATTTACACAAATATTTCAAAACAACCAGTTTCAGTATGATTGCCAGCAAAGGGCTGCTTTAATAGAAGGTAACCTGGCCAGCCGCAGTGGCTCACACCTGTAATCCCAGCACTTTGGGAGGTGGAGGTGGGCGGATCACTTGAGGTCAGGAGTTTGAGACCAGCCTGGCCAACATGGTGAAACCCCATCTCTACTAAAAATACAAAAAAATTAGCTGGACATGGTGGCACGCACCTGTAATCCCAGCTACTCGGGAGTCTGAGGCAGGAGAATCACTTGAATCGAGGAGGCGGAGGTTGCAGTGAGTGAAGATTGCACCACTGCACTCCAGCCTGGGTGACGAAGTGAGACTCCCTCTCAAAAAAAAAAAAAATTAGGTGACCAGAGCAAATGTTAAGTGCAGGCTTCCTGGTAACTACAAACCTTAGTGACTACAGGTGAATCTGACCTAGCTTACTGCTGAACACTTGATCACTCAACAACCTCACCTATGGCAGGTGCCCCAGAAGAATGTTCTGTGGGCCAGAAAAATGGCGCAGGGCCTGCCTGCTCCTCTCAACTACAAATACAAGTTTAAAGAAATAAGGTAAATGATATGGTGTCCACATATTTACACCTTAGCAATATGTGAGATGTATTTTCCATTCTTTGAAATAAAAAGAGCATTTTAACTCAGATCAGTGAAAAACAGGATGAAGCTTTACTCAAAATCACAAATATACAACTACTCTGTCAGAACTTTTTTTTTTTTTTTTTTTTTTGAGATGGAGTCTCCTTCTGTCACCCAGGCTGGAGTGCAGTGGCGCAATCTCAGCTCACTGCAACCTCCGCCTCCCAGGTTCAAGTGATTCTCCTGCCTCATCCCGAGTAGCTGAGATTACAGGCATGCACCACCACACCCGACTAATTTTTGTATTATTAGTAGAGATGGGGTTTCACCATGTTGGCCAGACTGGTCTTGATCTCCTGACCTCAGGTGATCCACCTGCCTCAGCCTCCCAAAGTGCTGGGATTACAGGTGTGAGCTACCACACCCGGCCAGAACTATTATCGAATAAAATAGAAATTCAAACAAAGTACAAAGTCTAATTAAAGTCTCAGTTCATGAAAAAGTTAACCGGACATCTGAGACAGTTGAAATGAATGGCACCACTTCATACACTAGGAAAAGGGCTCACGTCTTCTACATGCATGGGCACCATACGCTAGACAGAATAACCCGGTGTTTCCTTGGTTGGTTTCACTCCCCTGCAGGTACCAGGCAAACTCTGTCCCTGGACACATGCTGGCAGTAAGCGAGGAGCACAAGGACCCGGGGCTGGCTTTGTATCTATGCTGCACTTTTCCTGCACAGCCTGTTTAGTATTCCCATTCAGTAAACAATAACATGAATTACTAATAAACTAAATAAAATCTAGGTTCATTGCCTTTAATGAACTGTTGACTTTTTATTGACATGTAACACATATCTCTAATGGACTTTGATGCCAGTTCATTACTTACATCCTGAATAATAAGCCCTATAGAGAGGTTATGGTGTTTGGGGGTTTTTTTGTTTGTTTTTTTTTGAGACAGAATCTTGCTGTGTCGCCCAGGCTGGAGTGCAGTGGCATGATCTCAGCTCACAGCAACCTCTGCCTGTCAGGTTCAAGCAATTCTCCTGCCTCAGCCTCTTGAGTAGCTGGGATTACAGGTGCACGCCACCATGCCCAGCTAATTTTTTGTATTTTTAGTAGAGACGGGGTATTACCATCTTGGCCAGGCTGGTCTCGAACTCCTGACCTCAAGCAATCCACCTGCCTCGGCCTCCCAAAGTGCTGGGATTAGAGACGTAAGCCACCACACCCGGCCAAAGAGGTTATTTTTAGTGACAATTTTGTCCAATCTAAAAAACAAGTATTACTCAAAGCATTTGGATGTCTGTTTTCTTGCAGAGCAACACACCATCGGTTTCTGTGATAACACCCCTGGAGGGTAAGAACCTGCAAGCAGCCTTTCTCAATGGGGTTCTGTAAGAAATGCAAGCCTTCTGCTGAATACCAGCCTGGAAGGAGCTGGGTGCACTGACACCTGCATCTCATGTGTGCTCCCATGCAGGGAAACAGTGGCACCAAGAGTCACAGAGCATACACTCTGACAGGTCAAGCAAACCTGGAACACAATTACCTTCCGAAGACTGTGCTTGTCCGTCCTGAGTCTTTTCCTGGGTGTGTCCTCAGCTTCAGCATCTTCTGTAGGGTCCTGTATCCTCTTTGTGTGGTTTCTTTTTTTCCCATTTACATTACCTTGGAATGGGGAATGGGGAAAATGTACATGAAAACCACTCCAAAAGCTGCATTTGAAGCACTGTGAGAACCTACCCAGGGCATTCAACATACAGATCCAGCCCATGATGGGTTTCCTGTAACCCTGCTGATTTCCAGGGCTTATGTCTTACAGATCAAATCTCTTTACAACAAAAAAACTGGTGACTATATCTAACCTTAGGGATTATATTAGCATCTGTTTTATCTGTTTTTTATATATATATATATATATATATATATATATTTTTTTTTTTTTTTTTTTTTTTTTTTTTTTTAAGATGGAGTCTCGCTCTGTCACCCAGGCTGGAGGGCAGTGGCACAATCTCAGCTCACTGCAACCTCCGCCTCGTGGGTTCAAGCCATCCTCCTGCCTCAGCCTCCTGAGTAGCTGGGATTACAGGCACGTGCCACCACGCCCAGCTAATTTTTATATTTTTAGTAAAGATGGGTTTTCACCATGTTGGTCAGGCTGGTCTCGAACTCCTGTCCTCGTGATCCGCCTGCCTCGGCCTCCCAAAGTGCTGGGATTACAGGCGTGAGCCACCGCGCCTGGCCTTATAATTATAATTTAATGTATTAAAGCATTAAATTTAAATATAACCCAGTATTTTATCTATTTATTTATTTTTGAGATGGAGTTTCGCTCTTGTAGCTCAGGCTGGAGTGTAATGGCACAATCTCAGCTCACTGCAACCTCTGCCTCCTGATAGCCCAGTATTTTAAAAAAATCTTTTCCTAGGCCGGGCATGGTGGCTCATGCCTGTAATCCCAATACTTTGGGAGGCTGAGGTGGGCGGATCACCTGAGGTCGGGAGTTTGAGACCAGCCTGACCAACATGGAGGAACCCCATCTCTACTAAAAATACAAAATTAGCCAGGCATGGTGGCACATGTCTGTAATCTCAGCTACACAGGAGGCTGAGGCAGAAGAATCGCTTGAACCCAGGAGGTGGAGGTTGCAGTGAGCCGAGATTGTGCCATTGCACTCCAGCCTGGGCAACAAGAACGAAACTCTGTCTAAAAAAAAAACGAAAAACAAAAAAAAAATCTTTTCCTTACTAACATTCAAAGACTTGTGGAATTTAAGTTGAACTTAAAAAAAAAAACAACTTGCTACTTTTTAAACATTTCCTTAAACATGTTAAGTAGTAACACAACATTTATATATGCAAATTAAGGGCTTCCTCCATGTTTGCTCAGCTGTTCCATGTGTTAGGTGTTCCCAGGAATAGCAGTTAATCCAAGACCTAAGGCATCCAAACAATATCAACCTAAGACGGTAAGGTGTAAGTGCAAATTCTACAGAGATGATTAATTTCAACATGCCAATGTTTATTTTAAATATAAATCCAATATTATCATTTGCATGACTGCTTTACGGAGGGGTTCAGGGTTTTTATTAATGGACTCTTCATAAAACATCTTGCAGGGCCGGGCGCGGTGGCTCACACCTGTAATCCCAGCACTCTGGGAGGCCGAGGTGGGTGGATCACGAGGTCAGGAGATCGAGACCATCCTGGCTAACAGAGTGAAACCCCGTCTCTACTAAAAATACAAAAAAAAAAATTAGCTGGTCATGGTGGCGGGCGCCTGTAGTCCCAGCTACTCGGGAGGCTGAGGTAGGAGAATGGCATGAACCCGCCAGGCGGAGCTTGCAGTGAGCCGAGATCGCGCCACTGCACTCCAGCCGCCTGGGCGACAGAGCAAGACTCCAACTCAAAGAAAAAAAACATCTTGCAGAAGGACACTGTTGCCCTGAAGGACGCTGTCACCCTCAAGCCTCACTACTGTTGGGACAGGAGACACCAGCAAAAGAGTGCTCAGCTCCACAGGGTCCAGCAAGGCCTCAGGCAGAGGTACAAGTAAGTGTCCGTGCCCTGCTGCCAATGCATTCACAGAGCCTCACCTCAGGTCTAGGCCTGAGCCCAATGCGCAAGAAGAGTCAGCAGC
Organism: Homo sapiens; assembly: GCF_000001405.40. Lineage (NCBI taxonomy): Eukaryota > Metazoa > Chordata > Mammalia > Primates > Hominidae > Homo > Homo sapiens. Next base: position 1,933,172 of record NC_000004.12, on the reverse strand, counting down.
CAAAGCGTGGGGGCCCTCACCAGCTGCAGTTCCAGCCTGGTGTGATGGGGGCCAGGCAAGCAGCCCTCGTGAAGCCCACTCCTGGCCACACCACTGCAGGCTGGTGCAAAGGCAGTCTGGGGAAGAAGCCCGTGGAATGCTCGGCAGCAGGACCTGCTCAGGCACTGCCAAGCATAGGCACCACATGGCACAGCCAGCCAAACTCTCGAGGCCCCCCTCAGGCAGGTCTGCCTTCAGAACACCCGTTCGTGAGCACAAAGCCAGCCCCGCGCCTCGCTTTCCCACAGGCGAGGTCCTTGACACAGCACATCCTCGACACAGCACCTCCTGAGCACCTCTCCATTCATCCAGGATGAGGCAGCAGCCGCTTCTTACAGAAACAAGCAACAGGGGCATCTGTATGGATTTTCATTTTTTTTGAGATGGAGTTTCGCTCCTGTTGGCCATTCCATTGGCTGGAATCCAATGGCACGATCTCGGCTCACTGCAATCTCCGCCTCCCAGGTTCAAGCGATTCTCCTGCCTCAGCCTCCCAAGTAGCTGGGATTACAGGCATGTGCCACCACGCCTGGCTAATTTTGTATTTTTAGTAGAGATGGGGTTTCTCCATGCTGGTCAGGCTGGTCTCAAACTCCCGACCTCAGGTGATCTGCCCACCTCGGCCTCCCAAAGTGCTGGGATTACAGGCGGGAGCCACTGCGCCGGGCTGGAATTTTTTTTTTTTTTTTTTTTTGGAGATTGACTCTTGCTCTGGCGCCAAGGCTGGAGTGCAGTGGCGTGATCTTGCCTCACTGCAACCTCTGCCTCCCGGGTTCAAGAGATTCTCGTGCCTCAGCCTCCCGAGTAGCTGGGATTACAGGCATGCACCACCAGGCCTGGCTAATTTTTTTGTATTTTTAGTAGAGATGGGGTTTCACCATGTTGGCCAGGCTGGTCTTGAATTCCTGGCCTCAAGTGATCCACCCACCTTGGCCTCCCAAAGTGCTGGGATTACAGGTGTGAGCCACCGTGCCCAGACATCTGTGTAGATTTCTAACACTGAGGTCATGGGCGCGTGACAATGATGTGGTGCGCCATCCTAGTTGTTAGCACCAGGGTCACCTGAAAGTCAGGATTAAAGGACACCCAAGAACCTGCATACACCTGACACACACTGTGGGCAGAAACTCAACTGTCACTTCTATCCACTAAGCACTCAGCAAAATATAACACAATCAAATTTATGCTTACACTTCGAGGGTAAGCTGAATCTGGCTTCAGGAAGAGCTGGCTCATTTTTAAATAAGCCAGTCATTTAAAAGGAACACGTCTCTAAATTTAGTGTACTGATAGAGTGAGGTATATTTTCTTTTAAAGAAAATATACAAGTCCTAAATATCCTTGCTATTCTAAATTATAGTATTTGCAATGAACACTGAGGAAGTTGAACAAATTCAAGATTAATGAGATAGCTGATGAAGAGATCTAGAAACACCTAAATCAAGATGAAAACATCTGAGAAAGAGAAAGGTGACAGCAGGCACATGTGGCCAGACCCTTTCGCTTCTGGGCCCCGACTTCCCTTTAGGTGAGTCTTGAAACACTTTATGTTTGGACTCTCCAAAGCTCCTCAATGATGACTCTTCAGATATACAGTACTTTTTTTTTTAATTTTAAATTGATACCCTAATATGTCAGTTATTTTTACATTCAAATCTCAGTTTTCCACAATTTACATCCAAGCACATATTTATCACAAATCTAACCACTGTTACACATCTTCAAATCTTACAATGTCAGCTCTCCCTCCTCTTGCCACTGCCCAAAGCAAACTAGCACTTTTGGTTTTTTTAAGCCGAAGGCCTAGGAAGGACCAAAGGATACCTGAATTCAAGGTCAGTCCAGTCACCCTTCTTGCCCTATGAGCTCTCAGGCAAACAAGCCAGGAGCTGCCCACACTCCGGACCCCTGTAAGGTGCAGACTACAGCCGAAACCAGGAGGATTGCTCTCAGAAGCAAGAAAAGTGCTGCCTCCTCGGAAGTCACAGGCCTGAAGGCTGACCCTACCACATCATGTAAGCCTGGAATCCAAGAGACGACCTTCCCTCCCCTTCCTTCTTGTGTCCTCTCTTCACACAGCCCCATCAGCAGCAGTGACCACAGTGGCTGCTCAACTTGGGTAGGAGAGCAAGGGAGCCACAGGCCAGAAGGCACTACATTGAATAGCTCTCATAAGCCAGTAAACGCAGATGGCAGAAGCTGTTTTTACTGTGACCACACGCACTTGGACCGCTGGCCCAAACCCCACGGGTCAGAAACAGGGAGAGTGGACACACTTCCCTACGGTTCCAAGATCAGAGCTCAGCTTGCTACACTACACACATCAACCCAAGCAGAGGACATCAGCATAATGCTATGTTTACCAGAGTCTTCTTCAGCCTGGACAGGGGCCACCAGGGCAAACTTGGTGTTGTAGCGTGCTCTCTGCTTCTCACTCAGCAGACTCCACTGTGACCTGAGCAGCTCTTCAATCTCCTCACCTGAAGCATCTGGGTGCTCAGCTACCACCTGTGGGAACGGGAGAAGGTGCAATGAGAAGTTAAATCCGTAAAACTCATTGGGTTTTGTTTTGCATGAAATCAAATGCACGGCCCTTTAGAACTTAGTGTGTCGCATTTTTATTCCCACATCGTGGAACTATGTCCATAAAAGCTTCAAAGAAAAGTAGTGCTTAACTGATGCTGTGACTCAATGAAAACTCATAAATTAGAATAGTGCCAGTGAAAACAATTCAACTCTACTTCTGTAAATGTTGGAAATGATAAATGATAAAAATATATATATACTTTTCCAAAACCACTAACTCACTTAAGACCCAGCCTCTAGGCACCCCTGAAAAATTAGCTGTAGAGCCAGTGCCACAGGAACGCTGCCCCTGAACATGGAGGTGGGCTCAGCTCAGTGTCCTCACTGGGCAGCACCTACCCTCGTCTTTCAGGTACAGGCCCTGGGCAGGGGTGAAGGCACACACCAAGGAGTGCGAGCTGGCTTCTGTCACAGCCCAGGCCAGCACACGGAGACAACCTTGCACAGCCAAAAGACGAGGCTTCCCTACCCTCCAGCCACACCAGGGCTGCCAGCATCAGCACCCGGAGCATGCTAGAAATGCAGACTCCCGGGCCCCACCCCAACCTGCCTACCAGGAATCTGCACTTTCACAAGGTCTCTAGGATGATCCGCAGACACACCGAAGTCTGATCCTGGGGACTTCGCTCCACCTGGTAATAACCTGGGGGTTTGAAATCCTATGGTGCTTAGGTCCCACCCAAGATCAACCCAACCCACCGGGTCTGGCCTCAGTGAGTTAAAGGTTTCCCAGGGGTTGCTAATGTGTCCCCAAGTCCGAGAGCCACGGATCTCGAGAGCAGGGCACAGGGCTGACACACTAATGCCAGCCAGCCAGGTGTAACCCACCACCTGTTTCTGTTCAATGTCTGAAAAACATCATAATATTTCATGACACAAAAATTACAGGAAATTCAAACAACAGTGCCCACAAAGTTTTACTGGATGTCAGCCCCATGCATTTGTTCCCATGCTGCCCATGGCTGTCTTCCTGCCACAACAGCAGAGCTGAGCAGTCAGAACAGAGCCCTCACTGCTCACCAGCCCTTTGGAAAGTCTGCTGACTGGCTCGGCACCAACCAGCTCTGATGCTGGCTCCTCTACTGGGTAGTTCTGTGGACTTCGGCAAGTGAAGGCACTGTCTCTGCCTCCACTCTGTGAAACGGGGGCAGTAACACTCCACCTGGCAGTGGTAAGGAACCATCAGGTTAATGTTGGTTGGTTACCATTACCACCTGGACCTACCACCTGCCCAGCCAATACAGGTAACCTCTGCCCCCAAACCCAAACCCCTCCTCCCAAGACAGTCACCACAGACGGCTTCTTATAGCCTCCCATGGCCCCACCATGGGAGGCTCTTGTTGCCCTCTTGTTGCCTGGATGAGTCATGTGCTCCACTCCCTCTTGTCCTCACCCTGGCCTGGACACCAACACCCACCAATGCCCACCCACCACCTCTCTAGACAACCTGCAGACACCCCCAGCCTAACTGCCTGGGACCTCCCACCTTGAGGACACCTTCTGCAGTTCTGGGTCTGGCTCTGACCCCCAGCACTCCACCAGTGTTCCCTGTGGGGTCCCTGTCCCCAGCCCTGCATATGCCTACTCCTGCCACACCCCTCCCAACCCAGCAGGCCCTACCCTGATTGCTGCCATGACTCACTCCATGAGCCCACTCACTCCCAACTCTTCAAGCTCCAAGGGCCTCAGCTCTTCAACCAGTGGAAGTTTCTGCACAGGGCTTCGGATCCACAACACATCTGCCTCTCACCTCCTCAAACACAGCACATTCCTTCACGGGCCTGCTGCCCTCCCACCCACCTCTGCCCCTGGCACCCCATCACCCACCATGACTCCAGAGCCCCCAGTTAGGATGAATGCTAACAGTGTCCTTTACTGCTTCGTCAAAGCAGAGTCACAAGCGCCCTGCAGCCACCTCGCCTCACAAGACAGCCACCACGCCTCACAAGACAGCCACCACAGACGGCTTCTGCGGGGAAGCCAGGAAAGTGTCATCATCATCTGAGGTTAACAGAGCAATGACTCCTCATTAACGTCTCCGAGCTTCACGGTGAAACTGTATGGTATGATGGTTACGAGTTCTAAAAACACAAAAGCGCATGCTCACACACAATTAGGGTCAGGTCCCAATTCTCCTACTTCCTGACTGCATCATCTCACTGAAACCTTACAACTTTTAAGCTCAGGTTAGCCAGCTATAAAGCAGAGATAATTTATATTTACCTTATAAGGTGATTCTGAGGAGTACTAGATATACTTTTGTACAATAACATACTGGCAAGGTATCTGACATGTGATAAGCACTCAATAGTGGCCACTTCTTTATTCTTAACATATCAAAAAACAAGCTGGACACATGGCTCATGCCTATAATCCCAACATTTTCGGAGGCCTAAGTGGGAAGATCACTTGAGGCCAGGAGTTTGAGACCAGCCTAGGCAACAGAGAAAGATCGTGTTTGAAAAAAAAAAAAAAAGAAATTATTTTTAAATTAGTTGGGTATGGTGGCAAGTGCCTGTAGTCACAGCTACTTGGGAAGTGGAGGTGGAAGCATCACTGCAGCCTTGGAGCTCAGGGCTGCAGTGACCTATGATTGCACCACTGCATTCCAGCCTGGGAAACAGTAAGATTCTGTCTCAAAAATAAATAAAAATTTAAAACATACCAAAAAAACATGGAAAACCAAATTTCCACAATCCCACAGCTGACTAAAACATTGCCAACGTAATTGGAGACTCTACAAATTAGAGTCTTCAGATTACATTCCCCTCCTTCATCCTGCCTGCTCCCTACACGGCTTTTTTTTTTTTTTTTTTTTTTTTTTTTTTCTGAGATAAGAGTCTCATTGTGGCCCAGGCTGGAGTGCAGTGACGTGATCTCAGCTCACTGCAACCTCTGCCTCCTGGGTTCAAGCGATTCTCCCACCTTAGCCTCCTGAGTAGCTGGGATTATAGGCATGCACCACCACACCTGGCTACTTTTTGTATTTTTAGTAGAGATGGGGGTTTCACCATGTGGGCCAGGCTGGTCTCGAACTCCTGACCTCAAGTGATCTGCCCGCCATGGCCTCCCAAAGTGCTGGGATTACAGGCATGAGGCACTGCACTGTGCTCCCCCCAACATCTTTTTAGAGTTTTCTTTTGCTTTCAGGATTCAGCGAAGAATGTTTAGGTATCCACCCTCCAAGACGACCCCCAACCCCTCTGTGAGCCCTGCCTCCTAGAGCTCAAGCCCCCACTACTGCTTACGGCGTAGTCAATAACATAGTGCAGAAATGGTTGCATATGACTCCAAGTGTAGGGCATAAAAGATATCCACCTTGCTCTTTCTTGGATCACTTACTCTGGAGAAAGCCAGCCCCCATCATGTTGTGAGGACACACCAGCAGCCCTGTGGAGAGGGCCACATGGTGAAGGACCGAGGCCTCCTGCCAGCAGCATGAGTGAGAGAAGGTACCCTGGAAGCAGATCCTCCAGCATCAGTCAAGCCTTAGGATGATGTAGCCCCAGGTAACATCTTAAATGCAACTTCAAGAGACCCTAAGGCAGAACCACTAAGCTAAGCGGTTGCCAAATTCCTGGCCCACAGAAACTGTGAGACAGTAAATGCATGTTGTTGTTTTCAGCCACTAAGTTTTGAGGTAACATGTTATGCAACAATAGATAACTAATACCAAGGCATGTAAAAAGAACTGACATAAAGCACTGGTTCCAATCTAATGGATGTGTAAAAATTAGGATCAGGAAAGGTAGAAAAGCCTTTAAAAATTAAAAACTCAGGCTGGTGCAATGGCTCACACCTATAATCCCAGCACTTAGGGAGGCCGAGGTGGGCAGATCACCTGAGGTCAGGTGTTTGAGACCAGCCTAGCCAATATGGTGAAACCCTGTCTCTACTAAAAATACAACAATTAGCTGGGTGTGGTGGCGTGCACCAGTAGTCCCAGCTACTAGGAAGGCTGAGGGGGGAGGATCGCTTGAACCCGGAAGGCGGAGGTTGCAGTGAGCTGTGATTGTGCCACTGCAATCCAGCCTGGGCAACAGAGTGAGACCCTGTCTCAAAAATAAAAATAAAAAAAATTAAAAATTCAAGCCAAACCAGGCACGGTGGCTCACACCTGTAATCGCAGCACTTTGGGAGGCTGAGGCAGGCGGATCACGAGGTCAGGAGTTTGAGACCAGCCTGGCCAACATGGTGAAACCCTGGCTCTACTAAAAATACAAAAATTAGCTGGGCGTGGTGGTGGGCACCTGTAATCCCAGCTACTCGGGAGGCTGAGTCAGGAGAATCGTTTGAACCTGGGAGACGGAGGTTGCAGTGAGCCGAGATCATGCCTCTGCACTCCAGCCTGGCAACAGTGCGAGACTACGTCTTAAAAAAAAAAAAAAAAAAAAAAATTCAGGCCCAAAAAGCCTGCTAGTGAAAATGCTGCTCATACTGGAGCCGGCCAGGTGCACTGGCTCATGTCTGTAATCCCAGCACTGTGGGAGGCTGAGGTAGGAGGATCGCTTAAGGCCAGGAGTTTGAGTCCAGATTGGGCAACATAGCAAGACCTCATCCCTATAAAAAATAGAAAAGTTAGCCAGGCGTGGTGGCACATGGCTGTAGTCCCAGCTACTAGGGAGGCTGAGGTGGGAGAATCACTTGAGCCTAGGGAGGTCAAGGCTGTGGCAAGCCATGATTGCACCACTGCACTCCAGCCTGGGCGACAGAGTAAGACCCTGTCTCAAAAACAAAAACAAAAACAAACAAACAAACAAACAAACAAAAAAAAATATATATATAGATATATAAAAAGAAGTACATTTCTTCACTAGTACGGAGAAAGGAAGCTAGAAAGTGACCTCTAGGCTGGGTGCAGTGGCTCAGGCCTGTAATCCCAGGACTTTGGGAGGCCAAGGCGGGTGGATCACCTGAGGTCAGGAGTTCAAGACCAGCCTGGCCAACATAATGAAACCCCATCTCTACTAAAAATACAAAAATTAGCCGGATGTGGTGGCATGTGCCTGTGGTCTCAGCAACTCGGGAGGCTGAGGCAGGAGAATCGCTTGAACCCGGGGGGAGGAGGTTGCAGTGGGCCGAGGTGGCGCCTTCGCACTCCAGCCTGGGTGACAAAGCAAAACTCCATCTCAAAAAAAAAAAAAAAAAAAAAAAAAAAGAAAGAAAAAGAAAATGACCTCTAAAGAGTCAGCAAGTAGCAACAAAAAGTCCTGAAGTCAGCCTTACATCTAGGGACCCTAGAAAAGGAAGGCACAGAAAGCAGCAAGGAAGTTCCACCTGACTCTATCCCTCAAGGGTTGGCCATTGGTTAACTGACAAGCCAACAAAAACCATCCTTGTGTGCACCAGCACTCCCGAAAAATAAAAAACAATGTAGAAAGACCTAGGTTACAGATGGAAGCAGGGAGGAGCTTCCTCAAGTTTAGAATTGCTTATTACAGAACAGTTAAAGAGCATCCTAATAGTCATTGCTTTTCCGATAACAGAAAATTCTTCAAAACCACCCAGCCAGAGTCCAGGGGAGGGAAGGGAGGCCCCATGGGCCTTACATCAGGAACCAGGGGTGGGCAGGGCAGAGTGTTGGACATTAACACAGAGCTCAATTTTTTGTAGTTTTTGCTTTGACAGGGTCTCGCTCTGTCATCCAAACTGGAGTGCAGTGGCGCAATGATGGCTCACTGCAGCCTCGACCTTCCAGGCTCAAGTGGTCCTCCTGCCTCAGCTTCCTGAGTAACTAAGACTACAAGTGTGCACCATCATGCCCCGTTAATTTTCTTGTTTTGTTTTGTTTTTTTTTTTGTAGAGATGAGAGTCTCACTGTGTTGCCCAGGCTGTTCTCAAACTACCAACCTCAAGCATCCTACCCTCCTCGGCCTCCCAAGGTGCTGGGATTACAGGTGTGAGCCACTGCACTCTGCCCAGAACTCAGTTTTAACTGTATACCTTCAGTTTGGTTTTATATTACTTTTAGTATAGTGCCAATCCAGACTTTCATTTTTAGCACATTTCTTAGCACTAGAAGGACCATCTGAGATCAATTTGGGTCCCAAAAAGCCAATAGGGTGGTCTTTGGACAGTGGCTTCAATTCTCAGGTACCCATTTTTTTCACAATTCCAAACTAGTGAACAGGTTGTAGAGACACAGCCGAGCAACATACCAGAGTGGCTGACGGGGCGGTTCCCACCCGACACCGCCTTACCCTGCTTCCAGGGCCCAAGAGCATACAGCACCTCACCAACCCTGCGCAGGCCTAGCTGTCAAACACTGGAGTGTCCATTCAGAGCTTGCCACTGCACCCTCCCCCAACATGCCTGAAACGGTGGCTGTACACACATTGCTGATTACTTTATACCATTTTATTTTATTTTTATTTTTGGTAGAGATAAGATCTTGCTATGTTGCCCAGGCTGGTCTCAAACTCCTGGATTCAAGTGATCCTCCCACCTTGCGCCTGGCCTGCTTTGTATCATTTTATATCCAACAATGACCACAGCTACTCCACCAGGTGTTAATGGCTCCTGCCTGGATAGACCTCTTGGCTCCTGGAGAGAGGCACATACCTTCACAGCTGCCCACTTACACTTTTTAGATGGACGCAGAGAAAGGGATAAGTTAAACTCAGTTGTGGGTATGTGGCCCTTTTCAAACTACACAAGTGATAGAATCTGCATACCCTTCAGCAATTTGTTTCTGCTTTGACATCCAATGAGTTCACTTTAATTGATGTGTAGTTACACTGTAGGAACATACCATAGTCTGTCACTGGGTAGCTTTTTGGTTTTGGACACTGTGGTCTCTCTGCGTGCAAGGGCAAAATTACTCTAGGGTAAATATCTAGGAGTAAAACTGTAAGAGAAAAAAAGGCACATCTTCAATTTCACTAGATCTTGCCAAATTTCTCTCAAAACAGGTGTAATAAATGATGTTTCACCAGCATTGTATGAGGAGTCCCACTGTTGCTCATCTTCTCAATCCCTGGCTGTTCTGAGTTTGATGTCTGCTCACCTGATGACTGTGAAGGATGACTGTGAAGGACCATCCCACCAGGATCGTAACATACAGCTTCCTGGGCATGGCCGCAGTTGAGCAGCATCTCTTCATGCACTTACTGGCTCTCCAAGAAACTTGCCCTTCTCCTTCAGAATTGTTTCGGCTCTTTACAGAATTTGTCCTTTCACTGTGTCGATGGTGTCCTTGACACATAAGAATTTTTTTTTTTTTTTTTTTTTTGAGCCAGGGTCTCTGTCACCCAGGCTGAAGTGGTGCAGTGGCTCAAGCAATCCTCCCGCTTCAGCCTCCCAAAGTACTGGGATTACAGGCGTGAGTCACCATGCCTGGCCTAGATTTTCATTTTAACATACATAGTTTTATAGCCTTTATAGCCTGTTATTAGTTTGGCTTATTTAAGAAATCCTTCCCTCTCCCATGGTGACAAAGCTCCTCTCCCATGCTGGCCAAGTTCATAAATCACAGTGGTCCCAGCACCACGTCCAGTGCAGACCTCCCACGCAACTGGCCTGCAGCGCTTTCCCATCCATGTCCACATGCTCGAGAGCCTGTTCTGGGCCCCGTCTTGGGCCATATCACTGCCCTGCGTGAATACTGCTATTTTATTTTTTATGAGACAGAATCTTGTTCTGTCACCCAGGCTGGAGTACAATGGCACAATCCCAGCTCACTGCAACCTCCGCCTATCAGGTTCAAGCAATTCTCCAGCCTCAGCCTCCCGAGTAGCTGGGATTACAGGCGCCTGCCACCATGCCCAACTAATTTCTATATTTTTAGTAGAGATAAGGTTTCATCATGTTGGCCAGGCTAGTCTGGAGCTCCTGACCTCCGGTGATCCGCCTGCCTTGACCTCCCAAAGTGCTGGGATTACAGGCGTAAGCCACCACACCTGGCCAAATACTGCTATTTTAAATAAGATAACTTCCTATCTGGTAGAGCAAATCCTCAGGCCAAGCCTCTCTTCAAATGTGGCCACAGCAGCATCCACTTACAAAGGGCAAATAAATTCCTGTTGGAAGTTTTATTAGAATTATACTGAATTTATAGATTATTAAAGGGAGAATTGACAACTTCAGAAGCTTGAATCTTCCTATATATAAATACATCTTTATTGAGGTCTGCTAAAATATCAGTTATTTTTCTCTAAAGTTACATGCATATTTCGTAATATTGATTCCGCAGTACCTGACATTTTGGTTTCTATTATCAATGGTATCTTTTTTAACATTACATTTCCTCTTTGATGCTGCACTTGTATGTTAATTTTATATCCTGGTGAACTCTATTAATTCTAAAAGATTTTCTGTACATTCTCTTGAGTTTTCTACATAGACTTCTGCAAACAATGACAGCTTTATTTATTCCTTTATAATACTGGCTAGTATTTTCTTGGAGACGAAGACTCATTCTATTGTCTAGGCTGCAGTGCAGTAGTGTGATCTCAGCTCACGGCAACCTCTGCCTCCAGGTTCCAGCAATTCTCTTGCCTCGGCCTCCTGAGTAGCTGGGATTACAAGCGCGCATCACCACGCCTGGCTAATTTTTTCATTTCTAGTAGAGATGGGATTTCACCATGTTGGCCAGGCTGGTCTGGAACTCCTAACCTCAAGTAATCCACCCACCTCGGCCTCCAAAGTGTTGGGATTACAGGCGTGAGCCACCGCGCCCGGCCTAATATTGGCTACTATTTTCCGTACAACGTTTATTAAATGGTGAAAAATGGTTTCCTGTCTTATTCTTTTTTTTTTTTTTTTTTTGAGACAGAGTCTTGCTGTGTTGCCCAGGCTGGAGTGCATTGGCGTGATTTTGGCTCGCTGCAACCTCCGTCTCCCAGGTTCAACCGATTCTCCTTTCTCAACCTCTCAAGTAGCTGGGATTACAGGCGCTCGCCACCACAGCTGGTAAAATTTTGTATTTTTAGTAGAGACGGGGTTTCACCATGTTGGCCATGCTGGTCTCAAACTCCCAGCTTTCATTGATCCACCTGTCTCAGCCTCCCAAAATGCTAGGATTACAGATATGAGCCATTGTGCCTGGCCCTCGTTCATGATTTTAAAGAGAATGCTTTTTTTTTTTAATTTGAGACGGAGTCTCGCTCTGTCGCCAGGCTGGAGTGCAGTGGCACGATCTTGGCTCACTGCAACCTCCACCTCTTGGGTTCAAGTAATTCTCCTGCCTCAGCCTCCCACATAGCCGGAAGTACAGGCGCACGCCACCATGCCCAGCTTATTTTTTATAATTTTGGTAGAGACGGGGTTTCACCATGTTGGCCAGGCTGGTCTTGAATTCCTGACCTCAAGTGATCTACCCGCCTCAGCCTCCCCAAGTGCTGGGATTACAGGTGTGAGCCACCATGCCTGGCCTAAGGAGAATGCTTCTAAAGTTTCATGTGTAATATCCTTGATGAAAGCTTCTGATACATATCCTTAAACAGATTTAGGAAGTTCCCTTTTATTCCTGGTTTACTAACCTTTTATCAATAAGCAATAATTTTTTTGTTTAAGACAGGGTCTCACTCTGTGGCCCAGACTAGAGTGCAATGGCATGATCATGGTTCACCACAGCCTTAAACTTCTGGACTCGAGCAATCCTCTTGCCTCAACCTCCTGAGTAGTTGAGACTACAGGCACATGCCATCACATCTGGCTAATTAAAAAAAATTTTTTTTTTTTTAGAGACAGGGTTTCATGTTGCCCAGGCTGGTCTCAAACTCATGGGCTCAAGCAATCCTCCTGCCTCACCCTCCCAAAGTGCTGGGATGACAGGTGTGAGCTGCCACACTCGGCCTTTCTTTTCTTTTTATGAGACAGAGTCTCACTCTGTCACCTAAGCTGGAAAGCTGTGGCACAATCACAGCTCACTGCAACCTCAACACTCCTGGGCTCAAGCAATCCTCCCACCTCAACCTCCCAAGGAGAAAAAGCAATGAACTTTAATGCACGTACCAAATATCACATATACCCCATAAATACAGGGTGTTTACTTAATTAAAAAAAGCAATGAATTTTATCAAATGCCTTTTCTCCCTCTATGGAGATGAGCATTACACAGTAAGTCACAATAATAGCTTTCTAACATCAAATCACCCTTGCATTCCTGAGAAAAGCCCTAAGGATTACCCAGGCTGGAGTGCAGCGGCATGATTTCAGCTCACTGTGGCCTCCCGGTTCAAGTGATTCTCCTGCCTCAGCCTCCTGAGTAGCTGGGATTACAAGCGCACACCACCATGCCCAGCTAATTCTTGTATTTTTAGTAGAGACAAGGTTTCACCATGTAGGCCAGACTAGCCTCAAACTCCTAACCTCAGGTGATCTGCCCACCTTAGCCTCCCAATGTGCTGAGATTACAGGCGGGAGCCACCACGCCCAGCCACTCTTGAAGGCATCACTCAAATGCCTTTCTCTGGCAGAATTTCCAGATCCCATATAGGGACAAAAAAATCATGTCCAGTAGATTTATTAGAATACTCACAGTCACCCATTTATGCATCTCTGCCTGAACTACTCATGGCTCCTTATTGTGCCACACTGCCTGCCACAAAATACATGCTGGTTAAAGATTCATGGAAAATTTTTTGAAGACAGACTTTTTTTCCTTTTTTTTTGAGACGGCGTCTCATTCTGTCGCCAGGCTGGAGTGCAGTGGTGTAATCTTGGCTCACTGCAACCTCCGACTCCCTGGTTCAAGCAATTTTCCTGCCTCAGCCTCCTGAGAAGCTGGGATTACAAGCACGCGTCACCATGCCCAGCTAATTTTTTTTTGTATTTTTAGTAGAGACGGGGTTTCATCATGTTGGCCAGGATAGTCTCAAATTCCTGACCTCATGATCCACCCGCCTCAGCTTCCCAAAGTGTTGGGATTACAGGTGTGAGCCACTGTGCCTGGCCAACACTATTGTTTTTGATACCTTTAATCACCACATAGATTTAGACTACTGAATGGAAAATTCCTATGGAAGTAAAATTAAAATGAACACTTAAAAAAAGCCTTTTAAGCATGAGAATATGATCCACTCCAAGTAACATAACCAAAAGTGGGAAGTGGGGAACCCAACTCCTTCAGTTCTTTACAGCCTTTATTATGTACTAACAGACTGTGCATTTTATGCAAACAATTAAGAAAATTATATAAATGTCTTAATCACATTGCTACCCTTTTAAATGTCAGGGAAATAAATCAACACCCTCAGTGCCAGTGGACACAATGAGCTTTACAGATGAGCATATCCTGCACTGGAAGCTTCAGAACAGACTGCTGGAGAAAGTGCTAACCTGGAGTCACACGTTAAGGACATGACCACACGCTTCAAGCAAAGCGCAGCCTGTTGAGACCCACTTCCCTCTGTGCTAGTTTTTTTTTTTTTTTTTTTTTGAGACACAGTCTCGCTCTGCTGTCACCCAGGCTACGGTGCAGTGATGCCATCACGACTCACTGCAAACCCCACCTTCAGGACTCAAGGGATCCTCCTGCCTCCAGGACTCAAGGGATCCTCCTGTCTCAGTCTCCCAAGCAGCTGGGACTACAGGCATGTGCCACCACACCCGGCTAATTTTTGTAGAGATGGGGTTTCACCATGTTGCCCAGGCTGGTCTCAAACTCCTGAGCTGAAGCAATCCTCCCGCCTTGGCCTCCCAAAGTACTGAAATTACAGGCATGAGCCACTGTGCCTGGCCTGTTCTCGGTATCTTCTTATCCACATTAGGAAGGATATTTTAAGACCCCAGAGTGCAAGTCGAGTATCTTTTCCCTCAAGGGTCAGAATGGCTGTTCCCTAATACTTATTTATTAGATCTAAAATCTATGCAAGGCTCATGTTAGAGTCTCCTGATAATGCTGAGAAACAGATGATTCTGCACTGAAGGGATGTTCCTCAAATTCTGAAACTTGCTAGCATGAAACACAACTTAGTACTGACCTCATCCCTGTGTTTTTGACAGAAGACCAAAAACTGGGATGCTGCATCTCCCTTCCTGCTTCGTGGCATGGAGACTGTGGTCTTCTTCCTCCCAGGAGGAGACCCTACTCCTCTTCTGGGGTCAGCCTCTGCCGTCTTTTGAGGAGTACTCTTCCCTATGTCGGGGTGACTCTCCAGGGTCTCTGCAGAGCTACACAGTTTGGCCCTCCGCCTTCTCTTCATGGGAATGCACTCTTCTCTCACAGACTTGGGGTTTTCAGCAGCTTCTTCACTGACTCCTGAGGATTCTGCCATTTCTCCCAAAGACTCTGCAGCAATGCCAGCCTCCTTGGCTACTTGAGGGTTGAGATGAAGCTGGTCCCCCACATAGAGAAAGGTGAACTTGGCTTTCCGCTCCTCCACTGACATGCTTGCAGCTTCTTCTGCTTGAACAATGCCCATTTCCCACTGGGCCCTCAATTTCCCTGAAATTGGTTTCAATAGCTGGGAAAAAAAAAAGAGACACTGTAAGTTTCACTACACAAACATAAAAGTTAACTACTTTTCCTAGGCACATGATTCATGCCTATAATTCCAGCACTTATGGGTGTCAAGGCAGATGGATCACTTGAGGCCAGGAGTTTAAGACCAGCCTGGTCAACATGGCAAAACCCCATCTCTACTAAAATACAAAAGATAAGCCAGGCATGGTAGTGCATGCCTGTGGTCCCAGCTACTAGGGAGGCTGAGACATGAGAATCACTTGAACTGGGAGGCAGCGGATGCAGTAACCCGAGACCACGCCACTGCACTCTAGCCTGGGGTGACAGAGCAAGACCCTGTCTCAAAAAAAAAAAAAAAAAAAAGAATACTTTTACATTTTCACATAATTTTAGAAATAAAAAACTTGGCCAGCGTGGTGGTTCCCACCTGTAATCCCAGCACCTGTGGAGGCTGAGGCAGACACATCACCTGAGGTCAGGAGTCCAAGACCAGTCTGGCCAACCTGGTGAAACCCTGTCTCCACTAAAAATACAAAAATTAGCCAGGCGTGGTGGCAGGCACCTGTAATTCCAGCTACTTGGGAGGCTGAGGCAGGAGAATCGCTTGAACCCGGAGGGGCAGAGGATGCAATGAGCCAAGATCATGCCATTACACTCCAGCCTGGGCGACAAGAGTGAAACTCCATCTCAAAAAAATTTTAAAAAATAATAGAAATAAAAACTTTTAAAAACCAATTTTAGAATTCAGCCCAACATAATACCTTTATTGTTTCTTTAAACCAGAAATCAATTCCTATCACATTACATTAATCCCTCTGTCTGTGTGTGTGTATACACATATATACGTACATATATGTGTATATATAAATTCTAAAACAAGTTATCTCTGAGAGTCATCAAATGAGCAAAAAAAAATCAGTTGTGTCTCTAAAAGAACTTTATCATATTGTAACATGGCATCCTTGGGCAAAAGTCAACAATGAAAGAGATTGTTAAGCCATTACAATATTTCGAGCAAGTATAAGTTCAAAACAAAAATAAGTTAACTTAAAGAATAAAAATTAAATTTCTGGTCTAAAAGTAGACTGAAGGGTCATCTATCACCTTAATTTTCTCAGCTTTCGTGGGTGCCTGCTTGGCACTTTCCTGGCATAATTTTTCAAACTGTCCTTCTCCTTCAAAAGCTACGAGGCTCTTCTCAAATATCCAAGCTCTTTCTGGGGCGTCACCAAAGAACTGTACGTGATACTGGCGTGCACTCTTTTTCTGACCTAGTTTTTAAAATAAAATGTTAGAGAATGAAAGTTAGAATCTGGGATGAAACTAGTCAAATCTACTGCTATTTTGCAGTTGTTTCCCTTGGTGTTGTCTGAGCCTGTTAACCTCAAAACAAATTCTATACTTCTTATCCCTTCCATGCCACATGCCAAAGAGGGAAACTAATTAACTTACAAGAGACTCAGATAAGGTTCAAAATTGAATGGGAAAGAAAGCCAACCAGGCCAGGCGCAGTCCCTCACGCCTGTAATCCCACCACTTTGGGAGGCCGAGGCAGGGAGATTGAGCTCAGGATTTCGAGACCAGCCTGGGCAACATGGCAAAAGCCCATCTCTACGAAAAATGCAAAAATTAGCCGGGTGTGGTGGTGTGCACCTGTAGTCCCAGCTACTCTGGAGGCTGAGGTGAGAGGATGGCGTGAGCCTGGGAGGCACATGTTGCAGTGAGCCAAGATCATACCACTGCTCTCCAGCCTGGGTGACAGAGCTAGACCCTGTCTCAAAAACAAAAAAAGAAAGGAAAAAAAAGAAAAAGAAAAAAGCTAGCTAGCTGACTAAATGCACTCCTTTATTCCCTCTTAAAAAGATACCAAATAAGACAAGAGGACATGTGCAAGAAAGGAGTGAGAGAGGCAGTGAAGGAGGCAGTATACGGACATCACACAACCTGGGTTCAAATCCCAGCCCTGCTACCTACCAGCTAGCTACCCCCCTATCTCACAGTGCTAGAGTGACAGGAGCATCAGTGGCCTCAGAGAGCAGCTCAGACCACAGAGTAACCCCACAGATGCCCACTAGTCTTACTCTTAGCTGAGAGGAAGAAGCCACGTCCCACAGTGCAGCCAGGGGGATGAGGAAAGAAAGAGACGGGCCCAAAATAAAAGAAAGGAGGTACCAGATTCCACTGAAGTCAAATGAGAAGGTGAATACAGGTAAGCAGGTTAAAAGGTCAGATCTCTGTGCCAGGTGAGAGGAGGGAGGGGGATCTCCCTGGCACAGGGTGGGGGCAGTTACCACTCCCTGTCCCCTCATGCAGAACACTGGCCCAGATGAATCAAAGGATATTTCCTGAAGACCTGAAGTGCTCCAGAGGAAAAACCTCTCCAGTGAGTCTTCTGGAGATTCCCCCAATTAAGTGGTCAATGGCCAATCAGACCCTCTAATGCAAAGGAGGGTGGATAACCAAGCCTCCCCACCCATGGTTGCAGGCAGCTCTAAGTGTCGTGCTCTTAAACACGAGCCCAGCACCAAGGAACCCCTGGACCCAGGGAAGCATCCAGTATGAATGAATCCAAAACACACAGAAATGAATGGCCCTCTGCAGGGCCACAGACATAAGGCAAGGGAAGAGAAGATACCCAACAGAGAAACCCTGTGTGCTATGAAAAGAGAACACAGAAAAACAAAGAGATATTTGAAATTCTAAAATACAACTATGAAAATAAAATTCAGGCCGGGTGCAGTGGCTCAAGCCTGTAATCCCAGCACTTTGGGAGGCCGAGGCAGGCGGACCACGAGGTCAGGAAATCGAGACCATCCTGGCTAACACGGTGAAATCCCATTTCTACTAAATATACAAAAATTAGCCAGGCATGGTGGTGGGCGCCTGTAGCCTCAGCTACACAGGAGGCTGAGGCAGGAGAATGGTGTGAACCCAGGAGGCGGAGCTTGCAGTGAGCCGAGACTGCGCCACTGCACTCCAGCCTGGGCAACAGAGCCAGACTCCGTCTCAAAAAAAAAAAAAAAAAAAAAAGAGAAAAAAAGAAAAAATTCAACAAGAAAGCTTGGAAGATAAGAAATCTCCCAGAAAGAAGAAAAAAATTAAGATGAAAAATACCTATTTCCATAGCAACCTGTAAGATCAATCTAGGAGGTTTGATACCCAAATAATAGGCTTTCTGGAGAAACAGAGAAGCTCCAAGAATAAACCCAAAATCAAGTCTCCAACTAAAACAGTCCTAAGTGTCCCACTGCAACATCCACAGCAGGGCACACCCTGCTGAAATTCAAGCTGCTGGGGGTTGGGTGAAAGGCCAGCCTCCAAGTTAATGGAACAAGAAATAGAATAGCAAGGTATGTGAAGAATAGCAAATTATGTGAAGAATGGCCAAAAACTCTGGATGCTAGAAGGAAATGGAGTAATACCTTCAAAATTCCTAGGGGAATTCTTCTCAACATAAAATTCTACACCCAGTCAAACCATCAATCAAGTGTGAAGATAGAAAAGTAGCATACTCTGGGCCAGGCACAGTGGCTCACGCCTGTAATCCCAGCACTTCGGGAGGCCAAGGTGGGCAGATCACCTCAGATCAAGAGTTCGAGACCAGCCTGGCCAACATGGTGAAGCCCTGTCTCTACTAAAACACAAAAAATTAGTCAGGCATGGTGGCGTGTGCCCGTAGTCCCAGCTACTCAGGAGGCTGAGGCGGGAGAATCACTTGAACCCAGGAGGTGGAGACTGCAATAAGCCAAGATCGTGCCACCGCACTCCAGCCTGGCAACAGAGCAAGGCTCCATCTCAAAAAAAAAGTAGCATACTCTGGGCTGGGTGCAGTGGCTCACACATGTAATCTCAGCACTTTAGGAGGCCAAGGCGGGTAGAATACTTGAGGTCAGAAGTTCGAGACCAGCCTGGCCGACATAGCAAAACCCCATCTCTACTAAAAATACAAAAATGAGCTGGGCACGGTGGCACACACCTGTAGTCCCAGCTACTCGGGAGGCTGAGGCACGAGAATCACTTGAACCCAAGTGGCAGAGGTTGCAGCAAGCTGAGATCCCGCCACTGAACTCTAGCCTGGGCGACAAAGCAAGACTCCACCTCACAAAAACAAAAGTAGCATACTCTGAACTGCAAGGACTCAAATTTACTTCCCATACAAACTGTCTTAAGATACCAAAAATAGCCTCCAGGAAAAAAGAAAACTTAACCAAGAAAGAACACAGCATAGAACTGTAGGGATCAGCCCTACAGGGCCTGTGGGTTTTTCTCCTCGTGTGTGGAGACGAGAGATGGTAGAAATAAAGACACAAGACAAAGAGATTGAAGAAAAGACAGCTGGGCACAGGGGACACCACTACCACCAAGATGCGGAGACTGGTAGTGGCCCTGAATGTCTGGCTGCGCTGTTATTTATTGTATACAAGGCAAGGGGGCAGGGTAAGGAGTGTGAGTCATCTCCAATGATAGGTAAGGTCAAGCGAGTCATGTGTCCACCAGACAGGGGGCCCTTCCCTGTTTGGTAGCCGAGGCAGAGAGAGAGAGGGGACAGCTTACATTATTTCTTCTATGCATTTCTCAGAGAGATCAAAGACTTTAATATTCTCACCAATTCTGCTATTGCTATCTAGAAGGCGGAGCCAGATGTACAGGGCGGAACATGAAAGTGGACCAGGAGCGTGACCGCTGAAGCACAGCATCACAGGGAGACGGTTAGGCCTCTGGATGGCTGCGGGTGGGCTTGACTGATGTCAGGCCTTCCACAAGAGGTGGTGGAGCAGAGTCTTCTCTAACTCCCCCACGGAAAGGGAGACTCCCTTTCCTGGTTTGCAAAGTAACGGGTGCCTTCTCAGGCACTGGCGCTACCGCTAGACCAAGGTCGGCTAAGTAACAGGTGCCTTCCCAGGCACTGGCGTTACCGCTAGTCCAAGGAGCCCTCTAGTGGCCCTGTCTGGGCGTGACAGAGGGCTCACACTCGTCTTCTGGTCACTTCTCACCGTGTCCCTTCAGCTCCTATCTCTGTATGACCTGGTTTTTCCTAGGTTATAATTGTAGAACAGAGATTGTTATAATATTTGAATAAAGAGTAATGCTACAAACTAATGATTAATAATATTCATATATAATCATGTCTATATTCTATGTCTAATATAACTATTCTTATTTTAAGTATTTTCTTTATTATACTGGAACAGCCTGTGCCTTCAGTCTCTTGCCTTGGCACCTGGGTGGCTTGCTGCCCACATAGAACTACAGAAAACAATGTAAATAACTAGGGAAAGCAGCTTAAAGAAAGTCTAAGCTTACTGCAGTGCAAAAGGTTAAGAGTGCTAGCAAACCAGAATCAAGCAGGAAAAAGGAAGATTCTAGGAGAGAGCTCCAAGGGAAGAAAAGATGAGAGAAAACAACTTTTTTACAAAGAAAGAAAATCTAAGTAGTAAGGAAGGAGGGTTAAAAGATGAGTTCCAAGAAGCAGAAAGGGAAGATGGGACTCAAACCCAGGTTTTCATTTTTTTTTAAGGAGAAAAAATAACTATATAAATATATAAATAGGAGAAACTAACTTCATAATAAGGATGAGTTTTAAGGATGAGGAGATGAATACTTGAAAAAAATTAAGGCTGTATGGACAACATAGTGTATGATTTCAAAAGAAAGGCAGTAATTAATTCCAAGGGAAACAAAAGGTTTTACAAGAAAATGCAATTACAGAACATAACTTGGTTTTTCACTGAATGATATTTACATAGTCAAAATTATGTAAACACTTATTTTTCATTTATTACAAATAGTGACTTAATTATATGGGGAGAATGGGGGGAAAGAAATAGAAAATGGCTGAAGAGTTCAATCTTCATTTTCCATGATAGAAAGTTAACAGAAAATGTCTACATGAGAAATCAAAGTATTAGAAGTAGAAGAAAATGATGAAAGAGATAAAAATAATTACCTCTGGGGAGGAGAGAGGAAGGCAGGGGATGATTTTTCACTATTAATCTTTCAGTACAATTTGACTTGTTTTTAAGTGTTCAAACTTCTTTGATTTGAAAATACCTAAGATTCAAGGATATGTCAAGGGATTTGTGACTTCTTCCATTACTTTAAAACTTTGTAAGAACTTTTCTTAGTAATGAAAATGAATACAGGTATGTTATAGCATTTTTATAATAAAGAAAACCTGTAACAGCACACACAATATAAAATTAAACCATGTTTATAAATAATGACACAGATAAATGCTCCTTACATGTCAGGTGGGAAAAAAAGCAGAAGAGATTATTGTAATCTGATCCCAAGTTTGTAAAATAAATGAGTGTAACATTCTGAAGTTCTTTCCCATCTAGAAACCGGATAACATAACCGAATTTTCTACTATTTTTATGGGTTTCTTTAATCCATAGGAACTATCCTTTGGTCCAAGTTGAGAGGTGAATATCTCACTGTTTTTATTTTACCAATAATTAACCAGTTGTCCCAGTACTATGTTATTAGTAATCCTCCCTTCCTATGCAATTTCTTTCTTTCTTTTTTTTTTTCTTTTTTTTTTTTTTTTTTTTGAGATGGCGTCTCGCTCTGTCGCCCAGGCTGGAGTGCAGTACTGCGATCTCGGGTCACTGCAACCTCTGTCTCCTGGGCTCAAGCGATTCTCATGCCTCAGCCTTCCCAGGAGCTGGGATTACAGGCGCCTGGGACCACACCCAGCTAATTTTTGTACTGTTAGCAGAAACAGGGTTTCATCACGTTGGCCAGGCTGGTCTCGAACTCCTGACCTCAAGTCACCCACCTGCCTTGGCCTCCCAAAGTGCTGGGATTATAGGCATGAGCCACTGCACCTGGCCCTCTTCCTATGCAATTTCTGATGTTCATTAATCACCATCTGTATAAAAATGCAAGTCACTGACCTCCCCACCTACATCCCCTTCGAAGAGAACCTGGCTTCTACTAACAGTCCTGGTACCTAATTTTGTACTGTGTTCCTTTTTTCCCCATCACAGCCCATTAGACTACAGGTAGTTTGTGACTCTCTGGGCTCAACTAAGCCAGAGTTTCTCTCCAGATTTTGTGGAGCCTGTTAAGTTCCATGCATGCAAAATGAACCCCACCAAGAGACAAGGCTGCCTCAGAGATAAAGCTCCAGGGAGGGAAGAGAAGCCATAAAGATGCAGACAAGGCCAGGTGTCTGCGGAAGCCAAGAATGGAGCACAGGAGCAAAGTCACAACGACATGAGACCACAGAGCTCCCTGGGAAACAAAGGACAAGCATGACCATGCCTGAGTTTCCCAGTTCAGTCTCTGGAGGGCACCAGAGCCCCAAAATAGGTAAAGCAGAAACTGCCAGAACTACAAGTAGAAAAACAGCAAATCCACAATCCCATGGGAGATTTTAACACATCTCTCAGCAAGTAATAGAACAAGCAAGAAACAAATCAGTAGGAAGATAATACCATCAAACAGCACAAGACACGAGAAAGCCAGATTACCTGCAATATTTTTAGAAAATGCCAGAAGCATTTTTTTTCCTATATAAAGCAAGGAGGGTTAATTCCTAACATTCCCTTCCATAACACAGAAAAGGTGACAACAAAAATCTCCACAACAGAAAATTACTTGATTCCAGACCACAGTTACCTAAAGAGACCAGTGAGTGTAATATCTAAAACATATAGTTATCTTCTGTTTCCAACTTAAAAGGTTGAGCCTTGACCAGCCTGGCCAATATGGTGAAACCCCATCTCTAGCAAAAATACAAAATTAGTCGGGTGTGGTGACACATGCCTGTAGTGCCAGCTACTCGGGAGGCTGCGGCAGGAGAATCACTTGAACCTGGGAGACAGAGGTTGCAGTGAGCCGAGATTGTGACACTGCACTCCAGCCTGGGTGACAGAGAAAGACTGTCTCGAAAAAAAAAAAGGTTGAGCCTAAAAGCTGCTAGTCCACCTAGGTGCCCTGGTAGATACTAGCTAACACAGGTTCTGCTGCTGTAAATTACAACAATGCTATTAAGACTTTCATTAACTTAAGATTTCCAAAGGAAATTTTGATTTCCAAAAGAATCTAGATTGAGCTGTAGCTTATGAGTTATGTTCACTTTTGCATGTATATTATACCTCAGTTTTCAAAATTTAAGTATATTACTAAGATACACGGATTCAAACTGGTCCATAAATCCCAAGCATGATAAATAATTTTTTTTTTTTTTAACGGGTGCCGGGCGCGGTGACTCACGCCTGTAATCACAGCACTTTGGGAGGCCGAGTTGGGCGGATCACAAGGTCAGGAGGTTGAGACCAGCCTGGCCAACATGGTGAAACCCCAGCTCTACTAAAAATACAAAAATTAGCTGGGCATAGTGGTGTGCACCTGTAATCCCAGCTACTCGGGAGGCTGAGACAGGAGAATCGCTTGAACCTGGGAAATGGAGGTTGCAGTGAGCCGAGATCATACCACTGTACTCCAGCCTGGACGAGTGAGCAAGACTCCATCTCCAGGAAAAGAAAAAAAAAAAGGATAGGAATAGAGGATAGAAAAATATAAAAGTACTGGCTTCACAGGACCCATGCTCAGCCCACTCCACGGCAGGAGCTATCTCTTCTTCACATCCCTGTCCTTCCAAAACAACGACACTCACCACTCACTGTCTCATTCTCATCATGGGGTGCTGCAGGCCAAGTGTTGGAGAATCAAAAATGGACCCAAGAGCTCCACTTGGAGCAAGGGCTCAGCACTGCTTGGAGACCTACTGCACAGAGTTTCCCTTGCAAACTCTGTCTCCCAGAGCAATGAACACAACCAGCGACCAGACCTGGGCTCCTACATACTATTCTGTACTCAAAGAACCTAGGCCTTCTCTGAGAAACGGCTGATGCTAGGGTTGGGGGGGGTGGTGGGAAAAACAGTACAAGATGAGCCTGGAACATCTTGTTGTACCAGAACGTAAAGAGGTGCTCAAGGGCTGACGGGGACATGTCAAAGGCATACAACTTAAAGGAACTTAATAGAACTCCCACTGGTCAAATTTGGGACAATGTGAGGATTTAAGAAAATAAGAACTAAAATATATAACTCTTTTTTTTTTAGGGAGGAGCTCATTTTCATAGAAAAATGACAACTAAAATGTAGAAAGTGCAATAATAGCCAGTTACCATTTAACAAGTCCATGATGAATCATCAAGGACTGCTAAAGCCGTGGCTGCTGGGGACAGGTATGGTGGCTCACACTTGTAATCCCAACAATTTGGGAGGCCAAGGCAGGAAGAAGATGACCTGAGCCCAGGAGTTTGAGCCTGGAGTGAGCTATGATTGTGCCACTGTACTCTAGCCTGGACAGAGCAACAGAGCCAAGACCCTATCTCAAAACAACAACAACAAAAGCTACACTGTTGGGACAGACTACAAGCACAGCCCACAGGTCCCTCATTAGTGACAATGGGGACCTGTGCCTTTCCACAGAGAGCTCTGGTGGTCATCGCCTACCAGGGGTGGGTCAGCTGACACATAAGCTCCTCCTGATGTGGTCTGACTAGCACTCTGTCCTTCCCTCACTTCTCTTTGTTCTGCTCACTTCCTTTGACCCCTTTTCTTTTAAGATTATCTGAATCTCCTTTCAGTTGGAGGGTTATCTACCCAGGCTTGACTCCTTCTGAACTGCTTTTCAAATGTACAGTATCTTTTATACTCTAATGCCTTCACACACACAAAAAAGTATATTATCAGTCTTCTGAAGTAGGTTTGCTTGTGCCTCCTACTCTACATCCCACAATAATTCCTAGAGAAGCCGACTGCTGAGGTGAGGCAGGCCACTGCCCAGCCTATGCTGGTGCAGGACACTCCCTTCTTCTGTACACAGATCTTTAGTAAAGGGCCAAAGCTACCTTTCAAGGTTCCAACTGTGAGATCCAACCTGGCCTTTCTGACCTAGGTCTGATCATGAGAAAGCTAAAGCAGTCATGAGGAATTGGGGATTGGGAGTGCTGTTCTAGACTAGCAGAAGCTAAAGAGGCACAACCACCAGATGCCGAGTATGCATCTCAACCCTGAAGTACAGAAAAAGACAGGTAGGGGCCTGCTGGGGACACGCCCTACACCTGCTCTTAGCACAGCAACAGATCTTGTTACTGATGTGATGTTTCCCGAAATGCGGCTGGTGCTGAGTCAATAAGGAAACTGTCCTTGTTCTGACGTATTTGGGGGTAACAGTGCCACGAAAGCTACCAGCCATCATGCAACAAAAGAGATGGAGGCTAGGCACAGTGACTCATGCCTGTAATCCCATTGGGAGGCCAAGGTGGGTGGATCACAAGGTCAAGAGATCAAGATCATCCTGGCCAACATGGTGAAACCCCATTTGTACTAAAAATACAAAAATTAGCTGGGTGTGGTGGCGTGCACCTGTAGTCCCACCTACTTGGGAGACTGAGGCAGGAGAATTGCTTGAACCCAGGAGGCAGAGGTTGCCAAAATCGTGCCACTGCACTCCAGCCTGGCAACAGAGTGAGACTGTGTCACAAAAAAAAAAAAAAAAAAAAAAAGAGATTCAACAGGTAGAACAAGATGTTTCAAGGTGGAGAATCTAGATGAGGGGATAGGTGTCTGCTGTGCTGTTTTACTTTGACTTGAAAGTTTTTAAAATAGATTAAAAAAATAGATCAAATATTTCACACATACACAAAAAAAGCTAGAATCCAAGTATACCCATTTGGCATTATGTTTTGAAAACTGAGGGAATACCTGAGGACATGAAAACACTTAAAAACAGATACAAAAGTATTAAAATTAACCAAACACTAGGTGGCTGCAGGGTTAATAACTGGTCAAACATGAAGGTTTTCAGGAAGCAGCTATAGAAGAAACCAGGGGAATGGGAGTTGAAACAATAAAAACTCAGGTTTTAAAAGTAAAAGTGAGGATAATGACAATTGCTAATACGAGCATCCGGTGGTCACTGCATTAAGACCTTTCCATGAAGGTGATGGTATCATCTTCCTCATTTTCATATACAGGGAAACTGAAGCTTAGCGAGATTAAGTTCATTATCAAGATCAGCCAGCTAACTAGACCCTGGCAGGCTGATTCCTGAGTCCCAGCCTCAACCGCAGAGAGTAACACAACGGTGCCATAAGCACAAGAGTGAAAGCACTTAGCCACAGTGCAAGGTCCCGGAGTCAAGCAAAGAAAGAGAGATGAGGCCGGGCACGGTGGCTCACGCCTGTAATCCCAGCACTTTGGGAGGCCGAGGTGGGCAGATCACTTGAGGTCAGAGGTTTGAGACCAGCCTGGCCAATATGGTGAAACCCCATCTCTACTAAAAATACAAAAATTAGCCAGGCATAGTGGCACACACCTATAATCCCAGCTACTCAGGAAGCTGAGACACAAGAATTCCTTGAACCCAGGAAGCAGAGGTTGCAGTGAGCTGAGATCGCGCCAGTGCACTCTAGCCTGGGAGACAGAGTGAAACTGTGTCTCAAAAAAAAAAAAAAAAAAAAAAAAGAGAGAGAGAGAGAAGTAAAAATGGCAGTATATCTGAATGTCAGAGAAGCTGTTGCAGACTACAGGAATTACTTAACTCCAAGGCAGGGAAAAGATGCAATGATATATAAGTTGGGCTGCGGCACTGTGGCTCATTTCTGTAATCCCAGCACTTTGGGAGGCCGAGGCAAGCGGATCACTGGGGCCCAGGAGTTTGAGACCAACTGGGCAACATGGTGAAACCCCATCTCTACAAAAAAAACACAAAAATTAGCCAGGTGTGGTGGCACGCACCTGTAGTCCCAGCTACTCAGGAGGCTGAGATGGAAGGATCACCTGAGCCCAGAAGGTACAGGTTGCAGTGAGCTAAGACTGCGCCACTGCACTCCAGTTTGGGTGATGGAGCGAGCCTCCATCCCCAAAAAAAGAAATTAAAAGTAATAAGCCCTAATAGGAAGAACAAGGAGACTTTCAAAAGACTACTTCAGTTTCACAGGCATGAGAGGCTAACAGCTAAACATGGCATCATATAAATAAGTAAATATCCCCAGACACTAAAAAGGAAATCAGTAAGAGCTGCTTGTGTGCCACACAAACAAATGACATGGGAGTCACAGGGTTTGCTGTGTGGAGACTATGCCTGGTTTTAGAAAGCAGAGAAAGAATTAGCAGCCCCTCACACACACCCATGTGTGCCTGCACCCGGGCTGCAGAGGCTTGAAGGTCCATCCTCAGACAAAGGGGAGACAGCTTCTGTCTCAACCAGCATTTATTTTTTCATACACTGACCGAGTCTAGAGGCCCTGGGGTACACCCTGGGGTTCCCGCAACCCCTTGGAAAGGAATCCCCGAATTCTGGCAAGCCAAGGATGCCAAAGGTCCTCCATGGAGACAGAGCTGAAGCCAGGCCATAGGCTCTTCTGCCACAACTCCTGCAGAGCACACATGGCACAGGACAGGAGGCCAGGGCAGGACTCAGGCAAGGGCACCCAGGACTCGGCAGAGTCCTCTTCGTCCTCAGCCTGCCCCTCTAACATCTACATCTGCCAGGGAGGCACCTCTGTACCCCATTCCTAGCAGCCACCTGCTCCCACAGCCAGCTGACAAGCCTGTTTTGGCCATGCAGGTGGCAGTACAAAGACATAAGCTCATAGCAAGGGCAGCAACGCTGCCCCCACAGGAGCTCAGGCCTCCAGCCAGAGACCAGAAGGGGACATGTACGCAAGGACCACCAAGGGGCCATAAGAGGCTGACTGGTCAGCAATATTGGACTGGAGCATTGGCCTAGTCTGGCCTGACTCTAGACGCCACACTTCCAGAGGGTGCACAGATCAGATCACAGGGTGACACTAACTTGCTCAGTTCTAACTCCGCACTCGCCACATCGCAACTTGCTCAAACTAAATTCCAACTTCACTCTAGAAGAACTTTCAGAAAAACCTCAAACCACATTATCTTTTACTATTCCTCTAAAAACACATTTATGGGTTGACCAACCATTATTTGCTCTGTATCAGGGACATATAACATTCTTTTTTTTTTTGTGAGACAGAGTTTCGCTGTTGTTGCCCAGACTAGAGTGCAATGGCGCGATCTCGGCTCACTGCAACCTCCACCTCCCGGGTTCTAGCGATTCTCCTGCCTCAGCCTCCTGAGTAGCTGGGATTACAGGCGTGCACCACCACGTCCGGCTAATTTTGTATTTTTAGTAGAGACGCGGTTTGACCATGTTGGTCAGGCTAGTCTCGAACTCCTGACCTCAAGTGATCCACCCACCTCGGCCTCCCAAAGTGTTGGGATTACAGGCGTGAGCCACCGTGCCCGGCCGTACATTCTTAATATGTTACATCAGCCGCTCCATGTAAAAATCAATTTATCTACCCAAGCTTCATAAGACAAAGATGATCACTTCCAGTGTTTTCCATTCTTCCCATAGGCCTAATAAAATTCACTTGGACATTTTTACAACTTAAACTTAGCATAAAACACTCTTGCTGCAAATCATCCTGAAACAAGCAATCATCGTAACTAAATAATAAACTATCATAAAAACAGAAGTTATACAAGGCAAAGGTCATGTGTCCCTTAACACTAATTCAATCAGATGAAGTACATATTTGAGTTGAATATAAAAAGAAATGGCAACACATCACACTTGAATCAATCACTAACTTTAGGTAAAGCTGCAAAAATGAACCATAGCAGGGCTATTTAGAAAGAGTAAGAAAGAAGCCTGGAGATGAGAAAGATTAAGTGCAGAAGAGAAAGTTGGAAAAACAACCCAAAGAACACAATACCTTTAAGTTTGGTATAGCTGTGAAGGAGTGGATCTGCAGAAACCATGCAAGGCCACCAAGGGTAACCCGACACTTTGGACCACACCAAATCACCAACGTTGTATTTCAACAGGTGGTCTTTGTCTCTTCCAGTGTTTGGACAAGACTCTTTCTTAGCTGGAATCTGAAAATGAACAACAGAAGACAAACACTAACACATCCAATCACTACCTGTGTATCCAGAAGACCAAGGATTCACCAGGCTACAATGTCCAAATACACACAGACCCCCAAAAATGGAGTGTGCTCCCTTGCTGTGTTTTAGATGATAGCCTCAACATCGTTTCATCAAAATTTTGTCTCTCAGGCCAGGTGCGGTGGCTCACGCCTGTAGTCCCAGCACTTTGGGAGGCCAACGTGGGCGGATCACGAGTTCAGGAGATCAAGACCATCCTGGCTAACACAATGAAACCCTGTCTCTACTAAAAATACAAAAAATTAGCCGGGCGTGGTGGCAGGCGCCTGTAATCCCAGCTACTCAGGAAGCTGAGGCAGGAGAATGGCGTGAACCCGGGAGGCGGAGCTTGCAGTGAGCCGAGATCACGCCACTGCACTCCAGCCTGGGCGACAGGGCGAGACTCCATCTCAAAAAAAAAAAAAAAAAAAATTTCTCTCTCACTCTCAGCTAAAGGATCAGGACAGTGCATAGCACACAGCAGGTGTTCAACATTTTGAAGATCTCTATATAAATCTATTTCCTTGGCCTAGTATTAATAGACGGTCTTTAATGGTACTTTATTCAACTGGTCGAAAAGGAATTCTCACAGAATTCCAAATCCATACTGACTTCTGCCCCTCCAGTCATGTCTGACGATCAGTTCTCAGCAGCCCATGTGTCACCAACATGAACCATCCCAGTGTGGTGAGGGCAAGGGCACCAGGAGGACTAGGAGCAAGTCTCGGCTCCATCACATGTAATTTGAGTCCTTGGGGCTCTCTGAGCCTCAATTTCTCCATCTCTAGAACATAATGGGTAGGTTAAGGCTGAACATTCCACCAAAGAAAAACTCCTCCCCACAAGCCACTCACAGTTCTGCTCTCCAGTGGAAATAAGCACAGCCAGCATGGCCCCAACCCTCCAAGGGTGAATCTCTAGCCTTGCTCAAGAGCACTATACACATGAGTAAATTGTTCCACTGCCTCAGGCCTCAGTTTTCTCACCTGTAAGCTGAAGAGGCCGGCCCAAAACCTTGCCATAAGCATGCTGGTGAAGCCTGGCATGAGCTGCCACATGACACATTTTCATGTTTTTTTGATCCTCCCATCTCAGCCTCCCTAGTAGCTGGGACCACAGGCAGTGCCACCACGCCCAGCTAATTTTATTTTTTATAGAGACCGGGTCTCGCTATGTTGCCCAGGCTAGTCTTGAACTCCTGGGCTCAAGCAATCTTCCTGCCTCAGCCTCCCAAAGTGCTGGGATTACAGATGTGAGCCACCCCATCAGGCCTGACATACTTTCAGAACAGCTACCAGATTACTGCACAGCAACCCAGGTTTACATTTATTGACCCCACTCTCCAGAGGAAGAGTCAAAATTCAGGTTGAGTTACTCAAGTTTTAACAAAACCAAGGGACATGGCTAGGAATAAAAGCCAGATTTTTTTGTTTGGTTTGTTTTTCAGTTGGAGGAGAAAGAAAAAGCCAGCTCTGATGCAGGAACATCGTTTGAGGTCAGGAGTTCGTGAACAGCCTGTGCAACATACCAAGACCCTGTCTCAAAACAAAACAGCTAGGACTCTGACAACTTGCACAGGCCTCTTCCCAAGCAAAAGCATGAGGTTCAATACTGCTGTGGGCACTTCAAAAAATCTTTGTAGGCTGGGCATGGTAGCTCATACCTGTAACTCGAGCACTTCAGGAGGCAGAGGTGGGAGGATCGTTTGAGCCCAGGGGTTTGAGACCAGCCTGGGCAACACAGCAAGACCCTGTCCTACAAAAAATAAAAAATTAACTGGGCATATAGTGGTGCACACCTGTGGTCCAACTACTCAGGAGGGTGAGGTAGGAGGATCACCTAAGCCTGGGAGGTCAAGGCTGTTGTGAGCCATGATCACACCACTGCCCTCTAGCCTGGACAACAGAGACCATCTCAAAATAAATAAATAAATAAATAAAATTTAAAAACTTCACCACTGCCATTACATGAGCGAGAACTAAACAGCTCCTGAGTAATCAAAAAACGTTTTTTTAACCCTCAAAGCTCTTCATTATTTTAACAATTTCAAGGAGTTACAACTAAAAAGCAACACCCTATAGACCACCAGATGAACAGAGACTGCTGCCCCATCAAGAGTTCCTTCCTTCTGCCAAAGCCATGGCCCCTTGGTTGTTTCCTATGGCTTATACTCATCCGAGTGTCAGGGCCATCCCGAGTGCCACGTGAAGGCGTGGAGACACCATCACCAGGCAGAATGGAGCAGCACCACCACACCTTTCCATCGCAAGTTAGGATAAGGAAACACTCATTCGCTTGTGTTCAGTGTGCTGGGCTCTGCACTGGGAACCAAGAACAGGAGGCAAAAGACACATCCCTAGGCCTCAGGGAGGCAGGCCATCTGCTGGACCACCTGGCTGAGGAGACAGTAAGTGGACACTGGACCACAGGGTAAGGACAGCGGGAGCACCTCTGCACAGCTCTGCTTCCCACTCATCAGATGGTGCAGACTTAAGAAGTCACACTCTAGAGCCCAGCCTGTCTCCACTGACCACATCAGGCTAAAGAACACCTTGGAGATGAGATCCATGAAAAGAGTGTAGCCTGACGTTGTCAAGCAAGGGCTCTGAAACTGGCAGAACCACGTTAAGAAACAAGCTTTGCCTCTTTTTAGCCATTTGAATCTTGAACACTTAGCTCACCTCTCTAGACCTCTCAACTGGCTCAGCAGCCAGCTGAGAACTGAGGAGGCAGTGCCAGGGCATCCTGGAGCCCACCCTCCAACCCAAAGCCAGGGCTCAGGCAAGTGGCTGGAAGTACCAGGCCTGTCCTCACCTTCTCCGCCCGCCCCAGTACTCGTGCAGGTGCCCTCATAGGGTGGCCATGCTCACTGCTCAAGGTCACATGACCCCTTACACAACGTCTCCTAAATACCTTTTTATCTGAAGGACTTGAGATCTTAGACACAAGAGCTGCTTCGACAAGGCCCTGCTCCAGCAAGGAGTCATATTTTATGCTCCTCTTCCTGTTCCTTCTCGCCTTGTTTTCTGGTTTTTGTCCATTTTCTTCTGACTGAGACACATCAGCAGCACTGTCACCACAAATGGAAGATTCAAAGAGAGGCTTCCCATTCATGTATGTTTTGGTGATTTTCAGCTTAATTTCTGGAGAGCCATTTTTGATAGGGGTAGTGTTAGGGGGTGTCCCAATCCCTTTCATTTCCTGGGACTCAAAACGCAGTTTGGCATCGTGTGCGCCGGGTTCTCCATTAAACACCCGGGAAGTAAGATCTTTCAGCTTGTCGGCTGGAATAAAGGGCAGGGCGTCGTGGCCGTTAAACTTCTGCATGACCCCCTCCTGCAGGCTACTGGAGAGCTGGGCTTTGCTGAGGAACACAGAACACTCGCGGTTCACCTCGCAGCTCGGAGTCTTCCCGTTGGCACTGCCGAGGATTTCTGGTGCCTGCTTCATCTTTATGCACTTTACAACACTCTGAACAGAAAGGGGACTCTGCTTGATGCTAAATTCCATCCAGCCCAGATGCTTCCGTTCTTAGAACACTATGGTATTAAAAAAAAGAAAAAAGAAAGAAAAAGCAATTACATTTAAAACCTAGGATAGGTATGCCAGGACCTCTACAGCTTTGTGGGGTCTGATTTTCTTTGTAAGCAATTTATGATGTTTTTATAATAATTCAGGTCACAGAAGGCAGTTTTAGTATCACAAAAATTACACGGAATCACAAAATGATAAAGCTGAAAGAAAAAGGAATCATTTTTTAAAGGAAGAACATGAAAGTCAGTCAAGACAGCACACTCCAGTCATACCACTAATAATCTACAGTGTGGCCATGGACACATAACTTAACTTGCCAATCATCCCTGAAACACAGATTTCCACCTGTCCACCAACATATACTTAAAAGAGCTAATATGTGTGAGGCAGCTGGCATAATGCCAGGCCTATGCAAAAGGACAACAGGGAATAGCATAAAAGCAAAATCAACACTAACAGGAAAAGAGCTCATCCCAATCCCTCCTGTTACAGCTGAGGTATCAGGCAGAGGCTCAGAATGTGCCCAAGATGACCTGGTCAGCAAAGTCTAAAACCAGATATTCCAACTCCAAGCACAGGATTAGCTCCAGGTTGATGAAAATAAGAAGCAAAAAGCCAAGAGTCTCCAAGGGTGAAAGCAATCCCAGTCAGGTCTGGCTATGCTCAACCCAGTATTCTTATCTCAGTCC
This sequence comes from Homo sapiens, assembly GCF_000001405.40. Lineage (NCBI taxonomy): Eukaryota > Metazoa > Chordata > Mammalia > Primates > Hominidae > Homo > Homo sapiens. The sequence continues at coordinate 1,899,941 of NC_000004.12, read as the reverse complement.
ACTAATCCCCTCCGTGTTCAGGCCTAAATTAAACAAGAAAGAACACAGCAGTAAGGTCACATTTTTTAGCTACTACCTGAAGATTAACTACTTGAGAACAACACTGCTGAGCCACAACACAGGTTACTTTGCCAGTGCACCACACTGGCCAGTGAGGCCCACGTGCAGAAGGGGCAGTTTAGGAAGGTAACTCGCTGCAGCATGCTGGTGTGGGGTCTTCCCTGCAAAGCTACAGTCCCTAATCTGAGACATCTAGTGAAGGGGCCAGAGCCCCAAAACACAGCTAGGAATAAGAAACAGGTAGGCACCCGCCCCAGCTGGGAAGGCATCTCTCAGGAGTACACCATCACAAGCTCCAACAACAGCCCTCTGAGAAGCCAGAAATCAATAGCATCAGACACTAGGGAAAATCTGAGTACAGTAAGGACCAGAGATGCCCGTGGACTAGAACAGCGGTTCTCAAATGGGGAGGATTTTGTTCCCCAGGGACACTTAACCTCATCTGGAAGCATTTTTTATTACCACCACTAGGGGGCGGACCCTGACCTCTGATGGGTTGCGGTCATGGATGCTGCTGCATCTCCTGCAACGCACAGGATGCCCGCGCAACAGGGCTATGCGGCCCGAGATGTCCACAGTACTGAGGTGGAGGACACCTGACGTGCAGCAATAGGGGGCTGCTGGTGTCTGCAACCCGCAGTCTCCACAGAAAAGCAGACAGCTGAGGAAGGAGACAGGAAAAAAAGAGCAAATGTAAAACCTTGAAAAAATGTTGAAGTCCCAGTTCAGCTTCATGTGCTCTGGACAACTCTTTAACACCAAAACACATACAAATGTGTTCTGTCTGACCCGCACAATTTCTTAAAAAGGTAGATCAAAGTCAGTTCCTCTTCCAGCTCATATCATACCAACTGTCCCAAGGTAAAAACTATAACCCTGGACAAAACATAAAAAACCACCTCCTGAAGGAACTGAGAGCAACCAAAAGCAGAGAGAAAATGGACGGAACCAACTGTTGAAAGAAAGGGAACAGCACTGGGTGAACTCCATTTTGAAATGTGTGACTGAGGAGAGTTTGAAGCAACTGTAACAACTATAAAATGAGGGGGGAAATCTCAAGGAGAGAGTCTCAGAGGGGAGTCCCAAATTCTGCCTATAAACTCTGCCCAAATTCCAGGCTGATTCCAAGCAGCCTAGTTTATGAAATAACTGAAAAGAGATTCCAGCTGCTGGACAAAAAAAAAAAAAAAAGTGTGTTTTTTGTTTTTTGTTTTTTTTTTTTTAGACGGAGTCTCGCTCTGTCACCCAGGTTGGACTGCAGTGGTGCGATCTCAGCTCACTGCAACCTCCACCTCCCGGGTTCAATTCTCCTGCCTCACCCTCCTGAGTAGCTGGGACTACAGGCGCCCACCACCACGCCCGGCTAATTTTTTGTATTTTTAGTAGAGACGGGGTTTCACCGTGTTACCCAGGATGGTCTCGATCTCCTGACTTCGTGATCCGCCCGCCTTGGCCTCCCAAAGTGCTGGGATTACAGGCGTGAGCCACCGCACCTGGCCACGAAACCATTTTTAAGGGGAATGTGGTCAGGCTTTGGGAGGCCGAGGCAGGAGGATCACTCAAGTCCAGGAATTCAAGACCAGCTTGGGCAAGACAGTGAGAGCCCATCTCAACAAAAAATACAAAAATTAGCCAGTCGTGGTGATGTGCACCTGTAGTCCCTGCTACTCAGGAGGCTGAGGCAGGAGGATCGCTTGAGTCCAAGAGGTCAAGGCTGCAGTGAGCTATGATTGCACTACTGCACTCCAACCTGGATTACAGAGCAAGACTGTAAAAAGAAGGGGGAAAAAAAGGAAGCAGAGCCTCACAGATCTGTGGAACAATATTAAAGGGTCTGGAGTTCCACCCAGAAGGAGGAGGGAAAAAAAAAGGCAAAAATATTTGGAGAAAACAGTGGTCCTCCAAAAGTTCCCCAATTTAATAAGACACAAATGTACAGATTCAAGAAGTTCAGCAGCTGGGTGAGGTGGCTCATGCCTGCAATCCCAGCACTTTAGGAGGCTGAGTCAGGTGGATCACTTGTGGTCTGGAGTTCGAGGCCAGCCTGGCCAACATGGTGAAACCACAACTCTACTAAAAATACAAAAATTAGCCAGGCTTGGTGGCACACACCTGTAATCCCAGCTACTTGGGAGGCTGAGGCAGGAGAATCGCTTGAACCCAGGAGGTGGAGGCTGCAATAAGCAAAGACCACGCCACTGCACTCCAGCCTGAGTGAGACTCTGTCTCAAAAATATATCAATAAAAATAAAAATAAAATTTTTTGTAGAGACGGGATCTTGTCTTGTTGACCAGGCTAGTCTCTAAGTCCTGGCTTCAAGGAATCCTTCCCAAAGTGCTGGCATTACAAGCAGGAGCCCCTGTACCCTGCCAAACAATTTTTTTTTTCCCTTGAGACAGGGTCTCACTACCACCGAAGCTGGAGTGCAGGGCAATGGCACAATTTCAGCTCACTGCAACCTCTATCCTTCAGGGCTCAAGCAATCCTCCCATCTCAGCCTCCCGAGTAGCTGGGACTATAGGTGCACCCCACCATGCTCAGCTAACTTTTTAACCCTTTTTTTGTAGAGATGGATCTCACTATATTGTCCAGGCTGATCTCAAACTCCTGGGCTCAAGGGATCTTCCCATCTCAACATCCCAAAGTACTGGGATTACAGGCATGAGACACTGCACCCAGCCCAAACCACTTTCCTTTTTTTTTTTTCCTTTGAGACAGAGTCTCACTCTGTCACCCAGGCTGGAGTGCAGTGGTATGATCATGGCTCACTGCAACCTCTGCCTCCCAGGCTCAAGTGATCTTCCTGCCTCAGCCTCCTGAGCAGCTGTGAGGACTACAAGGCACTTGCCACCATGCCCAGCTAATTTTTGTGTTTTTGTACAAAGTCTCACCATGTTGCCGAGGCTGGTCTCCAACTCCTGGGCTCAAGCGATCCACCCGCCTTGGCCTTTCAAAGTGCTGGGATTACAGATGTGAGCCACCATACCCGGGTTTAACTATCTTTCTTATGTTGGGGAAGGCAAGGAGAAAGAAAAGAAAAGAGAAGAGAAGAAAGGAAAAGAAAGAAAGAAAGAATGAGAGAGAAAGAAAGAAAAGAAAAGAAAAAAAAGAGAAGAAAGAAGGAAAGAAAGAAAGAGAAAGAGAGAAGGGAAGGAAGGAAAGGAAGGAAGGAGAGGAATGGAAGAGTTCGGGAAGGAAGGGAGGGAGGGAGGGAGGCCGGGCACAGTGGTTCACTACTTGTAATCCTAGCACTTTGGGAGGCCAAAGAGGGAGGATTGCTTGAACCCAGCAGTTTGAGATGAGCCTGGGCAGCATAGTGAGACCCTGTCTCTACAAAAAATAAAATTAGCCAGGCACACTGGCGCACATCTACAGTCCCAGCTACCCGGGAGGCTGAGGTGTGAGGATGGCTTGGGCTCAGGAGGTTGACACTGCAGTGAGCTGTGACCACACTATTGCACGCCAGACTCAGCAAGACCTTGTCTAGCTACACTGCCTAATGCAAAGCAATAGAGAGAATCTCCAGGTCTAGAAATGAAAAGGGAACAGCAGTCTGGAGCCTCATAGGCTGCAGGCTGCCCATGGCAGGACCCCAGGGTTTAGGTGCTGGGGCTTGGCAGCCGGAATACAGAAGGGAGGTGCAGGACAGGGGCTTGGGCCTGACTGGGCTGCCTGCACAGAGCCCGAAGGAGAGGAGTCATGGCGAGCAGCTGGCTGCCGTGATTAGGAGCACCAAGTGTGGAGCTGCTGTCTGGACTAGAATCCCAGCTCTGCCACTTACTACACTGTGGGACCCCGGCCAAGAGCCTCTACCACTCATCCTCACTCCATGTCCTGAGGACAGAGGACCCACCTTGCAGGTACTTTCAAACAGTAAGGAGGAAAAGAAGCCACCACCAGGCAGAGGACTTCCTCATCACCAGGTGAGTGTCTGTGGTCACAGTGCTGTCATCATCACCTGAGCCCCTCTACCAGCCAGCCCAGGGCTGGGCCCTCAGCAAACACCCACCAGAGGCCACTGGGGTGACAGAGCCACCCTTGAGAAATGTGAACCCCAAGCCTCCGCCTAAGAAGGCTAAATCCGGAGACCAAAAAATGTCAAAACAGGTCTAGAATGAGTGACACTGGTAGGACCTGCAGGGAAACCTGAGAACTGCTCATGGGGAGCCCCCCTCTCCCCGGGAGAGCCACTGAGAGATGCCCCTGAGGTAAACACAGCCTCCCACCAGCAGTGAGAGATCCTCCAGGAGCCAGGCATGGGACAGTATGGAAGGTCTTCTACAGGAGAACAGGAAATTACTGTTTTCATGATTTGCAGACTTGGAAAAAAAAAAGTATTGGTATTGAAATTAAAAACTCAGTTGAGTTGAATATAGCAGACCAGGCACAGCTAAAAATATAATAGATTAGAAGATAAATCTGAGAGAATCAGCAAGGAAAAGGGCTGATAAAGAGATGAAAACCATGTAAGATAAATTAAGACATAACATTCATGAATGTTTCATTCTTTCAAATATAAAGTGCCTACTATGAGCAAGACACTGATTTTAGGTGTTGGGATTATAACATTGAACAAAACAGGGTGAAAAACAGTCTGTCTACCCAAAAGAATTAAAAGCAGGAACCAGAAGATATTTGTACAACCATGTTCACAGGAGCACTATTACAGTAGCCAAAAGGTAGACGTAACCCATCAACAGATGAATAGATAACCAAAATGTAGACTATCTGCACAGTGGAGTAGTATTCAGCTTTAAAAGGAAGGAAATGCTGATATCTGCTTCAATATGGACGAATCTTGAAGAAACTATGCTAAGTGAAATAAGGCAGACACAAAAAAGACAAATACTGTAAAATTCCACGTACATGAGGTCCCCAGAATAGAATACATAGAGACAGGAAGTAGAATGGTGAGTGCCAGAAACTGGGGGAAGAAAAAGGAGGATGGGGAATTATGGGACAGAGTTTCAGTTTGAGAAGATGAAAAAGTTCTGGAGACAGTGTCATGGTTGTATAACAATGTGAATGCACTTAAGACCATAGAACTAAATGCTTTAAAATAGTTAAAATGGTAAATTTTATGTTACGTATACCCCCAAAAATCCTCTACCTTCAAGGAGCTTACATTCCAATGCAGTTCTAGTTGGAGAGGCTTGGGAGGATGAGGGAAAGACAACTTCTTCTTTTCATTTTTTTTTTTTTTTTTATTGAGACAGGGTCTTCCTCTGTTGCCCAGGCTAAAATGCAATGGTGCCATCACAGCTCACTGCATCCTAGAACTCCTGGGCCCAAGCAATCCTCCCACCTCAGCCTCCCAATTAGCTGGGAATACAGGCATGCACCACCACACTGGCTAATTTTTGTATTTTTTGTAGAGACGGGGTTTCACCACATTGCCCAGGCTGGTCTCAAACTCCTGGACTCCCAAAGTGGTAGGATTACAGGTTGAGCCACCTCAGCCAGCCAACAAATTTCAAAGAGGTGAAACATTTTCCAGAGATGAAAGGAAAATTAGATATTCTGAATAAAAGAGCACCCTATGTTCTGAGCAAAATAAATGAAAACAAATCATCTAGATACATTGTATTGAAATGACAGAACATGGAGGACAAACAGAAAATCTTCACCAGGCGTGGTGGCTCACACCTGTAATCCCACCACTTTGGGAGGCTGAAGTGGGAAGATCACTCGAGGTCAGGAGTCTGAGACCAGCCTGGCCAACATAGTAAGACGCCGTCTCTACAAAAAATTTTAAATTTAGCCAGGTACAGTGACACACACCTACAGTCCTAGAAGCTAGTCCTAGAAGCTACTCCTAGCTTCTTCAGAGGCTGAGGGAGGAGGATCACTTAAGCCTAAGAATTCGAGGCTACAGCAACCTATAAGCATGCCGCTGTACTGCAGCCTGGGCTACAGAGCAAGACTGTCTGTCAATCAATCAAGCAAGCATTAAGGGAAAATAAATGCCCACCTCGTGCCACCACAAGTGTCCAGAATTTTATGCCCAGGTAAATTATCATTCAAACATGAGGCAAGGGCCGGGTGCAGTGGCTCACACCTGCAATTCCAACACTTTGGGAGGACGAGGCAGGTAGATCGCTTGAGCTCAGAAGTTCGAGACCAGCCTGGGCAACATGGCGAAATCTTGTCTCTGCAAAAAAATACAAAAATCAGCTGGGTGCATGCCCATAATCCCAGCTACTGGGGAGGCTGTGGCAGGAGGATCAGTTGAGCCTGGGCAGCAGAGATTGCAGAGAGCCAAGAAAGCACCACTGCACTCCAGCCTGGGGTACAGAGCAAGACCTTGTCTCAAAACAAAACAAAAAAAAAAAAAAAACAAAAAACAAAAAAAGAGGCAAAATACATCTTGCAATATGCAAAGACTGAGAGTTTATTTATTTATTTTTTTATTGAAACGGAGTCTCTGTCGCCCAGGCTGGAACTGTGCCAGTGGCACAATCTCAGCTCACCACAGCCTCTGCCGCTGGGTTCAAGTGATTCTCCTGCCTTAGCCTCCCGAGTAGCTGAGACTACAGGCATGCATCACCACGCCTGGCTCATTTTTTTGTACTTTTAGTAGAGACGGGGTTTCACTATGTTGGCCAGGCTGGTCTCGAACTCCTGACCTCAGGTGATCTACCCGTCTCGGACTCCCAAAGTGCTGGGATTGGAGGCATTTAAGCCACCGAGCCTGGCCTGAGAGTTTAATATGCATATCTCTTTCACAAAAGAAAGGTGTAAAATCACAAGGACAAAGAACGGAAGGGATTAGAGTTAGAGATGTCAAACCTGGGGATGCGGACTTAGAGGAATCAGATTGGTACTGGAGAAGTGCTGTTGTAGGAAGAAGACTAATAACCTAAGAATTCCTCGTTTATAAATATTTTTCTTCTTAAAATTACAAATGCAACATGACCATTATAAAAAAGATGAAAATATTTGAGCACTCAGGTGAAAAATAAAAATACAGAGGTTAAAACAAAAATTACCAGTTAAGAGTTACCAGTGGTTCTAGGACAGGCACGGTGGCTCATGCCTGTAATCCCAGCACTTTGGGAGGCTGAGGCGAGCGGATCACAAGGTCAGGAGTTCAAGACCACTCTGGCCAACATGGTGAAACCCGTCCCTACTAAAGATACAAAAAATTAGCCAGGCGTGGTGGTGCACGCCTATAATCCCAGCTACTCAGGAGGCTGAGGCAGGAGAATCGCTCAAACCCGAGGCGGAGGTTACAATGAGCCGAGCCGAGATCAGGCCACTACACTCCAGCCTGGGCGACAGGGCAAGACTCCGTCTCAAAAAAAAAAAGAGTTATCAGTGGTTTTCTAAGGGGGACAGGAACAGAGGTGGGAAGAGTTAAGCATCACATTGCTGTTTTTTAAAATAAGTGCTTAGGAATTATATAACTAATTATTCACATTTCATGGAATATATACAGTATTACCTGACACGTTAAGGGGCTAGGGAGGCTGAACAGCCCCTATAGGACCACATGGACCTTGGGAGGTCTCCAACATGAGGGGAGGGACTCCACTCTCAGAAGCAGGGGGAAGGCTATGGACAACAACAGTCACCATTCAGAACCCACTCACTCAGGCCGGGTGTGGGGGCTCACACCTGTAATCCCAGCACTTTGGGAGACCAAGGCAGGAGGATCGCTTGAGCCCAGGAGTTGGAGACCAGACTGGGCAACATGGTGATGGCGAGACCCATCTCTAAAATTAAAATAAAAATAAAGAAATAAAAATAAAGAACCACTGAGTCCCACCCAAGTTCTCCAGCACTTGGAAATAGAGCAACAAACAAAATGCCTTCCTTATTCTTGAGGTGCTAATATTCTAGAGGAGAGAGGCAGAAAATAGGAAGAGTAGATATGCTAGGAAAAGAGAAAGCATAGAGGGCAATGGGGAGGCAGGAAGACTATTCCTTCCTGGACTGGGGCTGGGTAAGCCCTAGTGTGCATTTCTGGTGAGGTTTTTCGTTTTTTCGTTTTTGTTTGTTTTTTTTTGTTTTTTTTTTTTTTTGAGATGGAGTCTCCCTCTGTCGCCCAGGCTGGAGTGCAATGGCGCGATCTCGGCTCACTGCAAGCTCCGCCTCCCGTGTTCACGCCATTCTCCTGCCTCAGCCTGCCGAGTAGCTGGAACTACAGGTGCCGACCACCACGCCCGGCTAATTTTTATTTTTGTATTTTTGATAGAGATGGGGTTTCACCATGTTAGCCAGGATGGTCTCGATCTCCTCACCTCGTGAACTGCCCGCCTCAGCCTCCCAAAGTGCTAGGATTACAGGCATGAGCCACCGTGCCCGGTTCTCTGGGGAGCTTTAACACTTCAGACACAGTAGGCCTCACTGCTCCAACCTTGCCCACTGGCTTAGATGTCAGCTAAAGCCCACTCTGATAATTCCGTGAATCCAACTGAGCAGAAGGAGGTCTCAACCCTAGGACAGCAGTGAGATATTCAGGACATTCCCCAGAGCCAGGCCGTGAGACGGACCAAGCTCCAACCCATTCCTCCGGGGGCGGAAAAGACTGAAATGGAAAACCCAAGTTTGCAAATATGATTTACACATACCTAAAATACCCTCATTTTCTAATATATCACACTAGTCTGCCTGAAATATATTTCAGCCCTGCTATCACTGAATGATGGTAGAACCTCTGTTCTCATATAAAACAATTCCACGTAGGCGGGGCACAGTGGCTCACACCTGTAATCTCAGTACTATGGGAGGCCAAGGCAGAAGGATTGCTTGAGCCCAAGAACTCGACATCAGCCTGGACAACATGGCAAAATCCTGTCTCTACAAAACATACAAAACTTAGCTGGGCGTGGTGGCATGTGCCTGTGGTCTTAGCTACGCGGGAAGCTGAGGTGGGAAGACCACTTCAGCCTGTGAGGTGGAGACTGCAGTGAGCCAAGATCACGCCACTGCACTCCAGCCTGGGTGACAGAGTGAGACCTTGTCTCACAAAAGAAAAAAAAGGCCGGGCGTGGTGGCTTACCCCTGTAATCCCAGCACTTTGGGAGGCTGAGGCAGGTGATCACCTGAGGTCAGGAGTTCGAGACCAGCCTGGCCAACATGGTGAAACCCCGTCTCTACTAAAAATAGAAAATTAGCCAAGCGTGGTGGTGGGCGCCTGTAATCCTAGCTACTTGGGAGGCTGAGGTAGAACCACTGGAACCCAGGAGGCGGAGGTTGCAGTGAGCCGAGATCATGCCATTGTACTCCAGCCTGGGCAACGAAAGTGAAACTCCATCTCAATAAAAAACCTTGTATAGGCCGGGTGCGGTGACTCACGCCTGTAATCCCAGCACTTTGGGAGGCCGAGGTGGGCGGATCACGAGGTCAGGAGATCGAGACCATCCTGGCTAACACAGTGAAACCCTGTCTCTACTAAAAATACAAAAAACAATTAGCCGGGCATGGTGGCGGGCGCCTGTAGTCCCAGCTACTCGGGAGGCTGAGGCAGGAGAATGGCGTGAACCCGGGAGGCGGAGCTTGCAGTGAGCCGAGATCATGCCACTGCACTCCAGCCTAGGCGACAGAGCGAGACGCCATCTCAAAAAAAAAACAAAAAACAAAACAAAACAAAAAAAACTTGTACAAGAATGTTCACAGCAGCATTATTCGTAATAGCAAAAAGCAACCCAACTGTCTATCAACTGATGAATGGTTGAACAAAATGATCTATCCATGCGATGGATATTTAGCCACAAAAAGAAATGACGTCCTGATTTATGCTACAACATAGATAAACATGATGCTAAGTGAAAGAAGCTAGATACAAAGGCCACATGCTGTATGATTCCATTTATGTAAAATGTCTAAAATAAGCAAATCCATAAAGACAGAAGTAGAATGGCTGCCAGGGGCTGGGAGAGGAGAGGATAGGAAGTGACTGCTTAACAGTGCAGAGTTTTTTACTGAGCTGATGAAATGTTTAGGAATTAGGTAGTAGCAACTTTTGCACAACACTGAACATACCAAAAACACCACTGAATTGTACACTCTATAATGGTTTAAACAATAAATGTTATGTGAATTTTATCTCAATTAAAAAAAAAAAAGGTCGGCTGGGCACAGTGGCTCACGCCTGTAATCCCAGCACTTTGGGAGGTCAAGGCGGGTGTATCACCTGAGGTCAGGAGTGGATCACCTGAGGACCAGCCTGACCAACATGATGAAACTCTCTCTACTAAAAATACAAAATTAGCCAGGCATGGTAGCACATGCCTGTAATCCCAGTTACCTGGGAGGCTGAGGAAGGAGAATCGCTTGAACTCAGGAGGCGGAGGTTACAGTAAGCCGAGATGGTGCCATTGCACTCCAGCCTGGGAAACAACAGCAAAACTCCGACTCAAAAAAAAAAAAAAGTCAAATCTTGGCCGGGCGTGGTGCCTCACACCCATAATCCCAGCACTCTGGTTGGCCCAGGCAGGAGGATCGCTTGAGCCCAGGAGTTCAAGACCAGCTTGGGCAACATAGCAAGAACCTCAGCTCCACAAAAAGTAAAAAAGTTAGCTGGGTGTGGAAGCGCATGCCTGTAGTCCCAGCTACTCAGGAAGCTGAAGTGGGAGGATCGCTTGAGCCCAAGAGGTAGAGGCTGTGAGCCATAATTACACCACTGCACTCCAGCCTGAGTGGCAGAAGAAGACCCTGTCTCAAAAAATACTAATATACGACTGGGCGCAGTGGCTCACGCCTGTAATCCCAGCACTTTGGGAGGCCAAAGCGGGTGGATCACCTGAGGTCAGGAGTTCCAGACCAGCCTGGCCAAAATGGCGAAACCTCGTCTCTACTAAAAATACAAAAATTAGCCAGGCATGGTAGCGGGTGCCTGTAATCCCAGCTATTCGGGAGGCTGAGGCAGAAGAATCACTTGAACCCGGGAGGTGGAGGTTCAAGTGAGCCGAGATCATGCCACTGCACTCCACCCTGGCCAACAGAGTGAGACTGTCTCAAAAAAAAAAAAAAAATACTAATATACATGGGAAGCTCAAAAATAATAAAGCAGCCAGGCGTGGTGGCTCACGCCTGTAATCCCAGTACTTTGGGAGGCCGAGGCCGGTGGATCACTTGAGGCCAGGAGTTTGAGACCAGCCTTGCCAACATGGTGAAACCCCATCTCTATTAAAAATACAAAAATTAGCCAGGCGCAGTGGGTTCACGCCTGTAATCCCAGCTACTCCGGAGGCTGAGGCAGGAAAATCGCTTGAACCCTGGAGGTGGAGGCCGCAGTAAGCCGAGATTGCCACTGCAATCCAGCCTGGGTGACAGAGTGAGACTCAGTCTCAAAAAAAATAAAAACAATTTAAAAATTAAAAAATAAAGTAATGCCTTCAAAATTCTGAGGAAAAAATCATTACCAACCTAAATGATATATACCCAACCAAGCTATCAGCTGAGGATATGCACAGATGATTCTCTGGCATATAAAGTCTTTTTTTTTTTTTTTTTTTTTTTTTTTGAGGCAATCTCGCTCTGTCACCCAGGCTGGAGTGCAGTGGCCTGATCTCAGCTCACTGCAACCTCTGCCTCCCAGGTTCAGGCAATTCTCCCTGCTTCAGCCTCCTGAGTAGCTAGGATTACAGGTGCCCAACACCAGGCCTGGCTAATTTTTGTATTTTTAGTGGAGACTGGTTTCACCATGTTGGCCAGGCTGGTCTCGAACTCCTGACCTCAGGTGATCCACCCACCTCAGCCTCCCAAAGTGCTGGGATTACAGGCGTGAGCCACCGCACCCAGCCATATAGCCTTAATAAACGTTGCCTCACACATATTTTAAGATAACTATCAGACCACGTATCACCAAACATGAAGGTAAACTAAGGAAGACATGAGATGCAAAAAACAGATGGTCCATCGCAGAAGATGATGTGAACAGCTGTGCAGCAGAATAGGGAGGAGTCCAATCTGGAGCAGGAAGACAGCTCTGGGAGAAAGGTCATCACAGAAGAAAAAAAAAAGAAAAAAAGGAACTGACAGATCTAGTGTAACTGACCATCCCAAAGGCTTTTTATACAGTTCATTTGAAAAACTTTAGGCTGAATTAGTAACAGATACATGGAAAATAAAGCCAACAGAAAAACTTACCACCAGGAAAACAAAGTCATACAAGTAAATATTATCCATCACAGTGTATGATTTAGCTGAACAATGTAACAATTTATATTCATTTAAACCAAACCTTGCTATAAAAGTGTGGTAGATTAAAAACAGCCAACAAAAATTAGCCAGGTGTAGTGGCTCACGCTCACACCTGTAATCCCAGCACTTTGGTAGCCTGAAGTAGGAGGACTGCTTGAGCCCAGGAGTTGGAGGCTACAGTGAGCTATGATCGTGCCACTGTACTCTCGCCTGCGCAAGGGAGCAAGACCTCACCAATAAAATATAAATAAAGATGGTCAATAATTCTTTGTCACTCTACCAAGAGATGAAGGTCTGTTTCCCCACTCCCTTGAGTCTAGCCTGGCCCTGTAGCTGTTTTTACCAACAAAACATGGCAAAAGTGGGGACTTGCTATAACTGAGCAAGGGAGATTTAAAAAAAAAGAAGAACATGTCAAAAGTGATGACAGTTCTCACTACAGCATTTAAAACGACTGGCAGATCTCACTTCCTCCCTCATGGAACCAGCCACCACGCTGCAAGGAAGCCCAAGCAGCCTCATAGGATAGACCACACTGGGAAGAATGAAGCCCATGGCCAAAAGTCCCTACTGAACTCTCACAGTTGACAGCCAGTACCAACAAGCTGGCATCACATGGAGCAGGAGGAACAAGCTAACCCTGGCAAACCATGTCCCACTTACAAAACTGTAAACAAATACAGGTTGTTGTTTTTTCAACCACTAAGTTCTGGAATAGATCATCAAACCACCACAATATTGGGAATGTTGGGAAGAAGAAGGGAGGTAACATGGGAGGTAAGAGGGGGCGGGTTAAGAAAGCTAAATCTTCCATCATCTTCCACAGATAGAATTGAACATATATCAATCTGGAAGTTCTAAAATTAGCAAAATAAGCAAGTTATTTTTTTTTTGAGATGGAGTCTCGCTCTGTCCCAAGGCTCAAGTGCAGTGGCGCGATCTCAGCTCACTGCAACCTCCACCTCCCCAGGTTCAAGCGAGTACCCTGCCTCAGCCTCCTGAGTAGCTGGGACTACAGGTGCACGCCACCACGCCTGGCTAATTTTTTGGGTGTGTGTATTTTAGTAGAGACGGGGTTCCACCACGTTGGCTAGGATGGTCTTGATCTCCTGACCTTGTGATCTGCCCGCCTCGGCCTCCCAAAGTGCTGGAATTACAGGCGTGAGTCACCGCGCCCAGCCGCAAGTTACTTTTTAAAGTACAGATAAATAGAAACAGCTGAAAGGCCAGGCACAGTGGCTCAAGTCCGTAATCCCAGAACTTTCAGAGGCCAAGATGAGTGAATCACTTGAGGCCAGGAGTTCAAGACCAGCCTGGCCAACATAGTGAAACCCTGTCTCTATTAAAAATACAAAAATTAGCTGGGCATAGTGGTGCACACCTGTAATACCAGCTATTCAGGAGACTGAGGCACGAGAATTGCCTGAGCCCAGGAGATGGAGGTTGCAGTGAACTGAGATCATACCACCACACTCCAGCCCTGGCCACACAGTGAGATCCTGTCTCAAAAAGAAAAAAGAAAAAAAGGAAACAGCTGAAAGAGCAGAGGTTGCCTTGATGGAACTCTGAAGGGGAGTACAGCAGGGACTGTCACCTTTGATTACAAGACTCACAAAGCATACGTCTTCAATGGACGCGCTTTAGTTTCGTAAAGGAAAAGATAAGCAGAAAATATGCTTCAACATTTTGGTTGGTGAGAGCAGAGTTGTATGTATCCTTCCACTTTTCTGTATTCTACAAATTATTCATAAAATATATTTTCTGATTATAGAATTATTAAAAATACTTAAGCTAATTTTGCCATAATGATGTGTCAAATTGCACATCTCTGGAAATAAAATTTATATAAACTCTAGGCTGGAACTCACACAACTCAGTTTTTCTATATCATTCCTGCGCCTGGAACTTGTCCTGAGGGAAGAGAGCAGTGAGGAACTACCTGTACTCAGGGCAGCTCTGCAGAACCGGTGCAGAGATCTCTGGGTGGTAACAAAGAGGAGCAGTGCATGGGTACCAAGAGAGGCAGTAACAGCTCCTGAGAGGGGCACCCACCAAGAAGGCACAGCCATGAAGAGCAGCTAGGCTCAAGGACCCAGAGCATGCCTCCACACTCCAGCATGATGTGTGGCCCCAAGCAGCCACTTGAGACTCCCCAGAGGCAGAAATGCAGAGCAAGGACAAGGTCCTATCAAAATACATGTCAACAGGGGCCACTGAGACAGACTTCCTTTACCTCAGAAGTTTTATCAACATATCAGAAGTTTTATCAACTTACAAGAATGACCAGGGCCCCCTCTCGCAAAGAAAAGAGAAGGCAATGATCACAGTTCATTCTGTTGTTATTTTTTCTGAATCAGCAGAGAGCCCTCAATAATGCTCCACTGATCCATAAGCAGGTGTCTGAGATAGGGCACTGGCAATGTCTTGTTTCTGCCCTTTACTGATTTAATCCACTAATTTGCTGAAATGCCTTATAGCAGCTGTGAACATACTGGTATATAAAAAATAGACATGCATTCAGCCTAAAAAGGTAGATAGTGGACAAACAAGCAGCACTATTTGTTTCAAAGGAGTTACAGGCAGTTGAATTTTATTTTTTTTATTTTTATTTTTTTTTTTTGAAACAGAGTTTTGCTCTTGTCACCTAGGCTGGAATACAATGGCATGATCTCGGCTCACTGCAACCTCCGCCTCCCGGGTTCAAGCGATTCTCCTGCCTCGGCCTCCTGAGTAGCTGAGATTACAGGTTGCCGCCACCACGCCTGGCTAATTTTTAGTATTTTTAGTAGAGACAGGGTTTCTCCATGTTGGTCAGGCTGGTCTCAAACTCCTGACCTCAGGTGATCCGCCTGCCTCGGCCTCCCAAAGTGCTGGGATTACTGGCGTGAGCCACCACGCCCAGCCCAGGCAGTTGAATTTTAAAGACACACTTGCAGATTTCAGAACTCAACTGAAAAGAACCCAATAAACTGTTAACACGATATATAATCCCAATTTGTCTTCTACAAATAGAGCATACAATTTGCAGATAAAGAACGAGGCTGGGCCCAGTGGCTCACGCCTATAATCCTAGCACTTTGGGAGGCCAAGGCAGGCAGATCGTGAGGTCAGGAGATCGAGACCATCCTGGCCAACATAGTGAAACCCCATCTCTACTAAAAATATAAAAATTAGCTAGGCGTGGTGGCACATGTCTGTAATCCCAGCTACTCGGGAGGCTGAGGCAGGAGAATCACTTGAACCAGGGAGCTGGAGGTTGCAGTGAGCCAAGATTGGGCCACTGCACTCCAGCCTGGGTGACAGGGCACAACTCCGTCTCAAAAAAAAGAACAAAAGGGGCCTGCGGTGGCTCACACTTGTAATCTTAGTGCTTTGGGAGGCGAAGGTGGGCCAGATCACTTGAGCTCAGCAGTTCGAGACCAGCCTGGGCAACATGGCAAAATCCCATCTCTACAAGAAATACAAAAATTAGCCAGGCACAGTAGCATGCACCCATAGTCCCAGCTACTTGGGAGGCTGAGGTGGGAGGATGGCTTGAACCCAGGAGGCAGAGGTTGCAGTGAGCCAAGATCATGCCACTGCACTCCAGCCTGGGTGACAGAGCAAGACCCCATCTCCTCCCCGACAAAAAAAGGGAGAAAAATCTAATTTTTATATCTGCAACTTTCTCAGTAGTCTCATTTTGTAAGTTTTCATTGTGGGTAGTGCTGCTTCTGCTGAAATGTCATTTTTCTCTCCCACTTAAGGAAGAATAAGTTGTCTTAAGTTAAACAAGCTTCTCCATGCTCTCGTGACAGTTCAGCCTCTATCCTAGGCTACTGTGTAGAAAACCATGAACAGAGAACAAGAGGCAGCAACGCAGCTCCTGCGTGCAGCTCCATGTGGGCCACACTCGCTTCTTATCGCCATCTAGGCAGCTCCTTCAGCTCACACATGCTGAGCACCCACACATGCTGCTCGCTCTGGGAATGCAGCCATGGACAAGACACAAGAGCCCTGCTTTCATGGGGCTTCCACTACAGCTGGGAGAGCAGATGGGGACAACAAACAAGGTGGGATCAGCAGAGCGGAGGAGGTACGCTTTTTTTTTTTTTTTTTTGGAAACAAAGTCTTGCTCTGTTACCCAGGTTGGAGTGCAGTGGTGTAATCTGGGCTCACTGCAACCTCCACCTTCTGGTTCAAGCAATTCTCGTGCCTCAGCCTCCTGAGTAGCTGGGGTTACAGGTGTGCGCCACCACGCCCAGCTATTTTTTGTATTTTTAGTAGAGACAGGGTTTCGCCATGTTGGCCAGGCTGGTCTTGAACTCCTGGCCTCAAGTGATCTGCTTGCCTCAGCCTCCCAAAGTGCTGGGATTACAGGCCTGAGCCACTGCGCCCAGCCCTGCAGAGGGGGTACACTTTTAAATGGGGGGAGGGGTATCAAGGTGGGGTTCATTGAGAAACTGTTACTTGAGCTAAGGAAGTCCACAAATTTTTATTTCTTAATGGGCTTTCTCTTGTTTCTGAACCTGAAATGGAAGGTAATGTAAATGCACACAGAAAGAATGCTATCTGGACAGTAAATGGCACCTCTAGCCATCTGGTTCTGTCAGACAAAAACTTAGGGCTATCACTGGCACCAGAACTTCCCCTCATCTCTCCTTATCCCAAACAACACAACTTATCAATTTTACTCCAGAGGCCTTCCTAGCTAGGCCTGTCCACTTTTCTCCACACCCACAATCCCAAGAATGGCCAACCACCAAGCTCTTTCACCAAGACTGACGCCAACAGCCTCCTGACTTATCAGTCAGGAAATTCAGACAGTAGCTCTCAACTCAAGGGCATCAGAATCACATGAAGGACACATTAGAACACAGATTGTTGGGCCCCACTCCAGAGTTCATGATGCAGTAGGTCTGAGACATGAAAATGTGCATTTCTAACTAGCATCCAGGCCACTGAAGCTGCCAGTCTGGGGACCAGACTTTGAGAACCACTGGAGACTAGGTTATGGTACAGTAACAAGCCCAAAACTGTTACTTGGCTCAACCCAGTTTTTTGTTGTTGTTGTTGTTGTTGTTTTTGAGACAGAGGTCTTGCTCTGTCGCCCAAGCTGGAGTGCAGTGGCGCGATCTCAGCTCACTGCAAGCTCCACCTCCCGGGTTCACACCATTCTCCTGCCTCAGCCTCCCGAGTAGCTGGGACTACAGGCGCCCGCCACCACGCCCAGATAATTTTTGTGTGTTTTTAGTAGAGACGGGGTTTCACCGTGTTAGCCAGGATGGTCTCGATCTTCTGACCTCGTGTCCACCCGCCTCGGCCTCCCAAAGTGCTGGGATTACAGGCATGAGCCACTAAGCCCAGCCCAAAGTTTTCTTTCTTGCCCATAGTACATATCCGTTTGTTTCCACAGTCAGAAACAAGAGAAAGGGAACACGATAAAGCACGTGTCTCAGCGCTTCCACTCAGAAGTTACGTGTCACTTTCCAATGGCCAGAGCAAATCACAGGCCACACCACATTTCAAGGAGACAGGGCTGTCCAATCCAATCAGGGACCCAAAGCAGGGACAAAGGAAAGGTTTTCACCTGAACAGAGTGACCACAGATTGGGCTTCTGTACACACTCTTCCGGAACCTTCCCCAGCACCAACTCAATCTACAGAGCAATCTGAGGAATCTTCTTTCCAAAGCAAATAGATTCATGTCACACCATCACCCTTAAAACCTCACATTGCTCTTAACAGGACCTAAAAGAACTTGCCTGACACCCTCTGCTCCAGCCACACCAGCTTCTTCCTGCTCTATCACAGAAGCTCTGCACAGGCTCTTCCCTCCATCTGATACTCACCCCCACCCTCATGGAGCCAACACCCAATCCCCGTTCTGCTCTCTGCTCCCTGCTCTAGTGTCTATCCCATCAGGAAGTCTTTCCCAAAGCCTTGTCAGGTATAACCTCCCTATTATATGCACCTAGATCTTTCCTTCATGACTTGCTTTGTGTGATGAGGAATTCTAAACACATATAAATGTGGAGAGAATAATTAGAACCAGGGCTCAGAGGGGTGGCTCATACTTGTATTCCCAGAACTTTGGGAGGTGCAGGCAGAAGGACTGCTTGAGTCGAGGAATTCAAGACCAGCCTGGGCAACATGGCAAAACCCTGTCTCTATTTAAAAACAAAAACAAGCCAGGCACGGTGGCTCACGCCTGTAATCCCAGCACTTTGGGAGGCCGAGGCGGGTGGATCATGAGGTCAGGAGATCGAGACCATCCTGGCTAACACGGTGAAACCCCGTCTCTACTAAAAATACAAAAAAATCAACCGGGCGTGGCAGCGTGCGCCTGTAGTCCCAGCTGCTGGGGAGGCTGAGGCAGGAGAATGGCGTAAACCCAGGAGGCGGAGGTTGCAGTGAGCCGAGATCGCGCCACTGCACTCCAGCCTGTGTGATGGAAAGCAAGACTCCGTCTCAAAAAAACAGAAACAAAAACAAAACACATAAAAAATTAGCCAGGTGTAGTGGCACACGCCTGTGTCCCAGCTACGCAGGAGGCTGAGGTGGGAGGACCATTTGAGTCCGGGAGGGACCCTATCTCAAAAAAAAGTTAGAACCCATGTGCCCATACCACTCTCAACCTAGACCAGCCCTGAAGTCCTGATGTAACCACAAATAACCTACTCCCTCTCCCATAGGATCATGACACAAACCCTAGATGATGTACCATTTCATCAGTAAATGTCTGTATGCACCTCTAAAAGGGAGGAATTACTAAACATAACAAACCCACTATCACAGCTAAAAATAAAAATAATTCCTCAATAATAAATATAATCAGTGTTCCAAATTCTGTCTCAAATATCACAAATGATATTCAGCTGTTTCTCTAACAAACTGATCTGACACAAACACAGATAAGCCCTACAATAAAAATTAGTCCATGTTCCTCCAGTCTCTTGTCATCAGTCCCCTTCATTTTTCCCTGTTGATGAGTATGGCTTACTGGTCTTATAGTTTCCCACATTTCTCAGTGTTGCCAATGGCAACTCTGTAGTATTTCTCTTGCCCCTGTATTTCCTGTAGATTGGTTGTTAAACATAGGAGCTTGACTGGACTCAGGTTTGATTTTTTTTTTTTTTGGCAGGAGTATTTCACAGATTTTTCAAAGATATGACCTTTGCTCACTGTCCCTCCCCATTTCATCCCATTACAGGCCTATAAAACCCATGGGAACGAGGACATAGGTCTTGGCTCATCATTGGCACACAACTGATACTCAATGAATGAAGAAATATCAGGCAGAAGTACACTGCCACACTGACTGGCAGAAATATAATGGCTCAGTCTTCCATGCACATATAGACTGCTGTATGTTAGTTTTCCAAGAGGCAAAACAAAGTAAGTTCCCAGGGTACAGAATCAGAGGTCAGGCCCTGCAGGAGTTCTAACTTCATCACATACAGCCTTGTGACTTTGGATCAGTTACTTGACATCTTTGGGATTCAATTTCCTGCTGTGAGGATTCAATGAGAAGAAGATGCTTTGCTGCTGAAAGATTTGTGTAGCAAGGCTCTACAAAGATTACACCAACTCCGAATTTTGGAGGGGAAAGAACACAGAAGCCTCCTATTTCTAACACATATTTTAACCAAAAATCTAGAAATTCACATTTTTATGAAATAAAAATCATTAGGAAAACAGAATAATACCCAAAAACTATCTCTACTTGTTAACTAAGTGCTTTCCACATTTAGGCACTGAAGACATATCAAAGGGCCCTCACCTTGAAAAATTCACAACCTGGAGAAGAGAATGGGGCAAGAGCCTGTGCAACATGCTAACTGTCATAAGAGGGCCCAGTACTCACAAAGGCATGACAAACTTGGGAGAAAACACACACACACACACACACACACACACACACACAAGTGCCATGGGCCCAGGGTCTGCAACACCCGGTTCTGGTAGAAATAGGGAAAGGCTTCACAGAGATGAGAGGTGAGCCATAAAACCACCACAGCAACACAAAATTAGGCAACTCAGGAAGAAGCAACAGCACATGCAAAGATCCATGGGACAGGGCACGGCTCATCACAAGAGCTACAGGCAGCATGATGAGATCTCACAGCAACCACAAAGGACTGGCCAGCAAAGATGCTAGAAAGACAGGCAGGATCACTGGCCAGAGTCACAGAGGAAAGAAAAAATACACATTTTTTAAAAAATGTGTGTAGGCCAGGCGCGGTGGCTCAAGCCTGTAATCCCAGCATTTTGGGAGGCCGAGGCGGGCGGATCACAAGGTCAGGAGATTGAGACCATCCTGGCTAACACGGTGAAACCCCGTCTCTACTAAAAATACAAAAAAATTAGCCGGGCATGGTGGCGGGCGCCTGTAGTCCCAGCTACTTGGGAGGCTGAGGCAGGAGAATGGTGTGAACCCAGGAGGCGGAGCTTGCAGCGAGCTGAGATCACTCCACTGCACTCCAGCCTGGGTGACAGAGCGAGACTCCGTCTCAAAAAAATAAAATAAAATAAAATAAAATAATTTTAAAAAGTGTTGTATATATTTACATATATACACATAGATACATAAAGGAAAGACAGGCAGGAACCACATGCCATGCTCAAGATCTAGGGCTTTCTCTTCTAAGCAAACAGTGAAGCTCCAGAGACACATTTTTAGGCAGGTAGGTGAGATCAGAGCTTCCTTCTGGAAGGAAATAAGGTAGGTCAGAAGCGAGGCCCACTTTCCCTTCCCCTGGTTCACAGAGAGGTAACAGTACCAGCAACTACCCAATCTTTCCATCTGTAAGGATTGGACCAAGGACCCTCTCCTGCACCACTCTCACGCTATGGCCCAGTCCGGGCAATGCTGCCTCTGCTCATTCTCTCCCACCTGTCCACACCTTCCCAGCCTTGCCTCCTGTGCATTGGTTAAGTCACAGTTCTCCAGCCCTGCTAATGGTGCATAAGGCTCTTCTGTGACCTCTGCCACCAGCCCATGGCCCTCCACCTTTCCAACTCCACATCAAGGCAAAATGCTCACACCACTCCCCTTCATTCACACCATTTCTGGGACATATTATGCCCCCTAAGGCATACGAAGTACTGAGGGCTGTGTATGTATTCAAATAGTCACTGAATGCCTGACAGTCACTCAGGTACCATTCCAGGTGCTGAGGACATGACAGCAAGCCAAGCAAAAGGAAAAAAGTCCCTGCCTTCACAGATGACCCAATGCAGCCAGGAATTCACATGGAATGTTGGAGGTATGTGCTATGGAGAAAATCTAAGGCAGATGTGGAGTGCCAGATAGCAACAGAATAATTAAAAAAAGTTTTTTTGGCCAGGCATGGTGGCTTACGCCTGTAATCCGAACACTTTGGGAGGCCAAGACAGGCAGATCACTTGAGGTCAGGAGTTCGAGACCAGCCTGGCCAACATGGCCTAGTCTCTACTAAAAATACAAAAAAAAAAAAAAAAAAAAAAAAAAAAAAAAATATATATATATATATATATATATATCAGCCGGGCATGGTGGCACACACCCGTAATCCCAGCTACTTGGGAGGCTGAGGCAGGAGAACCGCTTGAACCCAGGAAGCAGAGGTTGTGGTGAGCCTAGATTGTGCCACTGCACTCCAGCCTGGGTGACAGAGTTAGACTCCGTCTCAGAAGTGTGTGTGTATATATATAATACTTTTTTTAAATTTTATTTTTCTTTTGGGACAGAGTCTTACTGCCACCCAGTCTGGAATGCAGTGGCATAATCGTGGTTCCCTGCAACCTCAAACTCCTGGGCTGGAGTGATCCTCTCGTCTTGGCTTCATAAAGCACCAGGATCACAGATAAACTGTAATAGTACCTGGTCACAACAGAGTACTTTAAATCAGTGGTCAGAGAAGGTGCCCGAGAGGGAGAAGCACAAAGACCTGAAGGAGGGTGAGGGGTAAGCCACACAGATACCTGGGGACAGCATTCCAGGTCAAAGAAGGAACAAGGGCACTAGTCGGAGGCAGCAGAGCTGCAGGGCTTCAGAGCAGGCAAGAGGCCCGTGTGGCTGGAACAGAATGAGAATGGGAGTGGGTGACGATGGAAAAGACAAGAGCCTCCCAAAACAGGCAGGAGTCAGGCACAGCATTCAGTGTGGGGCCCAAGCTGAGACCTGGCAGAAGGAAGGAAGAGGGAAAGCATGCCTATCCCCCAAACACATGGGGTAAGGGGGCACATGGGCAGAAGAAAGGAACAAAAATTGACCACACAAAGGCCCAGAGGAAAAACATGGCAGAAAGAGATGAGCTGAGTAACTGAGATGAGGGCAAAACAAGTAGTGCAGTGAGAGTCAGAAAGCCAGTGAGAGACTCGTCTTGAACCCCAATGGGCAGTGAGAGTCACCCCCTGAAGACTGGGGACACATAGGACATCTGTATTTTAGAAAGACAAGGCAGTGTGTAGAGAACTACCTGAAGACAGTAAAACCGGAGTCGGAAAAATGCTTTCTGATCATTAGCCTCCATAATATAGCAGCAAAAAATATATGAAAACCATCAAAATGTAAGAACATTGCTAACATGCACAGATCCTCTAAAAGCATAACAATTTTTTTTTTTTCCTTGAGACAGAATCTCGTCCTGTCGCCCAGGCTGGAGTGCAGTAGCATGATCTCGGCTCATTTCAACCTCTGCCTCCCAGGCTCAGGGAAGTCTCCTGCCTCAGCCTCCCGAGTAGCTGGGATTACAGGCACCCACCACCACGCCCAGCTAATTTTTTGTATTTTTAGTAGAGACGGGGTTTCACCACATTTCCCAGGCTGGTCTCGAACTCCTGACCTCAGGTGATCTGCCTGCCTTGGCCTCCCAAAGCACTGGGATTACAGGCGTGAGCCACCCACCGCACCAGCAAACGGCATAACAAATTTAATTCACATCATCAACTCTCTCAGTGCCAACTCAAGTCAACTTAAAAATTGAGGTTCCAATTCCTTCCAGAAAAAAAAAGCATTTTTTCTACACACCCACTAGGGTAGTCTCACTATTGGGGTTTTGTGTTTAGGTTTGTTTTTTGAGAGAGGGTTGTGCTATCTCCCAGGCTGGAGTGTGGTGGTATGATCACAGCTCACTGCAGCCTCAAAGTCCTGGACTCAGGTGACCTCCCACTTCAGCCACCCAAGTATCTGGGACTATAGGCACACACCACCAAGCCCAGCTAATTTTCAAAAATTTTTGTAGAGATGGGGTCTCCCTATGTTGCCCAAGCTGGTGTCAAACTCCTAGTCTCAAGTGATCCTCCCACCTCAGCCTCCCAAAGTGCTGCAATTACAGGCATGAGCAACTGTGCCTATCCACTACTGGAGTTTTTGAGCTGAGGCCATCACTCAGCTAACCAACACTGCAATTTCTATCCTTGTATATTTTGTTGAAACCACTAAGTATTACAGAAAGTAAAATGCTTTGAAAACTCATCTGGGGCCAGGTGGTTTTAGGAAAGCAGATACTAAAACAAAACTAATTTGAAATCTGTCTTGGTTTTTTTTTTTTGAGACAGGGGTCTTGCTCTGTCAACCAGGGTGGAGGGCAGTGGCGCGATCTCAGCTCACTGCAAGCTCCGCCTCCCAGGTTCACACCATTCTCCTGCCTCAGCCTCCCGAGTAGCTGGGACTACAGGCACTGCAACCATGCCCAGCTTATTTTTTATATTTTTAGTAGAGACAGGGTTTCACCATGTTAGCCAGGATGGTCTCAATCTCCTGACCTCATGATCCACCCGCCTCGGCCTCCCAAAGTGCTGGGATTACAAGCTTGAGCCACCGCACCCAGCCAAAATCTGTCTTGAATTCTTTTTTTTTGAGATGGAGTCTCGCTGTCTCCCAGGCTGGAGTGCAGTGGCGCAGTCTTGGCTCACTGCAAGCTCCGCCTCCTGGGTTAACGCCATTCTCCTGCCTCAGCCTCCCGAGTAGCTGGGACTACAGGCGTCCACCACCATGCCCAGCTAATTTTTTGTATTTTTTTTTTTTAGTAGAAACGGGGTTTCATCATGTTAGCCAGGATGGTCTCGACCTCCTGACCTCGTGATCCAACCGCCTCGGCCTCCCAAAGTGCTGGGATTACAGGCGTGAGCCACTGCACCCGGCCAATCTGTCTGGATTTTTTAACTAGCAAACCAAATGTAATCAAATCAATCAATTCTTTAAAAAGCTATACTGCAGGCCAGGCACAAGGCCGAAGTGGGAGGATCACCTGAGCCCAGGAGTTCATGACCAGCCTGGGCAACATGGTGAAATCCTGTCTGTATAAAACACAAAAATTAGCCAGGCATGGTGGCACATGCCTGTTGTCCCAGCTACTCAGGAGGCTGAGGTAGGAGGATCGATTGAGCCCAGGTGATCAAGGCTGCAATGAGCCGTGATCATATGACTCCACTCTAACCTGGGTAACACAGCAAAACCCTGTCCCAAAAAAAAAAAAAAAAAAAGTAAAAAGCTATACTGCAACTTGGCCGGGCACAGTGGTTCACACTTGTAATCCCAGTACTTTGGGAGGCCAAGGCAGGAGGATCACTTGAGGCCAGGAGTTACAGAGACCAGCCCAAACACTGCAAGACTGACTCCATAAAAAATTTTAAAATTAGCCAAGCATGGTGGCATCTGCCTGTAGTCCTAACTACTTAGGAGAATGAGCTGGGAGGAAAGCTTGAGCCCAGGAGTGCCAGGTTACAGTGAGCTATGATTGAACCACTGCACTCCACACCAGGTAACAGGTGAGACCCTATCTCAAAAGAAAAGAGCAATATTGCAACCAATAGACAAATATAAAATGCTAGAGTCCCTGGGTTACCAACACAAGTCTTTTTCTCCCCCAAAGTACTCGCTGTAAATAACCATTCATTAAAAAGGAATTAGCAAATCATACAGTTTACAAATACAAGCCTAATCCTCTAAAGCCCCCATGTCATCTCCTCTTTCGTATTCTGTGTACTTTATATTTTTTTATCTTCACCAAGGATAGAGAAATTGACGAGGTAGATTTCTTGCTCCATCTTGGTGGTAGTACAGATCTGTTCTACTACTTGTTGGACTTATATACTTGCAATGTTTCAGAGTGACCTTAGCCAAGCCATTTCCTTTCTAGACTCAGCTTCTTCTCCCAGATGCTCCATTACTTACAAAACAGAGAGGCAAACAGGCCAGATATCGGCATTAAAATGGGCTGTTTGTTTACCCTAAGCCATATACCCATTTATTCGGCACTTACTGAGTGTATGCCATGAGAATGCACCAGCAGAGGCAATGCTGCCCAAGGCAATGACAGAGTCCTACCTCTAAGAGTTAACCCAACAGGGGAGAAAGGTCACAAGTGGCCATTAAAAAGCCATGAATTATGCTCAAAGAGGAAGGACAGGTGGCAGGTAGTCCACACCCAAGAACAGCCCACACAAAGGCCTGGAGTCAGGACATGGTACCACGTATTTGGAGAACAAGGTCACACTTACTACAATCAAGCAAAACAAGAGACTGAGGCTCAGAAGACTAAAATGCTTATCCAAAGTTGTATGCATTCTATGGCCATGAGCAGCCCACCAAAAAACAAAACAAAAACAAAAAGGCAAAACCAAACACGTAGATCAGAATATATGAGTAAAAAGCCTTATGGCTTCTGTTGCTGCTGATTAATTATTTACTTAGAAAGGTTATTTGCCCACTTGCCCAGCTAAAAAGGACAGGGCAGAGCCAGGAAGGCTGAGTGTGCCTGTAGTAACCACTACTCAGGAGGCTGAGGCGGGAGAATCACTTGAGCCCAAGAGTTTGGGACTGAAGTGCACCATGATTGCTCTCCTCTGAAATAGCCACTGCACTCAAGCCTGGGCCACATAGAGAGACCCTGTCTCTAAAAATAAATAAATAGCACAGGACAAAATACGTTTGGATTATGAACTTCAGCACCATCTTAGCACTTCTTTTAAGTTCTTGCTTGGTAAAGAGAATCCTGTAGCTTAGTAAGCCTAATTCCAGCTACTTTTGCATGTTTTACACTGAATCTTCAAACAAAAAAAGTTCACATTCTGCCATGTGAGTAAACTTTGTAAGATTTGATTACTTTTAGAAGGAGAAGATAATCTGAATAGGCAGAAGGCTGTACCCATGTAAGCCCCACAGGATTAGGAGGAGTGGGTTGTCTTCTACCTATTCAGATTATCTTCCTGACTCATTCTAGGACTCTGCTTAATGCTTCATTTGGGTCCGCACACTTCAGCAAGTACTGGTTTGAAAGCCCTGGATAAGCTGATTGCATAGAAACAAAGCAAGTCGCACCTGCAGCCTGCTGACCTTATAATTTTGTTGTGCATGGCTCCAAAAGTTATATTAGTTTATATGTTACATACGAATAGATACGATAAATTGTCCATCATTCTTTCAAATTCTCAGTTAATTACCTCATACTCTTAAAATAAAATCTTTACTGTTATAATCAGAGGCCAGACTCTGGTATTAATGCAGTCAGGAGAGGACAATTTTTGTACTGAGATCAGAGCTCTTCACAAAAGCTTACACAAACTCAAAATTGTGCAGTAAGTCCTCACTCTACCAACCATCAGCCCAAAACTGAAGGTTGCTGGGTTTGGGTGGCTGAGAAAATGGAAGGAAAGAAAAGGAAATGACTCAAAGTAATCGTGCTTAAAGCATGAGTCCTCTTCATCTCCATTTGGCAGTTTAGATTTGAACCACCATCAGTTGTGGGGAATGAGAGCACACATCAAGTACACAAGGAAAGGCTGTGCTCACAGAACTTGTTTGCTTTATGTTGTTGGCGTTCTGCTCTTTAAAATATTGTTGTTCTCATCACATTTAAATACGTAACTAGGGCACTTAAAACATTTTGGGAAAATTAAAAAGTTTAAGTCCCAAGTTCATAAATGGGATGGCTCCTAAGTTATTTTCCACGTTGATATTTGAAATACACAAAATAGAGTGAATATAACCCATGCGTGATGCTGGCGTTTAACTCATTTAAAAATCAAGGCTTGAAAGTCTGTGAAGCAGGTGGGTAGCACTGAAGAGCTGCTCCTGAGCCAGGCCTGAACTTTATCCAATTAGTCTTGTCTTCACAGGGTCTGCGCGCTCTCTCTCTCTCTCTCTCTCTCTCTCTCTCTCTCTCTCTCTCTCACACACACACACACACACACACACACAAAATACACGTTATCTACCTAAAAACGATTAACGTCACCACATCAGTTTTGATACTATGTTTCCACTTGAATGTCAAAGCCCATCGTGGGCACAGAAAGATTCGTGCTGCAATGGGTCCTATACAATACCCTCATCCATTTTATTTCTACCGAAACTTAAGACCAGCATTTTTTAAACGCCGAGATTTTAAACCACGGTTCCTGTGAGTGGAGCAAAACCAGCCATTAAGTCGCCAGGTCCCATCTCATGCACTGAGGCTTCAAGGACTATCAATCTGCATCCTGGGGCGAGGGGAACATCCCAGGCGGAGGCCCGGACGCCGAGGGCGCGCAGCCCCCCAGCAGGGTACCCACACCCGGCTCACCCCCGCCTCCACCTGCCAAGGGCCGGACCGCGGCCCGGCTTCCCGGGGGAGCGTCCGCGCTGACCAACGCCCGGGCGCCGCGAGTGTCAACGCCAGACACCGCCTGCAAACAAAAAGCGACCCTCGGCCCGACCCCTGGCCCCGGCGCCGGCCCCGGGACCCCAACCTGCCCCTCCCACCGCGGCCGCCCCGGACCGGGGGCGCCGCACAAAGGCCGGCCCGACCCGCTCGGCGCCGCGGGAACAAAGGCGGCCGCCTCGGCCGGGCCGGGCACAGGTGCAGCCGCAGGGCCCGGCCGGGCCCAACATGGCCGCGCCCGCCCGCCCGGCCCCGTTAGCCGCCGCCGCCCGCAGGCCGCCGCCCCTCCCCTGCCCGGACTCGTCCCGGCCTCCGCGGTCCGCCCGGTCCTCCCGCCGGCCCTCAGGCCTCCGCGGTCCTCGCGGTCCCCACGACCCTCTCAGGCCGCCCGGCCTCCCGGTCCCCCAGCCCCTGAGCCGGCCCCTCAGGCCTCCTCAGTGCCCCCACTCCTCCCGGCGCTCCCGCCCCCTCAGGCCTCCGCGGTCCTCCCCGCCGCCCCTCAGGCCTCCCACAGCCCGGCCTCCCGGCCCCAGCCCCGGCGGTTGGCGGCCCGCGACTGTTGGGCGGGCGCCCCAGTGACCTGCGGTGCGTCGCATCCTCGGCGGGCGGCTCTCCGGAGCGGCAGGCTGGGAGGGGGCCGGGGCCGTGCGGCGGTAGGGCCCAGGCGGGGAGGGGGCGGCGGCGGCGGCGGGCGCAGCGCGGCCAGGCCGAGGCTCTCGCGCGCGGCGCCGACCCCGCCCCCGCGCCTCCCGCCCGCCGCCGCCGCCGCAGCCGGGGCCGCCGCCGCCTCGCAGAAGCCGCGGGAAAAGTGCGCGCCGCTGATTGGCTGCCGCGCTCGCGGGGCCCGCGGACCGGGCTTTTCAAATCCGCGCCGGGGCCGCGCACGGGCGGGGCGGGCAGGCACGCGGCGGGTGGGGGCCGCGCGGGCGGGCGGGGCTGGCAGCGCCGGGAGGGCCGGGCCGCGGGCCCCGCGAGCCGCCTCAGAGTAGCGCCGGGCGCGCGCCCTGCTCCCGCTACTCGGCGGCGCGCACCCGGCCCAGACCCGGCGCCCGCGGGCGCCGCGCTCAGTGACGTCACGATCCGCGCCCAATCACCGTCCGGAGCCGGCGCCCCCGAGCCGTGGGCGCGCGGCCGCGGAGGCTGGCGTTGGGCGCGCGGCCCGCCCGCGCGGGTCCCCAAGCTCCTGTCCCGTGAGAGGGGCGCGGGGCCTGGGGCCCGCGGGAGGCTGCTAGCGGCGTCCGCCTCGCGGAGCGGCAGTGCGGGGACGGGTGGGGAAACCGCCGCAGAGGCCCCGCCGTGGCGGGCCCGGAGCCTCAGAACAGACGTGGCGGAGAGGGTCAGACGCCACGACGGGGCAGGGCAGGGCGTCGTGCTCTTCCCGCCTAACGGCCGCAGGGCGTGAACGAGTCCCCCGGGCGAGGGTCCGACCCGGAGCTGGGCGCGGCTGCGGGAGGACCGCTCGCGAGGGGAGGACGCCTGGTCCAGGGGCGCTACCCCAGCGCCGCTGCGGTAGAGCCGGGCTTCAGGGGGTGGCGCGGGCGACTGCGTGCGGCACAGGGAGGAGGAGGAAGCGGCGCGGGCGAGCGGGGAAGTCAGACGCTGCAAAAAGTGGGCGGGCCGGGCGGTTGAAGCCGGTGTGATTTGCTGCCCGCCGCCCATGGAAGTTCGGCTCCTGCCTCCAGGTGCTGCCGGAGCCGGCGGCCTTGGGTTTTCTGTCACGCAGGTTCAGGGAGCCGGGAACACCTTCGGCCTTGAGCCTTAGTGTCTGCTCGAGCTTTACAGGCCCAGCTTGAGCCCTCGCTGAGAAGCGGGCCCAGGGGAGCCTGGCGAGAGTTTGGTCAAGGAGAGCTTTGTGAAAGTGCGCTACCCG
Source organism: Homo sapiens (assembly GCF_000001405.40). Classification (NCBI taxonomy): domain Eukaryota; kingdom Metazoa; phylum Chordata; class Mammalia; order Primates; family Hominidae; genus Homo; species Homo sapiens. The sequence continues at coordinate 1,870,252 of NC_000004.12, read as the reverse complement.
GGCTATAGAACGACACCTCAGCCCAGGTCCTGCCTCCCCGGACCCACCTCCAGCCACCAAGGAGTGGCCACAGTTCACCTCCTCTTCCTCTCCCGCGCCGCCTCCGCTGCTGTCCCTTCACAGGTGCTGGGCCCCTGTATGGGTTGAGTTGTGGCCCCCCCAAAAAAACAAGGGTTGCTGCAAGACTTACTATAAGGCTACAGTAATTGAGACATTGTGGTACTGGTGGAAAAATACACAAATAGATCCATGAACAGAATAGAGAACCCGGATATAGACCACATAATGGAGTCAGCTGAGCTTGACTCTAGGAAATGGAATGGAGAAAAGACAGTCTTTTCGACAAATGGTGCTGGAACAACTGGATGTCCACATGCAAAAAAAAATCAGGCTAGACACAGACTTTACACCCTTAACAAAAATTAATTCAAAATGGAGCCAAGGCCAGTGGCTCACACCTGTGAGAAGTGTGAGCCAGCACTGTGGGAGGCCAAAGTGAAAGGATTGCTTGAGCCCAGGAGTTGGAGACCAGACTGGGCAACATAGCAAGACCTCGTCTCTATCACCAAACAAATAAATGAATTTTTAAAATTACGGCCAGTGCCAGGCATGGTGGCTCACACCTTTAATACAAGCACTTTGGAAGGCCGAGACAGGTGGATCGCCTGAGGTCAGGAGTTCGAGACCAGCCTGGCTAACATGGTGAAACCCCGTCTCTACTAAAAAAAAATACAAAAATTAGCCAGGCATAGTGACGGGCATCTGTAATCGCAACTATTCAGGAGGCTGAGGCAGGAGAATCACTTGAACCCGGGAAGTGGAGGTTGCAGTGAGCCGAGATCATGCCACTGCACTCTAGCCTGGGTGACAGAGCAAGACTGTCTCAAAAAATAAAAAATAACAAAAAGTGAATAAGCCAGGCACAGTGGCTCACACCTGTAGTTCTAGTTATTTGGAAATCCGAGGCAGGTGGATCATTTAGTTCTGGGCTATGCCAGTCAGGTGTCTGCACTAAGTTTGCCATCAGTATGGTGACTTCCCAGGAGCTGGGAACCACCAGGTTGCCTGAGGAGGGGGGAGCCAGCCCAGGTCAGAAACAGAGCAGGTCAAAACTCCCATGCTGATCAGTAGTGGGACTGCACCTGTGAATAGCCACTGCGCTTCAGCCAGGACAACATAGCAAGACCTCGTCTTAAAAAGTGGACAAAAAGGCAGTGGCTTACACCTGTAATCCCAGCATTTTGGGAGGCCAAGGCAGGAGGATCCCTTAAGGCTAGGAGTTTGAAACCAGCCTGATCAACATTGAAATCCTATCTCTACAAAAAAATAAAAAAACAGCTGGGCATGGTGGTGCATGCCTGTAGTCTCAGCTACTCAGGAGGCTGAGACAGAAGGATCTCCTGAGCCCAAGAGTTACATGAGGCTACAGCAAGCTGTGATTGCACCACTGCATTCCAATCTGGGCAACAGAATGTGACCCTGTCTATAGTAAAGTGGACAAAAGACCTCCACAGACGCCTCCCCAAAGTAGATACCCAGATGGCAAGGATGCACGTGAAAAGAAGATCCTCATTATCAGGGCGTAATCTCAACTACTCAGCAGGCTGAGGGGGGACGACTGCTTGAGCCCAGGAGTTTGAATACAGCAAGACCCCATCTCTCAAAATAAAAATAACAAGAGGTAGAGAGACCTGGGCTAGCAGTTAGTATGCTCAGCCCCCTTGTCATGGGACGCCTGGGAAGCTTCAGAGAGTCCACACCAGCAAGAAGGCTCTCATCAGACACACCTCTTGGACCTTGAACTTCCCAATCTCCATAACTGTAAGAAATAAATTCCGGCCAGGCACAGTGACTCACGCCTGTAATCCCAGCACTTTGGGAAGCTGAGATGGGGGATCCCTTGAGCTCAGGAGTTTGAGACCACCCTGGGCAACATGACAAAACTCCATCTCTATAAAAAAAAAAAAAAAAAAAAACTACAAAATCAGCTGGGTGTGGTGGTACATGCCTGTAGTCCCAGCTATTCAGGAGGCTGGGTGGGAGGATCACCTGAGCTCGGGAGGTTGAGGCTGAGTGAGCCATGACTGTGCCACTGCCACTGCACTCCAGCCTGGGCAACAGAGTGAGACCCTGTCTCAAAAATAAGTAAATAAATTCATTTTCTTTATGAATCACCCAGTTTCAGGTAGTCTGCTATAAGCAACAGAAAACTGACTAAGAAGCCAATCTGAAAGGGCTACAAACTTGTGTGATTCCAACTCCATGACATTCTGGAAAAGGCAAAACTATGGAGACAATAAAAAGATTAGCCAGGGGTTAGGGCAGGGAGGGATGAGTAGGCAGAGCACAGATGATATTTAGGACAGTGAAAATACTCTGTGTGACACTGTAACAGTGGATACAAGAACGTACAGCACCAAGAGTGAACCCAAAACCGGATTTTCAGTGATCATGACGTGACAATGTGGGTTCACTGATTACAAGAAATATACTACTCTAGTGGGGAATGCGGATGATGGGGGAGGCTGGGTGTGTGGGTGAGAAGGGGCTATATGGGACCTGGGTGCACTTTCTGCTCTATTTTGCTGTATACCTAAAACTGCTCTAAAAATTAAACTTTAGGCTGGGCGCAGTGGCTCACCCCTGTTAATCCCAGCACTTTGGGACCAAGGCGGGCGGATCACCTGAGGTCAGGAGTTCGAGACCAGCCTGGCCAACATGGTGAAACCCAGTCTCTACTAAAAATGCAAAAATTGGGCTGGGCACAGTGGTGCGTGCTTGTAATCCCAGCTACTCTGGAGGCCGAGGCAGGAGAATTGCTTGAACCCAGGAGGTGGTGGTTGCAGTGAGCCGAGATCATGCCACTGTACTCCAACTTGGGCAACAGAGCGAGACTCTGTCTGAAAAAATAAATATATAAAAATTAAACTTTATTAGTTAAGAAAAAAGATACATTGAAGTCTTAACTCCCAGTACCTCAGAATGTGGTCTCATTTGGGGATGAGGGTCTTTCCAGAAGTAATCAAGTTAAAATGTGGTCATTAGGGTGGGCCCTAATCCAATATGACTGTATCCTTATAAAAAGGGAAAATTTGGAGACAGGCACACCAAGGAGAGGCCATGTGAAGAGGAAAGCAGAGGTCAGGGCAATGCTTCCGAATGCCAACGACTGCTGGTGAGAGGATGGGACCCATTCTCCCTGGCAACCTAAGAAGGAACCAACTTTGGAAATGCTTTGATCTCACGTATCTGGCCTCCCAAATGTTTAAGCTACCCAGTCTGTGGTATTTGCTACAGTAACCCGAGCAGACTGATACTGTCCCTAATAAGGCTTCTGGAGAAGCTGACCTATGGCAGCTGAAGGGGCTGGATTAGAGTCGGGGACATGGGGGTGAGGGGTAGAGGTGGCAAGGACAGCAGGCTTGAACTCAGGCAGTGGAGACAGAGACATTTACGAAGACTCGGGGCTGGGACAGGTATGAGGGGCAGAGGGAGGTGAGCAGTGGCTTTTTTCCTTCCCAGGATCCTGGGTACTGTCCCCACAGCAGAGGCACAGCCTTTGGCGCTGGAGCTGTGGGAGCCAGGCAAGCCCCTCCACCCCTTGGAGGCTGTCTGTACAATGGGAAGCACGTGGCAGAAGCCAGCCTGGGAGCCTCGCACATGGCGCTCAGCCTGCGCTCATTTCTTTTCTGGTAGACTGGATTCCTGCCCAGGCCCCAACTCCAGGTGCTGCTGTGGGTATTAGAAGGGGTGGTGGGAGCTGAGACGTGAGCTCTCTGGACAAGGCTGTGTACCCACAGCCCTGGTTCCTGGGACTCAGACACCTCAGGCTGCGGAACAAGACATCTGCTGGTGCAGCCTCCAGACTTTTGCAGCCAGGTCACCTGCAGATAGAAACAGGCACCCAGCTGTGCCCTGCTGTTGAGACCAGGTGCTGTGACGCAAGGCTCCATGGCCCAGCCTACTCCTAAATCCTCCAGGTCTCTCCAGCCACTCAGGAGTGCTCAAAGTCCAGTACTCCTCCTGGTCTAAAGGGATGAGAAAAAGGTCCCTAAGGCCAGGCAGGGTCCATCAAAAGCAGGATGAGAGTAGGGAGCCTGAGGTTTTAGGTCCAGGAAGAGCCTCAAGGGCAGGACAGAACAAAGCCTGCTGGAACAGACCCCTCGGTGATCAGCCACAGGCTACCTCTGCTTCCCACTAGAGAAGGGACTGGCCCGGAGTACACTGGGGCCCAAGGAAGCCCTCCCCAGGGTCCCCACTGGAAGGGATTATCAAATTATTTATTCCTCCTCCAAACCCTACGTGGTGAGGCCCTGCTGGGTCCTGTGCATAGTGTAGGCTTGGGCAGCGGCCAAGAGATGCCCCACAGCAGTCACTGCCAGAACTCACCTGAGGCCACCAGAAGCCCCTAGAAGGTGTCTTATTTGGGTAGTGGCCAAAACCCTCTGGCTGTGGGGAGGAGGACAGGTGCCTCTCCAGGCCCTGGATCCCTCTAGGGCACAGGCCTGGAAACTGTCTACCTCCCCAACACCATTTAAATCCCCGCAGCGTAAGAGGAATACCACCACATCTCATTTCATTCTACAGATTTGGAATTAGGGCTACTTTTCCCCAAAAATCTGCATTTTGAATAGTACAATCAACATGTAAATGTATTCAACACATGCAAGTGTGTGTTTGGATTTCCTGGAAGAAAGTTATCTGGGGCTGGCTGGTCTTTTCCTGCCCAGCGCAAGCCTCCCTGAGCCCAGACAAGCTCTCTCGGGTGGTCCTGAGCCCCTTGCAGTTGAGTCTGGCCAGCTCTGCACCCCAATCCCCCCACACACACACACCAGGGGCCTCTCCCCAAAGGCGATGTGTGTTGTTGCTCTCAAGAGCAAGAAGGGGCCGGGGTGGTGGCTCATGCCTCTAGTCCCAGCACTTTGGGAGGCCGAGGCGGGTGGATCACCTGAGGTCAGGAGTTTGAGACCAGCCTGGCCAATATAGTGAAACCCCATCTCTACTAAAAATACAAAAATTAGCTGGGTGTGGTGGCATATGCTTGTAGTCCCAGCTACTTGGGAGGCTGAGGCATGAGAATCGCTTAAACCTGGGAGGCAGAGGTACAGTGAGCTGAGACTGTGCCATTGCACTCCAGCCTGGGCAACAAGAGTGAGAAACTCTGTCTCAAGAAAAAAAAAAAAAGAGCAAGAAGGAACAGGTCCGCACCAGACACCTCTGGTGGGTTCCTGCGGAAAGGAGGCCCTCGTCTGAGGTGCTCGCCATTTGCAGGTGTGTCGTCCGGGCTCATCTGAGAGGCTCCAGGGTGGGCTGTTGATGCTTCAGTCCCGCAGGGTAATGCTTTGGGCACAGAGACTGCTGGGACGTTCTGACAGCCAGGGCTGCTTCCCCATCCCTGAAGGCTGAGAGAAGTCGTCCTTGGAGGGCAGGCCTCAGGCAGGTTGGTACAGGCCATCGGAGCGGGGCCTGGGTCCTGGGTGGGACCAGAGTGACCCTGAGCAGGTGGTCAGGGACAGTAGCAGCCAGGCAGAGCCTGGCTCTTTAATCTCTTTATGACTCTCCTCTTTTCTCTAACGAAAAGCTCTGTATCTGGCTGTCAGCCGTATAGTCACCGCCTACTCAGGGCCTACAGCCCTAGGAGGGAGAGTCCTCTCTCCCTTCCATGTGGCTCTTCATGGCTGCATGTCTGGTACCTCCTGGCCCTGACCTCCCTATAAAGGCTGCTGCCAAAGGAGCCCCTGAGCCCTGGCTTGGCCTCCCCAACCCCCACAGGGCTGGGGTCCCCCAGGGGCCAGGCTCATTGCCGTTTCCATGGAGATGTGTGCACTCTGACCCCAGCCTTTCTCCGTCCCAGGCCAGATAAAGAGGGCTTCCAAGTGGAAACCAGCAGCCTCAAGCTGCCCCGCCTCCCAGGCCCCAGGTGGCTCCTGCCTCCAAGGAGGGGAGGGAAGGAGGCCCCATCCCCTCAACTCAGGGCCCAGCAGGTCCAGAGCTGAAGCAGAGCCGCAGCTAGGGCCAGAAGGGCCTCCCCTGAGGCCCTCCCAACAACCCTTTCCCAGCCTAACCACTCTGGTCTCCGGGTTGGAACCTCACCTTTCCCAAGTTCTGGCTCTGTCCCAGCTCCCACTCAGCCCAAAGGCCACATTGGTTCCCTGGGATGGCCCATGGGAGTGACAGCTGCAGCCACTGGAAGCCCAAGGGCAGCACTGCAAGGCCTCTTAGGGCCATGTGAGCAGAGCTTCCACTGAGTTGGGGTCCCCATCGGGTAGGGGTGATGGACATGGGGGCTGAAATCCAGCTGAGGAGCCCCACTTCCCTCCCTGTGTCCTGGCTGAGTCCCAGTGGTCACCTCCAAGAATAAACCACATATCAGGACCAGGCTTCAGTCGTGGGGGCAACTGGAAATCCATCTCCCCACAAAGATGCTTCCTGGAGAGGCCACCCAAGCAAGCAGAGCCCCAGGCCTCAGAGGTGACCCGCACTGGTGTCACCCCTTGGACAGTCAGACACCCACCTTTGGCAAGCACCAATCTGAACTTTACCCCTCTCGCTGTGCGAGCTCTCAGCTGAGGGACAACTTCCTCTAGAGCCCTCCTTCCTCCCCCATAGCCCCATGAACACTACCTCTGGACTGGACTGGGGGGCTCCCAGGCCAGGTTCCCGCTCCTACCAGTTTCTTAGGACCACAAAATGCCAGAAAGTTACCCTCATCGTTCTGGAGCCTAGGAGCCTGAAAACAAGGTGCCAGCAGGGTGGGAGGCTTTGGGGAGGGTCCTCCCTGGTATCTCCTCAGCTTCCGGTGCTTGCCTCAGACCTTTGGTGGCAACCTCTGATCCCTGGCTCCGTGGTCACGTGGCCTCTGCCTTGCACATCGCCTGAGTCTCTTTTCTCTTAGGAGGAGCACAGATCTATTGGAGTAGGGCCCTTCCTAATAACCTTATCTTACCTTGGTTACATCGGCAAAGACTCTATTTCCAAGTGAGCTCGCACTTAGAGATGCCAGGTTAGGGCCCGAAAATCTCTCTTTTGAGACAAGGTCTCAGCTCTGTCGCCCACGCTGGAGTGCAATGGCACGATCACGACTCACTGCAGCCTTGACCTCCGAGGCTCAAGCGATCCTCCCGCCTCTGCTTCCTGAGTACCTGGGACTACAGGCCCATAAGACCACGACCGATTTCGTTTTTTTTTTTTTTTTTTGGTGGGGGGGTCTAGCTATGTTGCCTAGACTGATCTCAAACTCCTAAGCTCTAGCAATCGTCCTGCCTCCACCTCCCAAAGCACTGGGATTACAACCATGAGCACCTGGCTCTACAACACCTCTCTAACTAGTTGCAGGACCTTAGCAACTACAGTTGGGACCTGGTGTCAGGTCAGAGCCAGCCCCAGCCCGTAGCGCTCACCTGCACGCCTTCTCCCTCTCCCCAGGGCGGCAGGGCTGGGACTGGTGATAGCCAGGCAAGCGCAGTGTCCAGGCAGGAGAAGAGGCCCGCGGGGTCCTTGACCGCCCTCAGGGCACCCACTCAGCCACGACCCCCCCACCCCCCACTCCCCAGTCCTGGCCTCGCTTCCGTGGAGGCCCTGGCTAGGCCCCGCCCCGTCCCAGGCCCCGGTTCCCGCGCACCCCGCGACCCCGCCCCAGCCGGGCTCTTCGGATTTTGCAGCGCGAGGTCCCTCGAAGGGAAAGGGAAGACAGCGAGGCCTGGGTGCCGCGCCCCCCACTTCCTCCTGCCGCCCCCGCAGCCCCCGTTCTGCACAGGGACTTCCCCGGGGTCGGGACCACCCAGAGCAGGGCGCGCGGCCATTGCTGCCCACTCACTCTGGCTTTGGCTAAAGAAACATTGTTTCGTGCTAAAATAGCACTTCTTTTTTTAATTATGAAAATGGCAGGAAATTAAAACCCACAGCAGCAGAAGGAAGAAAATAAAAGTTCTTCCTAAACCCTGTGCCTGCAGCGACGTCTTTGGGGAGCGCGTTGGGCCGCTTCTTCCCTAGACTGGCGACCGTCTTTGGCAGCCTGAGTTAGGGACTGACCAGGGACAGCCAGAGTGCCACCCCAGCCAGTCTGGGACAGCCACGCAGGACAGAGGCTGCCTCCCCTTCTGCCAGCCAGCCAGATGTTTTACTGTTTTTTACTGCAATAATTTTAGATTTACTGAAAAGCTGCGAAGATCATAGGGAGTCCCCCAACCTGGTTTCCCCTAATGGTAACATCTTACATTTCCAGGGTAGCTTGGTGGAAACCAACACTGGTCCCTTACTATTAACTGATCACCAGGGTCAATTCAGAGTTCACCAGTTTCCCCACAAATGTAGAAGGATCTAAAAAGCAAATCTGGCTGGGCACAGTAGCTCCTGCCTGTAATCCCAGCACTCTGGGAGGCCCAGGCAGGTGGATGGCTTGAACCCGAGTTGGAGACCAACCTGGGCAACATAAGGAGACCTCATCTCTACAAAAATTTAAAAATTAGCTGAGCATGGTGGCGTATGCCTGTAGTCCTAGCTACTCCAGAGGCCGAGGCAGGAGGATTGCTTGAGCCTGGGAGTTCAAGGCTGCAGTGAGCTATGATCACGCCACTACACTCCAGCCTGGGTGACAGAGACTCTGTCTCAAAAAATAAAAAACAAAAAGCAAATCTAGGTGCAGCAAACCACCGTGGCGCACGTTTACCTACGTAACAAACTTGCACATTCTGCACATGCATCCTGGAACTTAAAGTACAATAAAATTAAAAAAGAAAAGAAAATAAAAGAAAATATATGTGCAGAAGGTGGAGCCCAGCCAGAGCACCAGTGTGCAGCACCCCACTGAACTGGGGACAGTAGCACAGCTGGAATCTGTGGGGAAGGCCCTGGAGAGGAAAGTGTTTGCAGGGAAGCCTGAGATGTCCCACTGTCCTTGGCTGAGGAGTGGGCTGCACCTGCTCAGGATGAGGCCACCTGGACTTAACAGGAAGCAACTGCCATAGGAATTCTGGCCCAGCCTGCATGGAGAGACCTCATTCTAACCTCATCAATGTCCCTCATGAATGCTTTGGTACCTGGCTCCAAACCCCTCTCAGCCCACAGGCTTGGTATGCAGCTGAGACACCAGGACCCATGCCCTGGGAACTGGGACTGTGTCCTAGAGCAAATTCTCTAGGCACATCCTGTCTTAGTTATCTATTGCTGCATAATGGACTACCCTCAGTTCTTCCCCATGTGGGTCTCTACAGGCTATCTGAGTGTCCTCATGACCTGGCAGCTGGCTGTTCCCAGAGTGGAAATCCAAAAGGGAGCAGGGAGCCTGTAATCCCAGCATTTTGGGAGGCCGAGGTAGGTGGATTGCTTGAGCCCAAGAGTTCAAGACCAGCCTGGACAATGTGGCGAGACCCCATCTCTACAAAAAAATACATAAATTAGCCAGGCATGGTGGCGTGTGCTTATAGTCCTAGGTACTCTAGAGGCTAAGGTGGGAGGATCCCTTGAGCCCGGGAGGTGGAGGCTGCAGTGAGCTATGATTTTGCACCACTGCACTTCAGCCTGGGCAACAGAGCGAGACCCTGTCTAAAAAAAAAATATATATATATATATATATATATATATATACACACATATATATACATATACATATATATACATATATATATACACACACATATATATACACACATACACATATATATAGTGGGTTCCATTGATTCAAATAAAAAAATTTTTTAAAAATTAAATAAAACAACAACAACAAATAACAAATTTAGGTCAAGCATGGTGGCTCTTGCCTATAATCCCAGCACTTTGGGAAGCTGAGGCAGGAGGCTCACTTGAGGCCAGGAATTCAAGAACACCCTGGGCAACATAGTGAGACCCTGTCTCTACAAAAAATTAAATAATTAGCCAGGCATGGTGGCACATGCTTGTGGTCCCAGCTACTCAAGGAGGCTGAGGCAGGAAGATCGCTTGAGCCCAGAGGTCAAGGCTGTAGTGAGCCGTGATCATACCACTGCACCCCAGACTGGGCAACAGAGTGAGGCCCTATTTCAATTAAAAAAAAAATCCAAATGCATAGCCCTCCCATGTCCCAGCCCAAAGCCACCACTTTTTTTTTTTTTTTTTTGAGACGTAGTCTAGCTATGTCTCAAAAAATGCAATGTAGTGTAGTGTACACTGGAGTGTAGTGGCGTGATCTCGGCTCACTGCAACGTCCATCTCCAGGGTTCAAGTGATTCTCCTGCCTCAGCCTGTCAAGCAGCTGGGATTACCGGCATGTGCCACCACGCCCAGCTAATTTTTGTATTTTTAGTAGAGACGGGGTTTCACCATGTTGGCCGGGATGGTCTCGATCTCCTGACCTCGTGATCTGCCCACCTCAGCCTTCCAAAATGCTGGGATTACAGGTGCGAGCCACTGTGCTTGGCCCAAAACCACCACTTTTATCTGCAGGTGGTTCCTCAGTGGGGTGAGAGGAGGCTGGAGGCTGGAGGCTGACCTCCACTTCTCCTGCTGCATGTACCTGGCTAAAGCTTCTCCCAGCTGCAAGGTGACCTGGTATCCAAGGTTTTTCTCCTGGGCTGTCACCCTAGCCCCTGCCATCACCAGTAAGTGCAAGCACCCTGTGTGGAGCATCCCACTTTCGTCAGCTTACTTGTTCTGGTACCTGGCTCCAAACCCCTCTCAGCCCACAGGCCAGTGATCCTGCTATCTTCTGCTGTCTCCCACTGCCCCCTCCTGTTCTTCCCTTTCCTTCTCCCCAGTTTCAATTCCTGGGACAAGCCTCATAGTCTCTTGCAAACATCCTTGTCTCTCTTCCTTCATCATACTTCCCAGCAAATCCCCAATCTGGGCAAATGCAACTCTGGCTGCTTTTCACCAGAGCATGGGTCAAGTGCAGCACACAACCCTTCTAAGTCTTCCTCTAGTTCGCTAACTGGTTCCCTAAGCTCCCTAACTAGATCCCTAACTTCCTCCCTAACTAGATCCCTAGCCCCCCTTCCCTAACTAGATCCCTAAACCCCCCAACTAGGTCCCAACCCCAACTAGGTCCCTAAGCTGCCTGACTAGTCCCTAGCCCCCTCCCTAACTAGATCCCTAACCGCCCTCCCTAACGGGATCCCTAACCTCCCTAACTGGGGCCCGTGTGCTGCCTGGGCTTCCTGCCCTGTTTCTCTACTGTCACTTGTATATACACCGAGTGACTATGGAAGGTTATATGTGATTTGTGAGGAACATAGGGAGAAGGAAAAGGAAGTTTCCCCAACCAAAAAAAAAAAAAGAAGAGAAAAAGGCTAAAAACAGTGCTTGCTATTAAACCACTGCGCCATGGTTCTGTGCCCTTGTTCTGCTGCATATGGAGATGTGGGACTGGAAGGCCTCATTCCAGCCTTAAGGGTGCACAGTCAGCTGGCTGGATGCCAGATTTCTACTTATTTCTTTTGACCTATTTTTTTTTTTTTTTTTTGCGACAGTCTCGCTCTGTCACCAGGCTGAAGTGCAGTGGCACAATCTTGGCTCACTGTAACCTCTGACTCCCTGGTTCAAGCAGTTCTCCTGCCTCAGCCTCCCGAGTAGCTGGGATTACAGGCATGCACCATAATGCCCAGCTAATTTTTGTATTTTTAGTAGACAGGGTTTCACCATGTTGGCCAAGCTGGTCTCGATCTCCTGACCCCGTGATCAGCCCGCCTCGGCCTCCCAAAGTGCTGGGATTACAGGTGTGAGTTACTGCGCCTGATCACAGCTATTTTAATTGTTGAAAATTTATCTAAGATCCCACCCTGCCTGGGCTGCACGAGCATCGCAGACAGCACCTGCCTGTGTCAGTCCTGCTGTTGGCTCTCCGCTGCCAGGCTTTCCTTGTTCTGGTCCAGGGATGGTGGGTCATCCCAACTGCAGGCGAGGGTATGTTCCACATTTCCTCACACCCAGCACTTTGGGCAGGGTGGAGACTGCGGGGAGGGCTTCCCTCCTCTTTCAGTGTCATTCAAAGTCCTGTAAACAGGCACTAGCACAGATGGGGCAGTCACCACCTCCTGCCTGGCCTTGCCGGGACACCTGGGACCCCACAGCATTAACGAGAGGAGCACTGTTTCTTGCACCCTCTCCGGGGTCACCCTCCCTAGCCAGCATCGGGCAGGGTCATCTGGTGCTCAGAACCAATGTCCAGACCAGGACTAGGACATACAGTCCTACAGCTGGGCCATAAAAAGTCCTACAGCTGAGCCATAAAAAGTCCTACAGCTGGGCCATAAAAAGTCCAGTTCTTTCTGACCCTGACCAACTGTCCACTCCAGCTCAGGTCCAACCCTGGGTGGGGAGGCAAGGACTATCCTTCTGTATCCCCCTCTTGCCTCCTGGGGGATGGGTGGAAAAGGGGCCCCTTCATGTCTGTTGGCAGCACAGGCCTAGGTTCAGGCCTAGTTGTGCTTAAACTCTGTCTGCATTTGATGTCTGCAGTGCCCACTGACCGGTGTGGACACAGGGACTTACAGACGGCTTCAAAGTGCCCTGCACTAAACAATGCCCCCTTCTCCCACTGAGATGGGGAATTCAAGCCCATCCAGGCCCAGTACCTGGCAGTTCCTGATGGGGAAAACCACCCAGGCAAGCAGGCTACGTTTTCCTGACGGGTGAGGACCGACTGCATGGACAGCAGGGGCAGAGGGGACCCTGGGGAGGGAGCCTCCTAGGGAGATGTGCCATTCAACCAGCCTCTCAAGACTGGGGAGCTGGCTGGCATCAGGCGTTTCACACCCCATGCGCTCCAGGGAACAGAGATGCTGAGTGTGCACTACAAGACCCTCCCCAGGCGGTGCCCTGAGGTGCCGCGGAGAAGCAGGAGGAGGCAGGTTACATCCCTGAACAAGACAGAGGGCAGGGCAAGTGCTGTGCTGGGGATCTCCTAGCTGGAGATCTCCACCAGCTGGGCCCCCAGCGCCGCAGGTCCCCATTTTTCTCCCTGCCTGCTTTCTCTGCCCCAACTCAGGGATCCTCATCTTAGGGAAGGAAGGGGAAGGTGGAGCTCAGAGGTCACGGTCTGCTGGGAGGCTGCACGGTCTCTCTCCCCTGGACTGGTCAGGGCCGGCTATTAAACTGGGCTGGGGGGAGGCTCCTGGGAGACGGCGCATGAGCGGTCCGCGAGCCCAGCCCAGCTCTGGCGGGAATTCTGGAGACTTCGAGCCAGGTCCTTGGCGTCCTGGGCTTCGGCTGTTCCTTCTTGGACTGGGAAGTGGAGCGGACAGGGTATGGCCCAGGTTAGGAAGTCTGGCGCTCTTGCGGCGCGCGGGACCCCAGGGGCTGCTTAGGCCAGAGCGAAACGAGGGGTCCCCCCGCGCCAACGCAGGACCCATATCTACCCCTCCCGCTCAGACGGGAGGACGCGGTGTGCCGGGATGGGGGGCCGCTATGCTGGCTGCGCCGCCACCCGGCCTAGTGCCCTCGCCTCCAGGGGCCGGCATGGCCCTGTCCTTCGGGGCGGGACCCTGCGCTCCCGTCCCCCCAGTGGTGACGGGGACTCCCGACGCCGAGCAGCGCCGTATCTGGGGAGCGCCGCCCGGTACGCAGGGAAGAGGCACTCAGAGCTGCGCGCGCCAGAGTGCAGACCGCCGAGGGCAGAGCCACAGAGCAGGGGGGCCGGCGAGGGACCGCGGCCGAGGGCGTCGAGGGCGCCCCTCCATCCCCAGCGTCCCCTGACTTGCCCTTGGAGCCCCAAGCTCCCAGGAGCCGTTTTCTACTCGTGGGTGCAGGACTTAGTCCCAGAAAAGTTCCGGACACACGCGCTGCTGCCGCCGCCCGGAGACGAAAAGACACTCCCCGCGCAAGCGCGGCCGACTCCCTCAGCTCCTGCGGCCGCCACGCTGCGAGCCCCGGCGTCCACGGTACGACGGGAACCAGGATGCAGCGAGCCCCAGGAGCCAGCCGCCCCGGTGCACGCCGGGACCGGTAGTCCGCGCCTCAGGGTAGTCCGCCGCTCCGGTGCACGCCGGGATCGGTAGTCCGCACCCCAGCGTGCAGGCCGTCCCGGTGCACGCCGGAACCGGTAGTCCGCGGTGGCGCGGTCCGCCCCTCACCTGGCCAGCGGCGGGCGCTGAGGGGCCCAATGGGAGCCGCGGCCTGGCCGCCCCGCCCCGCGCCTCCGGACGTCTGTGCCGGGACAAGGCCGCCGCTGGTGCCGGGTCCTTGAGGAGAGCGCCTCCCGTCCGAGGCCAGCCGCCTCTGTCAGCCGTCCGCGCGGGCCGGGTCTGAAGCGCCGCCGGGACGGCGAAGAGCCGCGGCCGCCGCGGAGAAGGAGGCAGCGCAGGAGGCCGGAGCGGCCGCCGCGCCCGAGCACATGGCGTCCATCTTACTGAGGAGCTGCCGCGGCCGGGCGCCCGCCCGCCTCCCGCCGCCGCCTCGGTACACCGTCCCGCGGGGTAAGCGGCGGGCACCCCAGGGCGGGGCCGGCTCCCGGCTGGTGGGTCGGGAGCGCGGACGACCCGCGGGTTCGGGCTGGTTGTCACGGCGATGCGGGGAGCCCGGTGGTCCCGGCCTCCGGAGCCCCTGCGGGACCGTGGGGCCCCGGGTCTCGTCGCGGGCTGGGCCGCCAGCGCCGGGCGGAGCCGCTGGGCCTCTGCCGTGTGTTGTGACCTTAGGCGGCCGGGTCCCCCGGGTCACTGCCTCAGAGACAGTGGGAAAATTCTGAAGGGCTGGGCAGCCCTGGCGCGCCCTGCGCGAGTAAGCTTGGTGGAACGTGTCCACGCACGAGGACGGCCGTGCCCTTTGGTCACGTTTGGGGTCCCGGAGACGAGACTGGGTGGGCAGGGCAGACACCGGCGAGCAGGACCTGCTGGGCTGCAGGAGCCTTCCTGGTCCGTCACTGATGAGGTGATGCCAGCACCTACAAACCCCTGTGGTGTGATTAGGCCGCGACCGGCACCCGGGGAACACGGGGACTCCGGAGCCGCTGAGGGTCCTCAGGGTGCGTGGCTTTAGCCCCCCTAGCCTCAGGTGCTGTCTGGAGTGAATGCTGTCCCAGGGTGTGCCCACCTCCTCTCTCTCTCTAATTAACCAACTTATTTGAGTCTATGTCCTTATTTGTAAAATTGGAATAAACATAAAACTTGCTAAGAGGGACTCAAGTAAAATAATTAGTGCAGTGGTGCGATCATACTCACTGCACCTCAAACTCCTGGGCTCAAGCTATCCTTCTGCCTCAGCCTCCCAAGTTGTTAGTTGTGCCACACAACACCCAGCTAATTTTTTTTTTTGTAGTTTTTTTGTAGAGACAGGGTCTTGGTATGTTGCCCAGCCTGGTCTTGAACTCCAAGGCTCAACTGATCCTCCTGCTTTGGCCTCCCAAAGTGCTGGGATTACAGGAGCCACCATGCCCAGGCACCCAGCTTCAATATTCTTGTCTCTGTTCCCCACCCCCAAAGAGATAGATTGAAGTTGCCCTGAATGTATCCTCCCAATTCTTGTTTTTTTTTGTTTGTTTGTTTGTTTGTTTTTAAAGACAGAGTCTCAATCTGTTGCTCAGGCTAGAGTGCAGTGGTGTGATCTTGGCTCACTGCAACCTCCACCTCCTGGGTTCAAGTGATTCTCTTACCTCAGCCTGCCGAGTTGCTGGAATTATAGGCACCCGCCATCACGACTGGCTAATTTTTGTATTTTTAGTAGAGACTGTTTTCTCCGTCTTGGCCAGGCGGGTCTCGAACTCCTGACCTCAGGTGATCCACCCACCTCGGCCTCCCAAAGTGCTGGGATTACAGGCGTGAGCCACCGCGCCCGGCCCCCAATTCTTGTAATTTTTTTTTTTTTTTTTTGAAATGGAGTCTCGCTCTGTCATCCAGGCTGGAGTGCAGTGGCATGATCTCGGCTCACTGCAACCTCTGCCTTCCAGGTTCAAGCGATTCTCCTGCCTCAGCCTCCTGAGTAGCTGGGATTACAGGCGCACACCCTCATGCCTGGCTAATTTTTGTATTTTTAGTAGAGATGGGGTTTCACCATGTTGGTCAGGCCGGTCTTGAACTCCTGACCTCGTGATCCACCCACCTCAGCCTCCCAAAGTGCTGGGATTACAGGCGTGAGCCACCTCGCCTGGCCAATTCTTGTAATTTTTACAATAATGGCTGGTTAGCCACTGAAACTTTTGGAGTGGTGAGAGGATGTTGAGTGGTGGAACTGCACAGTCTGAAGGTGGAGCTCAGCATGTGGTCTTTCCAGTTGCTGTGTTAGATGTTAGAGCTCTCTCTGGACCTCTTGATGGTGATAAAAGTACTTTTAACACTTCGTGCTTATTATCAGATTTTTGATAAATAATAATAATAATTAGCTTTTTATGTGCGATTCTGTCATTTCAGGAACACAAATGTCTTCTGTAGTTACTACTGTGCTTTGTGACAGGGACACTGGCAGGTCTGCTGTAGAAACAGTAGGGATTTCAGAGCCAGCGAGACCCAGGGCTGGACTGTGGAGGAGGTCCCTGAACTGATGAGTGATACACCGAGTGGAGTGCTGCAGGCCCCTGCTATTAACATCTTAGATGAGTAGGGTTCGTTGTCACAGTTAATGAACTGACCTTGATCTGTTACTGTTCACTAAAGTCCATAACATATTCAGATTTTCTTTACTCTCCCGTTCTCCATTCTGAGGTCCTTTTTCTGTCCCAGGACCCATCTGTACCACCCTTCTTGATTGCCTCTCAGGCTTTCCTTGTCTGCAGTGACCTTGACAGCTTTGAGGAGTACTGCCCAGGTGGAGTGTAGGGTGCTGCTCTACTGGTATTTCTTGATGTTTCCTCATAATTAAGCTGGGAAAGATGGTTTTTCAGGAGGAAGACCACAGAGGTGAAGCATCCTTATCATATCCCGCCGAGGCTCCATGCTGTCCAAATGATTTGTCACTGTTGATGTTGACCTTGATCAGTAGGCTGAAGTGGTGTTTGTCAGGTTTTTCACTGCCCAGTTACTCTTGTCCCACCTCCCCATTTGTCCTTTTTGGGAGGAAGTCGCTTTACGAGCAGAAGCAGGGCTGACTCCAAGGGCTGTGTGGGAGAGGGGGCCTCTGGCCTGAGCCGCCTGGGGACAACAGTGAGGGCTGTGTGGGAGAGGTGGCCTCTGGCCTGAGCCGCCTGGGGACAACAGTGCCATTTGTTGAAACTGGGGAGGACTTGGGGAGGAGCAGAATGAGGAGGGGCGCTAGTTGAGAGTTCTTGGAGGTGTGGACTGTGCCGTGCCCATCAGACCTGTGGGGCGTGTGTATTCAAGTCAGGGAAGAGATTGCCTGGGGAGGAGGTGGAGGTCAGGTAGGGAGGCTCTCCCAGGAGTGGCAAGGGTGAAGCCAGGTGAAGAAAGGTTTGTTTGTTCTTTGACCTGATCCTGGCACCAGCACTGAGGGCTGAGAACCCTGGAAGTTTCCTGAATGATGGGAGTGTCTTTTTTCATTTGTTTGTATTTTGAGACAGGGTCTTGCTCTGTCACCCAGGCTGGAGTGCAGTAGCTTGATCATGGCTCACCACAGCCTCCAAGCGATCCTCCTGCCAGCTGATGTTTTAACATTTTTGTAGACAGGGTCTCTGTTGCTCAGGCTTAACTCCTGAGCTCAACAGCGATCCACCTGCCTTGGCCTCCCAAAGTGCTAGGATTACAGGCGTGAGTTTGGGAGTGTCTTCTGTTATTCGTTATCACTGCACCTGAGTTTATGCTGATGAGGTGACTCCAGGCAGGCCCTTAGATAGATTGAGGTGCTGGCCATGCTGTGATTAGAGGGTGGGAACTTCCTGCCCCTTCCAGGGAGGCGAGAGGGTTTGGAGATTTAGTTCAGTCCCCATGGCCAGTGGGCCAATACTGTAATCAGTCATGAAGCCTTGATGAGAACTTCTGGGTGAGGAGGCTGGTGAGGCTTCCCACTGGCGTCCACCTAGCTCCACAGGACAAAGGATCCTGTGCTCGGGACCTCCCTGGCCATGCTGTCTGGTTGTTCCTAGGTACCAGGTACCCTTTATAATAAACTGTGACAGTAAGTAGAGCCCATTGCTGACATCTGAGTCATTCTTGTGAATGATCAAAACCAAGGCGGTCATGGGAACCCTCAAATGTGTGGTCAGCTGAAGTTGGGTAAGCCTGGGCACATGGAGTGGGGGCAGTCTTGTGGGACTGAGCCCGTACCCTGTGAGGTCTGCACTAACTCTGGGTAGTGTCAGTATGGAATTAAATTGTTGGACTCCCAGTTGGAGAATTCGTTGGTGTTGGAAAAAAGAACAGAAGGGCTCCCAGCAGGGCCTGGGCACAGATGACACCTGTGCTCGTGAGGGACGTGGAGCAATGATCCCCATCACCCCGAACGGCCTTGACTGGGGGTTCCTTGGAGAGCTGGGGACAGAAGCCGTCAGAACAGGTTTTGGGGAGAGCCTAGTAAGGGAGCCAGTGGGACAGGCAGTGTTAGAGAGAAGGTAGGGTCACTGGGGGACAGATCAGGGAACTCTGGGAGACCTGCCAGCCTGCCTGCTTGCCGGGCGGAGCCCTTGAGGCACAGGAGCTGGCCGGGGCAGGGGTGGAGGGGCTGAAGGTGCCATGGTGTGGGGAGGATAGCGGAGAATGCGCTGGGCCCTCTTCATGTGGAGAAAGGTGGGGGCCAAAGCTAGTCTCAGCTGGAGTGAGAAGGGCCTTGGCATGCTCACGTGTGCTGTGCTTTGAATTTTAACTTAAAATGTAACTTGCTGTGTATGAGAACATAGCCAACATTTTCCCCTTAACCCAGCTCCCAGTTCACAGACCGGACTGTTACAAGCCCTAAATGTGGCACGTAGTAGGAATTTCCTTCCCCACAGAACCAGGAGAGTTGCCTCCTGTTAAATGAGGTGAAGTGACGTATCGGTCCACTAGGAGCAGGGTCAGTGCCTGCCCTCCCCATCTTGTTCGTCCTCTCACGGTGGCTCTCGTTGCCGGCTGGAGTGAGCTCCCCCCATCTTAAAGCTGCACTTGCTGCTCCCTGGCTGTTGACTCATTGCAACCCCACTGCTTGGAGGTTCAAGGTCACTGGGCATCTCAGGGTGCTACCTGCTGGCTCCCGGCACCGCCTAGCCTCTGCACAGCCTGGCCTGGCACCTCCGTGGGCTGGTGCCTCTGGCCCTGCTGCTCCTATTCCTGTCTTGTTCCCAGCATGAAGTTTGATCACAATGGGCTCTGAATGTCAGTAATACGAATGAACTCTGACTTTATGCTTATAGGAACTAGAGCAAGTTAGGGAAAGCATCAAAAACATGTTGAAATCCTAAAAATGTGCTGTACACTTATCACTGTTGTTTATACAAGAAATGGCTTACTCTTGGTGTTTTTGTGGTTCTTCTCTTTTTTTTTTTTTTTTTGAGTGCAATGGCGCGATCTCAGCTCACTGCAACCTCTGCCTCCCGGAGGGTTCAGGTGATTATCCTGCCTCAGCCTCCCGAGTAGCTGGGATTACAGGCACCTGCCATCATGTCCGGCTAATTTTTTTTTATTTTTGTGGAGATGGGGTTTCACCATGTGGGCCAGGCTGGTCTTGAACTCCTGACCTCAGGTGATCCACCCGCCTCAGCCTCCCAAAGTGCTGGGATTACAGGCGTGAGCCACCATGCCCGGCCTGTGGTTCTAGTAATTCTTTTTTTTTTTTTTTTTTTTTCTGAGACAGAGTCTTGCTCTGTCGCCCAGGCTGCAGTTCAGTGGTGCGATCTCAGCTCACTGCAAGCTCCGCCTCCCGGGTTCACGTCTGTGCTGGGATTACAGGCGTGAGCCACTGCGCCCGGTCCGGTTGTAGTAATTCTTACAGCTCTTGCCCCTTGGGATCATTGCTTGCTCTATAGGGCTGTCTGCATAGAGGTCATGTTTCCACCAGAGCCAGCTGAAGTGAGTGGGGATGGTGCCACCGGTAGGAGTGCTCCCTCCCTAGGGCTGGCCTGCTTGGCTTCCCTCTTGGGGTGTCTGGAGTCAGGATCTACTTGAGGCTTCCCATCTTTTTTTAGGACTACTTTGAGATACTGTTTTCATAACTGGGGCAGACCCTTCACTTAGCAGTGCTCTGAAACCTTCCAACACTCAGAACTGGCTTCCAGAAACTTACAGAGGTTTCTACAAAAGAGATCTGTACTCTTTCAGATTTTTTTTTTCTTTTTGAGACGGAGTTTCACTCTTGTTGCCCAGGCTGGAGTGCAATGGTGCGATCTCAGCTCACTGCAACCTTTGCCTCCCAGGTTCAAGCTATTCTCCTGACTCAGCCTCCCAAGTAGCTGGGTTTACAAGCATGTGCCACCATACCCGGCTAATTTTGTATTTTTAGTAGGGATGAGGTTTCACCGCTGGTCAAGCTGGTCTTGAACTCCTGGCCTCAGGTGATCCACTCGCCTTTGCCTCCCAAAGTGCTGGGATTACAGGCGTGAGCCACGGCGCCCCGCCTTCTTTCAGACTTAAAAGAAGGTTTCAGGCTGGGAGTGGTGGCTCACGCCTGTAATCCCAACACTTTGGGAGACCAATGCAGGAGGGTCGCTCGAGGCCAAAAGTTGGAGACCAGCCTAGGCAACAAAACGAAACCCCGTCTTTACAAAAATTAGCCTGGCCTGATGGTGCACACCTGTAGTCCCAGCTACTTGGGAGGCTGAGGCAAAAGGATCCCTTGAGCCCAGGAGTTCAAGGCTGCAGGGAGCCGTGACTGTACCACTGCATTCCAGCCTGGGCAAAGTCAAATAAATCAAAATGAACAAAAGGCTGAGCACGGTGGCTCATGCCTGTAATCCCAGCACTTTGGGAGGCCAAGGCGGGCGGATCACCTGAGGTCGGCAGTTTGAGACCAGCCTGGCCAACATGGTGAATGAAACCCTGTCTCTACTAAAAAAAAAAAATTAGCTGGGCATGGTGGTGGGCACCTGTAATTCCAGCTACTCAGGAGGCTGAGGCAGGAGAATCAATTAAACCCAGGAGGTGGAGGTTGCAGTGAGCCGAGATCACGCCATTGCACTCTAGCCTGGGCGCAAGAGCGAAACTCCAAAAACCAACAACAAAAAAAGGTATCAGTATAAATCCCTGATTTACTACTCATTTATTTTCCCCTGTTCCTGTTACAGGTAGTCCAGGGGATCCTGCTCATCTCAGCTGTGCCAGCACCCTGGGGTTGAGGAACTGCCTGTGAGTAAATCAGTATCACTCTGCACCTGTCTGTTTGAAAACAGGGTTTGAAAATGGTGGAGAGTCACGAGTGACTCTTGATTTTTGAGGGAAACAGTGTATCCTACTTTCCTGTTCTTTGTTTCTTTTAAACCTTTATCTTTCCATTTTGAAAATGATTGTCACATGCCTCAGTGAATCTATAGACAGTATAGAAACATTCCTAACCTCAGTGCCCAGTTGCACTTGGAGAGCTGGGGACAGAAGGCTTCCTGTCCCCTAACAGGAATTAAATGGAATTTAATTGTTGGACTCCCAGTTGGAGTGGGCACTGGCAACTGTGCCCTCAAAGTGCCCAGTGTCAGTATTTTGATGTACAGCAAGTCTCATTTAATGTCTGTAGGTTCTTGGAAACTGCGACTTTTTTTTTTTCTTTTTTTTTTTTTTTTTTTTTGAGACAGAGCCTTGCTCTGTCACCCAGACTGGAGTGCAGTGGCACATGCTTGGCTCACTGCAACCTCCGCCTCCCAGGTTCAAGTGATTCTCCTGCTTCAACCTCCCGAGTAGCTGGGATTGCAGGCATGCCTCACTGCGCCTGGCTAATTTTTTTTTTTTTTTTTTTGAGACGGAGTCTCGCTCTGTCACCCAGGCTGGAGTGCAGTGGCGCAATATCAGCTCACTGCAAGATCCACCTCCCGGGTTCATGCCATCCTCCTGCCTCAGCCTCCCAAGTAGCTGGAACTACAGGCGCCCGCCACCACGCCCGGCTAATTTTTTGTATTTTTAGTAGAGATGGGGTTTCACCGTGTTAGCCAGGATGGTCTCAATCTCCTGACCTCGTGATCCGCCCGCCATGGCCTCCCAAAGTGCTGGGATTACAGGCATGAGCCACCGCGTCCGGCCGCACCTGGCTAATTTTTGTATTTTTATTAGAGACGGGGTTTCACCATGTTGGCCAGGCTGGTCTTGAACTCCTGACCTCCCGTGATCTGCCTGCCTTAGCCTCCCAAAGTGCTGGGATTATAGGTGTGAGCCACCATGCCTGGCAGAAACTGCAACTTTAAGGTCCACGAATAACGTTTTATTATAACTTTGGATGAGAAAAGAAATTGGTTTTCTTATGTCTTTTTCCTTAAGGTTGCATTTTCTTTTTTTTTTTTATTTTTATTTTTTTTGAGACAGAGTCTCGCGCTGTCACCAAGCTGGAATGCAGTGGCGTGATCTCTGCCCACTGCAATCTCCACCTCCCGGGTTCAAGCAGTTATCTGCCTCAGCCTCCCAAGTAGCTGGGATTACAGGCGCGCACACCACACCCAGCTAATTTTTTTTTTTTTTTTTTTTTTTTGAGACCGAGTTTTGTTCTTGTCACCTAGGCTAGAGTGCAGTGGTGCAATCTCGGCTCACTGCAACCTCTGCCTCCCGGGTTCAAGCGATTCTCCTGCCTCAGCCTCCCTAGTAGCTGGGATTAGAGACGCCGCCACCACACCCAGCTAATTTTTGCATTTTTAGTACAAAAGTACAAAATTTTCACCACATTAGCCAGGCTCATCTCAAACTCCTGACCTCAGATGATCCACCTACCTCGGCCTCCCAAAGTGCTGGGATTACAGGTGTGAGCCACTGCGCCTAGCTGCTCCCGTTATTTTCTTTAGTGAGTTCTCCAGCAGTTGTTCCTCCCTGGGGACCAGTTCCCCCAAACCTCGTCAGTCTGGACCTTCCTTCTAGATGAGCTGAACCATTTTACTTCTAAAACAGTCTTTTTGGGATTGTATCTGAAGTGTCATTAAACCAGTTGGGAAGGAATATTACTTTTTTTTTTTTTTTTGAGACAGGATCTCATTCTGTTCATTGCCCAGGCTAGAGTGCAGTGGTGCAATCATGGCTCACTGCAGCTTTGATCTCCCAGGCTCAAGCCATTCTCCCACCTTAGCCTCCTGAGTAGCTGGGACTACAGGCATTACCAACATGCCTTGCTAAATTTTTTTCTTTTTGGTATTTTTTGTAGAGACAGGTTCTCACTATGTTGTCCAGGCTGCTCTTGAACTCCTGGACTCAAGCAGTCCTCCTGCCTTTGGCCTCCCAAAGTGCTGGGATTACAGGTGTGAGCCACTGCACCCGGCCTGTTTTCTTTGTATAGGCCACATGCATTGCATTTTAGATAATTCCCAGATGTTTATTATTTTCATTAATTCTTTTCATTATCTTTTCTAAGTGATCATTGCTGTCCCGTAAGTTGCTAAGTTGTACAATTTTCTTGTATCTGGCCCCTTTCCTGTTATTTGTTCAGCTCTTGTAGCAGCCCAGGTTTAGTTTATGGCTGTGATCTTAGTACATAGTAATCATCTGCCTCTTCTTTCCCAGGGCTTCTGCTTCTGAGGTGGTTTCATTTCTTAGCTCAGTAGCCAGATCTGTGTCAGAACAGCTGTAGTCAGTCATGCGGTATCACAATAGCAGAAAATACAGGATCTAGTGTTTGTGACATATGATGTTAGCTTTTGGGTTTAAGTAATCTTTGTTCTGTCTGTTACTCTTTTTATTAGGAATGGATGTTGAATTTGTCAAGCAACTTTTTAGCATTTAAATTTCATACTAAAACATAAATGCTGGCCGGGCACGGTGGCTCACACCTGTAATCCCAACACTTTTGGAGGCTGAGTCGGGAAGATCACGAGGTCAAGAGTTCAAGACCAGCCTAGCCAACATGGTGAAACCCCATCTCTAATAAAAATACAAAAATCAGCTGGGCATGGTGGTATGTTCTTGTAATCCCAGCTACTCAGGAGGCTGAGGCAGGAGAATTGCTTGAACCGGGACCCGGGAGGTGGCAGTTGCAGTGAGCCAAGATGGCGCCACTGTACTCCAGCCTGGGCTAACAACAAAACATAAAAGCTGTACTTTATTCACGTAACTTTTTTTAAAGTTCCCAATTTTGAACATCTACTTAAAAATTTAAACAATGAGGACTGTACAGCTGTTTTGATGGACTTGTCTACTTATCAAGAATTATGGATGAGGCCGGGCGCAGTGGCTCACGTCTCTAATCCCAGCACTTTGGAAAGTTGAGGTGGGCAGATCACTTGAGGCCAGAAGTTCAAGACCAGCCTGGCCAACATGGTGAAACCCCATCTCTACTAAAAATACAAAAATAACTGGGTGTGATGGTGCGCGCCTGTAGTCCCAGGTACTTGGGAGGCTGAGGCAGGAGAATCCCTTGAACCCAGGAGGTGGAGGTTGCCGTGAGCCAGGATCACACCGCTGCACTCCAGCCTGGGCAACTGAGGGAGAGTCTGTCTCAAAAAAAATAATAATATAATAATTATGGATGAGGCAAGGTGCAGCGGCTCATGCCTGTAATCTCATGCCTGTAATCCGAGGCGGGCAGATCACTTGAGGTTAGGAGTTCAAGACCAGCCTGGCCAACATGGCGAAACTTCATCTCTACTAAAAATACAAAAATTACCTGGGCGTGGTGGCACATGCCTATAATCCCAGCTACTTGGTGGCTGAGGCAGGAGAACTTCGTGAACCTGGAAGGTGGAGGTTGCAGTGAGCCCAGATTGTGCCACTGCACTCCAGCCTGGATGACAGAGCAAAACTGTGTCTCGAAAAAAAAAAAAAAGAAAAAAAAAAGAAAAAAGAATTATGGATGGTGGTAATGTTTCAGCAGCCAAAAAATTTTACTTTTTATTTGGTCACACAATATAAACACCTTTGCATTTTTAGTACAAAAATACAAAGTTTTCACCACATTGGCCAGGCTCATCTCGAACTCCTGACCTCAGGTGATCCACCTACCTCGGCCTCCCAAAGTGCTGGGATTACAGGTGTGAGCCTTGTAGTCACCAGATAAGTAGCTATAAATGGTAACCATTTACATTAGTTTTTGTAAACAGTTATTTTACAGATGCAGGTAATCCTCAGATGAAATGGCCCAGATCTCTGAGGGTGAGTAGGTGGATCATTTTTTTCGGGGGGTGCGGGGGACAGAGTCTCACTCTATCGCCCAGGCTGGGGTGTAGTGGCACAATCTCAGCTCACTGCAACCTCCGCCTCCCAAGTTCAAGCAATTCTCCTGCCTCAGCCTCCCGAGTAGCTGAGATGATAGGCGTGTGCCACCATGCCCAGCTAATTTTTGTACTTTTAGTAAAGACGGGGTTTCACCATATTGGCCAGGCTGGTCTCAAACTCCTGACCTCGTGATCTGCCCGCCTCGGCCTCTCAAAGTGCTAGGATTACAGGCGTGAGCCACTGTGCCTGGCCTTTTTTTTTTTTTTTTTTTTTTTCTGTAGAGACAGGGTCTCACTATGTTGCCCAGGCTGGGTTCGAACTCCTGGACTTGAGCAGCGCTCCTGCCTTGGCCTCGTGCAGTGCTGGGATTACAGGTGTGAGCCATGGTGCCCAGCTGATAGAGCATTTTTTTTTTTAAGACAGTCTCACTCTGTCACCTAGGCTGGAGTGCAGTGGCACAATCTCGGCTCACTGTAGCCTCTGCCTCCCTGCAGCCTCCACCTCCCGGCTTCAAGCAGTTCTCACGCCTCAGCCCTCCAAGTAACTGAGATTACAGGTGTGTGCCACCACGCCTGCTAATTTTTGTAGTTTTAGTAGAGACAGGGTTTCACTATGTTGGCCAAGCTGGTCTTGAACTCCCAGCCTCAAGTGATCCACCCACGTTGGCCTCCCAAAGCTCTGGGATTACAGATGTGAGCCACTGCGCCCTGCTGGAGTATTTTCGATCCAAGAGAACATCGTGGACATTATGTAGCAGCTTCCAGCCTTCTTTCTCATAGAAACAAAGGCAGAGAAGCAGCACCCAGACTTTGGGTAAGCAAACTGTAAGACAGCAGTTGTGAGACCCAGCAAACTTGAATCTCACTCAGTGGGGAAACCTCAGCTGATGTGAGGCTATTTTTATTTCTAAATCTGTACTTAGCGTGAATGCTGATGGGATTTGCCGGGGGATGTTACTGTGGTGAGGACCAGGCCCCTGCAGGTGTGCCCAACTCTGGATGGCTCCCTGCCTTCACTGAGTCCATCGTGTGCTTCTCTGCCTGGTCTGTTTTTCCGAGTCTTCGTCTTTGCCTGTCGACACCCCGTGACTGCTGGCATCATGCCTTCTTGTGGAAGCCACCATCGTCCTTGCTAACTGAGGGTTGTGGAGTTGTGTAATTCAGCTTGATGCAGGGAGGAGGTGTATTCCCATGTGTGGGCACTGTCATCACCCACACAGGGAGGTGAGCCCACCTCACAGAAGGAACACAGCCTGGCCAGGGGGCAGTCTGAGCCTGCGTGGGCTCTGCTGCATTCTGTGTGGCTCGGCTCTCGGCACGCCTTGACTCAAGACTGCATGGATTCAGGGGCCCCTTCCTGGCTCAGAGGTGACCCCAGAGCTGAGGAGAACCTAGAGACATGGTGGCTGGGGCTGGGCCAGCGCCTGGAGAGAGTCTGAAGCTGCCCTCACAGGGATTGGGGAGGTGACCGAGGTGGGGTGCCTGTCCCCCTTCCCACCCCTCCCAGGCCTCATTGGTGTCCACCAGGCACCTTCCACGTGTCTATTTCCCGTATTCTTGAGAACCTCTCCGTGAGGTTAGTGTTGGGTTTGCATGTCTGTAATTGAGGGAAGATTTTGAGCCTGGGAGAGTTTTTGGGGGAGGTCCCCAGACCATTACTGGTGCAGAGTGGAGCCCCTGCTGCTCTGGCTTCTGATCCTGGTGTGTGCTCGCTCTAAGCTGCCCTGGGCTGACAGTGCCCTGCACCAGCCGCACTGCCCTCTCTGGGCTGCAAGCCGAGGATCCCCATCTGAGAAACAAGCAGCGGGTCCAGAGAGTTCCCCGCCTGGCTTCCAGCCCTGATTGGTGGCTTCTCCGAGGCTGCAAGGCGGTGGTAATCACGAGAGCCACGTCGTTGGTGGGTGTTCCCATGTTGCAGGTACCGTCCTGGTACTTAGTATCTGTTAACACACAAATTCACGAGGAATGCTCCCAAAGCACAGAGAGGTTAAATTACTCAGTCTAAGGTCACGCAGCAGTAAGTAATGGAGCTGGAATTTGAGCTCTAACAGTCTGCTCCGGAGCTCGGGCCTTGCTGCTGGCGTCAGGCCATGCACAGAGAGCTGATGGAAGCAGGAGGAGCTGATGTGAAGTTATGCGACACACATGGCCTTTTAGGTGAGCTCGGGCCACCCGGGGGGATTTGTGTCCAATCAGCAGGGGAGTTTCTAGTGTGCCAGGCAAGACACGCAGGAGATCGTGAGGCTGAATGGGCCTCGCGCAGGTCAGCTGTTTGAATTTTGGACTGTAAATGGTGGTGTGGCACCACGCTGCGGTCAGATGATGGTCTCTGTGTTGCACACAAACCATAGGTTCTGGGCCAGGCATGGTCTATGCTGCAGAAGCTTAGGCTGCAGTGGCCTCCTCAAGGCCTTTCTGTGGGTGGATATGGCACAGGCGGCAACTGGGGCCGATGCAGCGTGGACCGAGATGGGTCTGGGTTAGTGCCAGCCTCCCACTGCTGCCTGTGAGGCCTCGAGCCTGCTCTCTGGCCCTCGGTGGCCTACATTCCAGTTGGGAGAAAGCAAATGTGGTGCACACAGTGTGCACCTGGTCTCTAAGACGGCCAGATGTCAGCAGGGCACCCGCTAGGAGGCAGCACTGTGGATGAGAGGCAAGAGCGGTGGAGTGGTCAGGGAGGTCTGAGTGAAGCAAGGGCATGAGCTAGGGATGTCCAGGCGGGGGGGCAGGTGTGAGGCTCTGGGCTTGGAGCCTGCTGGTGCCGGACAGAGTGGGCAGGTGGGTAGAGGAGGAGGAGATGGGCCTTGGCCCTTATTCTTTGGATTTTGTTGTTTTGCTCTGGTGCCTGCGGGCAGCTAGTGTAGAGGTCTGAGGTCAGCGAGCACCCTTACTGATTTGCAGGACTTGTTCAAGAGCCACGGATCTTTCCAGAAAGTCACTTGTTGGAGGAGAGGACCTCCAAAGTCAACAAAGTCTCTGCTCTGCACTCCATTCCCCCACGAAGTGCCAAAGCAATGCACCCTACCTCCCCAAGTCTCTGGGAGTGGGCCTGGGAGACCCACCCAGGGATCCAGCCTTTGCTGATTGTGTTTGTGTCTGACTTGCCTGCCTTTCTGTGGGGATCGCCCGCCCATGCTCCTGTCCGACGTGGTGTGGGGCTGAGGGGGCTGCACACTGTCCTGGCCTCCCTTCCGAAGGGCTCCCCAGCGGGCAGTGCAAAACGTCAGGAAGTAGGTGGGATTGTGTGTGGTTGTGACATGGCATGGCACGGGGCATGTGGGTTTTGCTGCTGTTGGTGTTCGGTGCTGAGCTGTCAAAGGCTAGTGCTGGCTCTTACTACTGTTTTCCACTCTTCCCTTTTCAAGGAATGTTCCATTTGGCTGCTGCACTCCCATCCACCCTGTGTACACATCCTCCAGAGGCGATCACCTCGGCTGTTGGGCTCTGAGGCCCGAGTGCCTTCGCATAGTGTCGAGAGCGCCATGGACCTCTACCTCTGTGGGTTTTGTGGCTGTGGGACCTCAGTGCCTTCCTGTGCGTGGCTGGCACTCTTCGCGCCCTGTTCGCGATGACTCGGTAGTAGAGAAGTCCCTCAAGTCCTTGAAGGACAAGAACAAGAAGCTGGAGGAAGGCGGCCCGGTGTACAGCCCCCCCGCAGAGGTGGTGGTGAAGAAGTCCCTGGGGCAGCGGGTGCTGGACGAGCTGAAGCACTACTACCATGGCTTCCGCCTGCTATGGATCGACACCAAGATCGCGGCACGCATGCTCTGGCGCATCCTCAACGGCCACAGCCTGACCCGCCGGGAGCGCAGGCAGGTAATGGGGACATGTCTAGTCCTTTCTTTTCTTTCTTGCTCTATCACCCAGGCTGGAGTGCAGTGGCGCAATTTCCTGGGCATGGGCGATCCTCCTGCCTCAGCCTCCCGAGTATCTGGGACCACAGGCATGTGCCACCACACCTGGCTAATTGTTTTTTATAGATCCAGGGTCCCACTTTGTTGCCCAGGCTGGTCTCAAGCTCCTGGGCTTAAATGATCCTCCCACCTCAGCCTCCTAAAGTGTTGGGATTACAGGTGTGAGCCACCGTGCTGGGCCGTGCCCAAATTCTTTTCACTCTATAGATTGCTTGAAAAATATTTTTAGTGCTTGCTTTCTGTTTGGTAGAGAATAAAAATCGGTAAAACCTATTGCCTAGGAAAAACTTGGTTTACCTGTGTATTTCCTCTACCCTCCACCACAACAGTCATCAACATAGAAGACCACGCAGCAGACACCAGCTGGGTGTCCTCTGATTTAGTTCTGATACTGTCTACCCAGAGATAACATCAGATCCCACAGGGTGAGGGCTCTGTCCCCAAGGTGCCCCCTACCAGTCTCAAGTCCAGGCCTCTCGGAACTTCTGACAGACTGGCTTCAAGTTAGGTTCCCACCACCCCCGCTTCGTTTTTTTTTTATTATTATTATTTTTATATTTATTTGTTTATTTATTTATTTTTTGAGATGGAGTCTCACTGTCGCCCAGGCTGGAGTGCAGTGGTGCGATCTCGGCTCGCTGCAGGCTCCGCCCCCCGGGGTCCACACCATTCTCCTGCCTCAGCCTCCCGAGTAGCTGGCACTACAGGCACCCGCCACCACGCCCGGCTAATTTTTTGTATTTTTAGTAGAGACGGGGTTTCACCGTGTTAGCCAGAATGGTCTTGATCTCCTGACCTCATGATCTGCCCACCTCGGCCTCCCAAAGTGCTGGGATTACAGGCGTGAACCACCGCGCCCAACCTTATTTTTTGAGGCAGAGTCTCACTCTGTTGCCCAGGCCTGAGTGCAGTGGCACAATCTCGGCTCACTGCAACCTCCGCCTCCTGGGTTCAAGTGATTCTCCTGCCTCAGCCACCTGAGTAGCTGGGACTACAGGCATATACCATCACACCCGGCTAATGTTTGTATTTTTAGTAGAGAGGGGTTTCACCGCGTTGGCCAGGCTGCTCTCGAACTCCTGGCCTCAAGTGATCCACCTGCCTTGGCCTCGCAAAGTGCTGGGATTATAGGCGTGGGCCACTGTGCCTGGCCCCCTCTTTGTTTTTAAATTGTTTTGTTTTTGTGGGTACATAGTAGGTATACGTATTTATGGGCTACATGAGGTGTGACACCCACCCCCACCCCTTTGGGTTTGATTAATTTGCTGGAGCGGCTCACAGAACTTAGAGAAACACTTAAATTTATCAGTTTACTATAAAGCATAGTGCAAAGGATGCAGGTCAAGAGACCGTAAGGCAAGGTATGTACGGGGAAGGGGCATGGATCTTCCATGCTTCCCAGGGTGCAACCCCCGGTGAACCTCTACCGTGTTCAGCTTTCTGGAAGCTCCTTGAACCCAGTCCTCTTGGGCATTCCTTCCCTCAGGGAATAGGACGGAACCCTCTTTAGGGAGGGTCTTAAAACCCATAGTCAGGAAGTTGGGAAGATTAGTGACCTGCCTTAGGGCAGGTGAAAGGAGGGTAGAGAGGTCAGAGGCCTGCCCCCAAGGCCTGACACACCTAACATTATCACAAGACTGTAACAAGGGCAGTAGAGCCAGGAACCAATACCTGTCATAACTAACCACACCTATGGAAAGGCGCACCTCGCCACTGAATTGAATTGCAACACCGTCTGCTCCTGCTTCAACTCTTTCCCAGCAGCAGTTTTCAGCACACAGCTCCACCCACTCTCGATGCCTTCACCCTCTTGATGCCTTGCCCTGGCTCTCCACTGCTGTTTCCTGGGAGGGGTCTGCATCTGCACAGGTGCACCTCTGCTGCAGGTGCAGGCCCTTTCTGTCTTAACTGCTTCAACGTCTGTCTGGAGGGGCTGCGCGTGTCCCTCTGGGTGAGTTGTTTTTATTTTTGGGATCCGTGCTTCTGACCCCAAGGTTCCACATCTGCCATCTGTGATAGAACCTGCTCGCTCACCAGTGCCCAGGCTCTCGGGGCTCCTGGTTTGTCCTCTGGTGCACCAGCTCCTGCTGTCCTTCACGGTTCTGAAAAGATTCTCCATTTTCTGTCTTTGTTTCAGGGCTGCAATCTAGATGTTTTCTTTCTATTTTATTCATTCTCTTTTCAGCTGAAGTAATCTTGTTTAATGCAGCCACCAAGGTTTTATTTTCAGTGCCTATGTTTTTAACTCTAGAAGCTCAATTAGTTTATTTTAAATTAATTTTTTAATTTAAAAGAGATGGAATCTCACTTCAGAGGGGTAAACCTTGTGTGATGTAGGTGGTGAGCTAGTTTCTTCAGCACAGATATTGTTTGCTTCTGTGAGAGCCATGGGACACCATGGGCCTCAGAGAGTGCAGCCCTATGTGGGAATCGAGTCCACTCTCTCCCAGGTGCAGCCTCATCTCCTGTCTGCTCCATCCTTTCCTCCCAAGAACACCTCATGGTTTCTAGCTCTTGGGGTTTATATTACGTTTTTGTGGCTCTACTATTTATTTACTTATTTTTATTTTTGAGACAGGTTCTCGCTCCCCCACCCAGGCTGGAGTGCAGTTGCAACCTCATGGCTAACCAAAGCCTCAGCCCTCCCGGGCATAAGGGATCCTCCTACCTCAGCCTCCAGTGTAGCTGGGACCACAGACGCACGCTGTCATGCCAGGCTAATTTTTAAATTTTTCGTAGAGACTGGGTCTCACTATATTGCCAAGGTTGGTCTCAAACTCCTGACCTCAAGCAGTCCTGCTGCCTCGGCCTCCCAAAGTGCTGGGAGGCCTTCCTTTTTAAAGATAATCCTGGCCGGGCGCAGTGGCTCACACCTGTAATCCCAGAACTTTGGGAGGCCGAGGCGGGCCGATCATGAGGTCAAGAGATCGAGACCATCCTGGCCAACACGGTGAAACCCTGTCTCTACTAAAAATACAAAAATTAGCCGGTCGTGGTGGCGGGCGCGTGTAATCCCAACTACTCAGGAGGCTGAGGCAGGAGAATCACTTGAACTCGGGAGGCAGAGGTTGCAGTGAGCCGAGATCGCGCCCACTGCACTGTATCCTGGAGACAGAGTGAGACTCCATCTCAAAAAAATAAAAAGTAAAAAAAAAGATAATCCTGTGCACTGAAATGTGCTCTAAAAGGTTGGGATTTGCAGTTCTGCTTTTGTGTTTACAAACATTTAAGAAGTTATTTTCTTGGTTGGGTGTGGTGGCTCACGCCTGTAATCCAGCACTTTGGGAGGCCAGTGCTGCAGATCACCTGAGGTCAGGAGTTTGAGACCAGCCTGGCCAACATAGTGAAACCCTGTCTCTACCAAAAATATAAAAAAAAATTAGCTAGGCGTGGTGGCGCATGTCTGTAATCCCAGCTACTCTGGAGGCCGAGGCAGGAGAATCGCTTGAACCAGGGAGATGGAGATACAATGACCCAAGATCAGGCGATTGCACTCCAGCCTGGGTGACAGAGCTAGACGCCATCTCAAAAAAAAAAAAAAAAAAAAAACTTGTAAATTTGGATTTTAGTGATGGTTTTGCAATGTATAAATTTACCAAAAATCATCAAATTTATTTAAAATAGTTGAATGTTATGGTATGTAAATTACACCTCAGTAGAACTGCTAAAAAAATTAATGAGGCATATCAAAAAACACATGTGCCAGCTTTAAGGATATGTCCTGCCCAAATATGGCACCGTTTGGGAATAAAGACAGCCGTAAATTGTAAATCAGTCAAAAAATACAGGAGTCCATGGGTCCAGTGCGATAAAAAAACAGAAAAATGAATGTATAGGAAGGCAGGGTTCTCCCCTCCTGCAGATGACAAGATAG
The DNA here is from genome assembly GCF_000001405.40 of Homo sapiens. Classification (NCBI taxonomy): domain Eukaryota; kingdom Metazoa; phylum Chordata; class Mammalia; order Primates; family Hominidae; genus Homo; species Homo sapiens. The sequence goes on along the minus strand of NC_000004.12, from coordinate 1,837,374 downwards.
GAGAGTTAGGCAGCCACTGTTTTGTGCCCATGAGAGTGGAGGCTGGCTCAATGAGCGCGGGGTCGGGAGAGAGGCTGATGAGGAGGAGGACATTGCTGCTCTCAGGGCGTCTCCCTGGGAACGCTCACTTGTTGCCAGTGGAAACGCAGGAAACGTAGGAACTACATGGAACACCTTGGCCAAGGGACCCCTGTGAGCAGCACCAAGGAGGGGCAGCATCACCCGCGCTGTTTTCCAGCAGTTGTTCAGGCTTCACAGGGATTTCTGATTATTTCAAATTGGATGTTTCTTTAATGGCATCAAGTACTAGTTTGTTTATGTCAATGAAATACTTGGGTTTTTTCCTAATGATTGCTTTGTAGTATAGTCTTAGGAAACACAAGAGAAGCCCTCCTTATAGAGCACCCTCCAAGAGAAGGTGTGGCTCAGCCTATCCTGGTGACTCTCCACCACGCTAGTAATGCCCAGTCCTCAGCCTGCAGCCCTCACTTGCTGGCCCCCGAGCCCAGAGTGCTGGCCGGTGTCCTCGGAGGACTCGATCGCTGGGAGCACCCAGTGGCCCTTGGTGTCAGCACCATACCCTGCTTTTCTGGAGGCTGCTGGTACCTGCTTTGGACCCTGAGAAAGAAGTGGGTTTTGGGAATGGTCTGCTAAGTGGTTCTGGAACTTAGAGTCCTCAGTGGGTCCTGTGAGTCGCTGCCTGAGGTTGTGCCTATAAACCATTATAGGAGAAATGCTCACACCCCTTGCCCTTGTTCCCACATGTGCTCTGCTCCCCTCTGATGGATTCCGCCCCTTCCAGTTTCTCCGGATCTGCGCTGACCTCTTCCGCCTGGTGCCGTTCCTTGTGTTCGTGGTGGTGCCGTTCATGGAGTTTCTGCTGCCTGTTGCTGTGAAGCTCTTCCCCAACATGTTGCCATCCACATTTGAGACTCAGTCACTCAAGGTAAGGGCAGCATCCCAACTGCTTGTTTTAGAATGAGTCTGAAATTCATTGTGATGGCTTCCTTGTTTGTGACTTTTCAGGTGCTAGATATTTTTGAGACTTTATGTATCTTCATATTGTCCTTGTGCTGTGCAATAATTATTTAGTGGATGCTGGGTTTTGGATTTGTTTCTCTTTATTTCGTTATTTATTTATTTATTTATTTATTTTTGAAACAGGGTCTCGCTCTGTCACCCAGGCTGGAGTGCAGCAGTGCGATCTTGTCTCACTGCATACAACCTCTGCCTCCCGGGTTCAAGCGAATCTCCTGCCTCAGCCTCCCAAGTAGCTGGGATTATAGGCATGTGTGCCACCATACACAGGTCTCGCCCTGTCACCCAGGCTGGAGTGCAGTGGTGCGATCACGGCTCACTGCAGCCTCAAGTTCCTGGACTTAAGTGATCCTCTTGTCTTAGCTCCCGAATAGCTGGGACTACAGGCTAAGCCACCACATCTGACTAATTTTTTTTTGTTTTTTATAGACAAGATCTGCTATGTTGCCCAGGCTGGTCTCAAACTCCTGGGCACAAGTAATCCTCTTGCCATGACCTCCCAAAGTGTTATTATGGGTGTGAGCCACTGCTTCCAGCTCAATGTATTTTAAAATACAGGTTTTCTAGACCAGGAACACTCCCCTACCGGTGCTATAGGGGAGTCATGAGGTCCTTCTAGGGCAGGGTCAGCCAGCTGCAGCCCACAGGCCAGATCAGGACCCTGCCTGTTCTCAGCAGAGCCCTGTGGGGACCTGCGATGCCCAGTCATGTGTCTTGTCTGTGAGGCACCAGCAGAGTTAAGCATTTGTTTTAGACCACACAGCCATGAAGGCCAGACGCCTTCCTGTCTAGCCCATTACGGAAAGTGTGCCGATCCTTGCTTTAGGGAATCACACGAGTTTGTTTGTTTTTGTTTGTTTGTTTGTTTGTTTTTGTTTTGTTTTTGTTTTTTTTTTGAGACGGAGTTTCGCTCTGTCACCCAGGCTGGAGAGTGCAGTGGTGCAATCTCAGCTCACTGTAGCCTCCACCTCCTGGGTTCAAGCGATTCTTGTGCCTCAGCCTCCCAAGTAGCTGGGATTACAGGTGTGCATGCCTGGCTAATTTTTGTGTTTTTAGTAGAGACGGGGTTTCACCGTGTTGGCCAGGCTGGTCTCAAACTCCTGACCTCAGGTGATCCACCCACCTTGGCCTCCCAAAGTGCTGGGATTACAGGCATGAGCCACTGTGCCCGGCCCACACGGGTACTTTTTAAAACCATGAAATAAAAGAGTTTGAGAATGTATTGCACTTAGATGAGAGTCAGTGTGTTGTGAAATGTTTCTGGGAGTGGGGGTCGGGCACAGGCGTGAGATGTTTTCCTTGCCCGAACCACAGTCTGAGCAGTTGGAATGCAGTGCCCTCTCTGCCCTTGCAGGAGGAGAGGCTGAAGAAGGAGCTTCGGGTCAAGCTGGAGCTGGCCAAGTTCCTCCAGGACACCATCGAGGAGATGGCCTTGAAGAACAAGGCAGCCAAGGGCAGCGCCACCAAAGACTTCTCTGTGTTTTTCCAGAAGGTGCTGTGATACGTCTGAGTCCCTGTGACCTCACCAGGGAGCCTTCCCTGATTTTCTGTTTCCCTTTCGCTGTGCTCAGCAGAGTGGAGCTCCCCCAGGTGCTGGCTGGCGCTTGAAAGTTTACCCAGGAGGCTCAGTCGGGGGCCAGTGGAGTGTCAGGAGTCTGCCCCCACGAGCTCCCAGTGAGTTAAGCTGTGGTGGCTGCGCCTCGTCAGCCTTCAGAATTATGGGCGTCTGTGTCTCATCACCCTGCAGCTGTCCAGGAGCAGTAGAATCTGACCCATGAGGAGCCTGAGACCCTGATGGTGTGAGGTGTGGGTGGCTTGGCCGGGCTCCTCTGCTGGGCATTGCCCTCTGGCTGGAGTCAGTCAAGAAGATCCCAGGTCCCAGGGGCTGGTCAGAGGCCTGGACTGTGGGAGCAGTGGGGGCTGGAGAGGAGGAGCGGCCCTTGAGGTTTCCTGCGGTCATGTGGTGAGTGAGGTGAGGATGGGGAGACGGCAGCTGCCACGGACCGAGATCCCTGAGGACTAGATGGGGTTCACGAGGCCGGTGTTGTTGGCTTGAGGGACTTGTGCCACTTTGGAGTGAGAAGGATGTGTCTGAAGTGCAGGAAGAGCTTAAACCAGGGCCTAGAAACTCCAGCCATGCGTGTGCGTTGTCTGTGGGGTTTTCCCGCTGCAGCACAGAGGCGAGTGGTTTCCATGGCTGCAAAGCCAGAAATACTTGCTGTCTGGCCCTTGACAGAAAAGACTGCCAGGCTGAGGCCTAACCACGGAGAAGCCTCTCGGGAGGAGGCGACACAGCCATGGGGCTGCTGAGCCCCCCAGGGAGTGGGTGGTGGTTCCAGCAAGATGTTTTAGGGGGAGCCATGCTTTGGGAGCCTCACCCAGGACATCGTGCCTTGCAGAGCAGGAGGGGCCCGTCCCAACCTTTCCTGGGCCGCCCAGCTGCCAAGAAGGATGTGCTTGCAGTCACCTGCACGGGGGTGTGCTGCATAGGGCCGCCCCCAGGAGCACACCTGAAATTGTGTCTCAGAGCTGGCATCCTGCATGTTACGATTTGAGTTGGGCACCAAGTCAGCCTCGTCCTCCCTCATCTGTCACCTCTGCTAGGTACCCTCCTAGCCCAGCTCTTGGCAGAGACTGAGCTGGTGGCTTGTCCCTCAGGTGGTAGGAACTGCAGAGGATCACCCAAAGGGCCCTGAGTGATCCACGCTAAGGGACTCTAGCTCTCCCTAAAGAGCTAGATGGCCACCCCTCCCCCAAGGCTCAGGCAGTCATCCGTGGGAGATGTAGGTGCACACAGGTGCACCTCTTCCTGCCCCAGAGCAGCAGGGTCCCGGCCACTTCTGTGGCAGAGAGAGGATCACAGGACCTGCATGCAGCAGCCTGTGGGCCCGGGCGTCTCCCCCAGCAGACAGCAGCCTCAGCTTTGCTGGTTCAGGCAGGAGAGGTCCACAGGCCAGACGCCACCTTTCCCCAGGCTAGCCCAGCACCGGAGTCAGAAGTCAGTGGTTTGAGGCCAAGCTGGGCAGGTGACTTGAGGTCGGGTATTTGAGACCAGCCTGGCCAACATAGTGAAATCCCATCTCTACTAAAATACAAAAATTAGCTGGGTGTGGTGGCGCAGCCTGTAATCCCAGCTACTCGGGAGGCTAAGGCAGGAGAATCCCTTGAACCCAGGAGGTGGAGGTTGCAGTGAACCGAGATTACACCACTGCATTCCAGCCTGGGTAACAGAGCGAGACCCTGTCTCAAACAAAAAAAAAAAAGAAGAAGTAGTCAGTGGTTTGAGTCCCTGAGGATGAGAGGCAGCACCCTTTGGGAATGTGGTTGGTCGTGGGAGGGAGCCGGGTGGGCGCGTGTCCCGGGGATGACCCTTGTGACCACTTCCGCAGATCCGGGAAACAGGGGAGAGGCCCAGCAATGAGGAAATCATGCGTTTTTCCAAATTATTTGAGGATGAGCTGACCCTGGACAACCTGACACGGCCGCAGCTGGTGGCCCTGTGCAAGCTGCTGGAGCTACAGTCCATCGGCACCAACAACTTCCTGCGCTTCCAGCTTACCATGCGGCTGCGCTCCATAAAGGCAGACGACAAGGTGAGCCTGGCCATACTCCGCGCCACAGCTCTGGTGTTTTACCTTTTCGTTTCCTGATGATAAAAGCAGCATGTCCTCATTGTAGAAACTCTGGAAGATGCTGAACGATCGAAAATAAGCTCACTAGGAGTCTTGCCACTTGCAGATTGCAGATCCTTTGAAGATGGATGTCTTTTCTCTGGCACCTTCTCGGATGATCTCTCTGTTTGGATTTCGTCAGATTTATAATAACTTGCTTAGTTGTGTCTGTCTTTGTGTTCATCCTGCTTATTGATGACAGTGCCTCTGTGCCTCTCTCCTCACATCAGGGTCTTCATCGAGGGTCCATTTGCCCCTTTGCCCTGTCCTGTCCATCGCACGTGCTTGCCTCTGTGCTTCACGCCCTTTTGTGCTTTCAGGGCGCTGCCCTCCTTCTAGGTCTGATTACTCCTTTTTTTTTTTGAGACGGTGTTTCGATCTTGTTGCCCAGGTTGGAGTGCAGTGGCGAGATCTCGACTCACTGCAACCTCTGCCTCCTGGGTTCAAGCGATTCTCCTGCCTCAGCCTCCAGAGTAGCTGGGATTACAGGCGCCCGCCACCATACCCGGCTATTTTTTGTATTTTTTAGTAGAGACAGGGCTTCATCACATTGGCCAGGCTGGCCTCAAACTCTGGACCTCAAGCGATCTGCCCACATCGGCCTCCCAAAGTGCTGGGATTACAGGCATGAGCCACTGTGTCCGGCTGGTTACTCTTTTATTCATACTAGGAGCTCTTAAGATTTCAGTTCTCAGGTAAAACTGTTCCTCTTGTCATCTGTCTTTTTGAATGCACTAACTCTAGTTCACATTGATTACTCTAATAACTGGGTGGTCCGTAGGCCTTTTTCTTTTGCTCTCCCTTCTGATTTTGTTTGTAGTGTTTAGTTTTTCCTGAATGCAGGCATTGTCTGTGGAAGACAAAGAGGTTCAGGGCAGTGTTGAACTCTTCCAGGAAGAGCCTGCCTGCATCTCTGGTGAGCAGGTTGAGGGCCAGTCATTTCCATGAATCAAGGCAAGGCCATGTGGGGAGCCTGTATCCCGCCCTTGCCGGGACACAACAGGCACCCCAGCCCTGGTGGTGATGGTGTCAGAGAAGGCTGAGGGGGCCAGCCCCTGTGGTGTCAGTGGAGACCAGGTGGGGGGCTTGAGCTTTCCTCTCATCTGACAGTGTATCCGCCACACTTCCCCACCACTGGGGTGGCCTTGGGGGCCCAGCGGAGAGTTGGGACTTTGACCACTGCCCAGCAGGAACAAGGTCACGTCTACCATGGTGCCAGTGGGAGCCAGGTGGGAAACAGTACTGAGATGCTTCTGCCCTCCTACTGGGGGAGACACCTGTGAGAGCCAGAACTCCCACCCACCCGTTCCCAGCGGTAGCAAGCAGCACCGCTGTCCCGCAGATGTCTGTGGAGGCTGGATGGGGAGCCTGCACTTCTTACGAGGCAGCGCTCCCACCACTTCTAAAATATGCCTGGGATTTAGCTTATGGATGTGAGTGAGTGACAACATGGAGAGGTCAATGCCATTGAGAGAAATGTGTTACCCACAGCTCCCCTGTCACTCAGCCCCACAAAACCTCCACACCCATGGGGAGCAGTAAGCTGGGGGGGACGATGGCTGCCTTCCTTGTCTGCAGTAGGTGGAGACATGTCTGACTGGGCAGGAAGGGAAACACAGACGTTAGGGTTTGTGGTTGGCCCATGAAAGCTGGACCATAGGGAAGTGGAAACAGCTTTGGCCTTGTTAGCTTGGTCCTGGGATTGGTAGATGCCAGATCATCAATTGCAAACTCTGTGCAAATTAGAATACCCACCGCCCATGCCACCATGCACCGGAGGAGGTCAGCTGCGACACACTGGAAGTCAGATCTAGAGTCAAGAAGCAGGAAGGTATCAGTGAATGAGAAAAAGCAACGCCTGGTACCAACCCTGAGATGACAGTTAGAGACCCTGCACCTGGGCCTCAAACAGCCACCAGCGCAGAGCTCCAAAAGCCACAACAGAGCAGAACATGTGAAAAACAGATCTGGGCAAAGAAAGAAAAGAAATATGTTATTAATAATATTAAAAGATATTGCGAGAAGATACTAAGGCCAGGCACAGTGGCTCACATCTATAATCCCAGCACTGTGGGAGGCCAAGGTGGGAGGACTGCTTGAGCCCGGTAGTTTGAGACCTTCCTGGGCAACATAGTGAGACCCCCCACCTCTACAAAAAAATTTAAAAATTAGCTGGGCTTGATGACTTGCGCCTGTAGCTCCAGCTACTCAGGAGGCTGAGGCAGGAGGATTGCTCGAGCTTGGGAGATTGAGCTTGCAGTGAGTTGTGATTGTGTCACTGCACTCAGCCTGGGCAACAGAGGGAGACTGTCTCTCAAAAAAATTTGAAAAAGAAGAACCAAATGAAAAATTACAACTGAAAAGTACAATATCTAAAGTCAAAACCTGGGTGGGCTCAACAGCAGAATGGATAAGATAAAAGACAGAACCAGTAAACATTAAGATAAAATGATAGAAATTACCTGTTTGAACAACAGAGAGAAAATAGTAGAAAACATTGTATAGAGCCCCACAGCCTGTGCTATAGCAAGTGTCAACCATCTGTGTTATCTGATGTTCCGGGGGAGAAAGGATAGAGCAGGGCTGAAAAAGTACCTCAAGAAATAATGGCTGGCTGAAAACTTCCCAGGCTCAGTTAAAGATGTAAATCTGCAAATTTCAGAAGCTGAGTGAACCCTGAGTAGGATAAATCCAAATAAATTCACAGCAAGTCACGTCAGAGTCAAACTAATGAACCCTGAAGACAAAGGGTTTTTAAGGCAGTGAGAGAAAGGCATCGTGTGTGTGTGTGTGTGTCGTTGTTTCATTTATGAATGCCAGGTCTTTTTTTGGGTTTTGGGGGAGATGGTGTCTTGTTCTGTTGCCCAGGCTGGAGTGCAGTCCACTGGCACAATCTCAACTCACTGTAGCCTTGATCTCCTGGACCCAAGCCATCCTCCCACCTCAGCCCCCTGAGTAGCTAGGACCACAGGCCTGTGCCACCACACCGGCTAGTTTTGTTTATTTTTCTTGTAGAGATGAGGTCTTACTATTAGGCTGCCCAAGCTGGTCTGGAACTCCTGGGCTCAAGTGATTCTCCCACCTTGGCCTCCCAAAATGTTGGGATTACAGGCGTGAGCCACTGTTCCTGGCCAAGAACGGCATCTTTACCATTAGGGGAAAATTTGAATGACAATGGATTTCTCATCAGGAACTGTGGAGACCAGAGGAAGTGGAGCATTATTTTTCAAGTGTTAAAAGAACTGTCCGGGAGGGAGGTTGGGGGGTCAGCCCCCCGCCCGGCCAGCCGCCCCATCCGGGAGGGAGGTGGGGGGGTCAGCCCTCCGCCTGGCCAGCCGCCCCGTCTGGGAGGTGAGGGGCGCCTCTGCCCGGCCGCCCCTACTGGGAAGTGAGGAGCCCCTCTGCCCGGCCAGCCGCCCCGTCCGGGAGGGAGGTGGGGGGGTCGGCCCCCCGCCCGGCCAGCCGCCCCGTCCGGGAGGGAGGTGGGGGGGGGGTCAGCCCCCCTGCCCGGCCAGCCGCCCCGTCCGGGAGGTGAGGGGCGCCTCTGCCCGGCCGCCCCTACTGGGAAGTGAGGAGCCCCTCTGCCCGGCCAGCCGCCCCGTCCAGGAGGGAGGTGGGGGGGTCAGCTCCCGCCCGGCCAGCCGCCCCGTCCGGGAGGGAGGTGGGGGGGGGTCAGCCCCCCTGCCCGGCCAGCCGCCCCGTCCGGGAGGTGAGGGGCGCCTCTGCCCGGCCACCCCTACTGGGAAGTGAGGAGCCCCTCTGCCCGGCCAGCCGCCCCGTCCGGGAGGGAGGTGGGGGTGTCAGCCTCCCGCCCGGCCAGCCGCCCCGTCCGGGAGGGAGGTGGGGGGGGTCAGCCCCCCTGCCCGGCCAGCCGCCCCGTCCGGGGGGTGGGGGGCGCCTCTGCCCGGCCGCCCCTGCTGGGAAGTGGGGAGCCCCTCTGCCCGGCCAGCCGCCCCATCCGGGAGGGAGGTTGGGGGGTCAGCCCCCCGCCCAGCCAGCTGCCCCGTCCGGGAGGTGGGGGGCGCCTCTGCCCGGCCGCCCCTACTGGGAAGTGAGGAGCCCCTCTGCCCGGCCAGCCGCCCCGTCCAGGAGGGAGGTGGGGGGGTCAGCCCCCGCCCGGCCAGCCGCCCCGTCCGGGAGGGAGGTGGGGGGGGGGGTCAGCCCCCCTGCCCGGCCAGCCGCCCCGTCCGGGAGGTGAGGGGCGCCTCTGCCCGGCCGCCCCTACTGGGAAGTGAGGAGCCCCTCTGCCCGGCCAGCCGCCCCGTCCGGGAGGGAGGTGGGGGTGTCAGCCCCCCGCCCGGCCAGCCGCCCCGTCCGGGAGGGAGGTGGGGGGGGTCAGCCCCCCTGCCCGGCCAGCCGCCCCGTCCGGGAGGGAGGTGGGGGGGTCAGCCCCCCGCCCGGCCAGCCGCCCCGTCCGGGAGGGAGGTGGGGGGCGGTCAGCCCCCCCCGCCCGGCCAGCCGCCCCGTCCGGGAGGTGAGGGGCGCCTCTGCCCGGCCGCCCCTACTGGGAAGTGAGGAGCCCCTCTGCCCGGCCAGCCGCCCCGTCCGGGAGGGAGGTGGGGGTGTCAGCCCCCCTGCCCGGCCAGCCGCCCCGTCCGGGAGGGAGGTGGGGGGGGTCAGCCCCCCTGCCCGGCCAGCCGCCCCGTCCGGGTTGGGGGGCGCCTCTGCCCGGCCGCCCCTGCTGGGAAGTGGGGAGCCCCTCTGCCCGGCCAGCCGCCCCATCCGGGAGGGAGGTTGGGGGGTCAGCCCCCCGCCCAGCCAGCCGCCCCGTCCGGGAGGTGGGGGGGGCGCCTCTGCCCGGCCGCCCCTACTGGGAAGTGAGGAGCCCCTCTGCCCGGCCACCACCCCGTCTGGGAGGTGTGCCCAACAGCTCATTGAGAACGGGCCAGGATGACAATGGCGGCTTTGTGGAATAGAAAGGCGGGAAAGGTGGGGAAAAGATTGAGAAATCGGATGGTTGCCGTGTCTGTGTAGAAAGAAGTAGGCATGGGAGACTTTTCATTTTGTTCTGCACTAAGAAAAATTCCTCTGCCTTGGGATCCTGTTGATCTGTGACCTTACCCCCAACCCTGTGCTCTCTGAAACATGTGCTGTGTCCACTCAGGGTTAAATGGATTAAGGGCGGTGCAAGATGTGCTTTGTTAAACAGATGCTTGAAGGCAGCATGCTCGTTAAGAGTCATCACCAATCCCTAATCTCAAGTAATCAGGGACACAAACACTGCGGAAGGCCGCAGGGTCCTCTGCCTAGGAAAACCAGAGACCTTTGTTCACTTGTTTATCTGCTGACCTTCCCTCCACTATTGTCCCATGACCCTGCCAAATCCCCCTCTGTGAGAAACACCCAAGAATTATCAATAAAAAAATAAATTAAAAAAAAAAAAAAAAAAAAGAACTGTCAATCCAGGATCTATAACCAGCAAAAATATAGCAATGATGGGGAGCCAAGGCAGTATCAGAGGGAAGGAAGCTAAGACTGTGTCACCAGCAGACCTCCCCTAAAGGAAGGGCTGAGGGAAGCTCCTCGACCAGAAAGGAAACAGTAAGAGAAAGTACCTCGGCGCAGCAGGAAGAGTTCCCAGCAACCAGAGCGAGGGTCGGCATGGCGAGCTGCCCTCTCCCTGCGCCTTCTGCAGTGAGCGGGGCTGAGGGACGGGCTCCACGGTGTGGGTGGAGGCGACGATGCGAGTGGAGGCGACACCTGAGACTCAGAACAGACGGAGGGGAAGCTTCAGCACTTGCCTTCGTGGGTGGAGCGCCGACTCCACTGCACTACAGTGAGCTGCGTCCGTGGATTGTGTATCGTGATCCCCAGAGCAACACTGAAAATGCTGCACAGACTCCAGACCACCAGAGCGAAATCAAACGGAGGCCAGCCAGCCCCCAGGAGGACAGGGAGAAGAAAGCAGACAGAAAGCATCTTCATTCCTGATCAACTGGCGGAGCCCAGCTTAGTGGGCGAAGGGTTCGGCTAAGGAGGGCACGCATGCTGCAGAATGCCGCATGGCAGTGAGAGGCCTAACCCGGCACACCCATAGCACCCCCAGTGGGTCCTCAGGGAACCCCAGAGGTGACTCCTGCATGATCCTGTTCAGAGAGCACTCCAGGTGACAGCAGCAGACATGGAGACAAGCGCGTCTGTGAACGGGCAGCACCGGGAGCTGGGGAAGGTGGCCTCTGTCTTGACTGGGTGGGTGGCATGTGCTAATTGCAGTGCTGCTGGTGAGACATTATGCTAGGGGAGGCATCTGATGCATGGGAGCTTTGTTACTTGTTAAAACTGGATGTGTGTCCACAGTTACGTCAAGTTTGGTTTTAGAAGTGGAGGTGGTGGTACTGTCTACCCCACAGGGTGGTTGTGATGTGGAGTGAACTCTGAGATGGGGGGCCCTACTGCAGAGTCCTGGCATGGGAGCCCTGTTGCCGGCATCTGCCTAGCAGTAGCTGTCATTACTTCTCCGTGTCTCTCTTCACCTGTTGCTCCCTGTATGCCTTGGTGTCCTCTACCTCTGGGACTCCTGTTTGCTTTTCCAGTTGGTGTCACAGTGACCTTGGGCTGAGCAGAAGAGAGGGGCCCTTTGGGTATGAGGTCAAGATGTGTCTTCAGAGTGTCTGGTTCCCTCGCCTTCCATCCCTCCTTCTTTTCCATCCTGGGCACACTTTGGCAGATGGGGGACTGGGGGATCAGGAGAAACAGCAGGTGGCAGGAGTGGCCAGGGTGGGGCTGGTTCTGCCATCAGGACAGAGGGTTGGAGGTGGACTTCTTTGTCTCGGGGTTGACCGTGGCCGTTCTGCACTTCCCAAGATCCTGACCCTCCGTCACAGGCTTCCAGTCACTTCTAACCTAGAACTGGGCTTTGGTGGCCGTGGTTTGATTCTTGCTTGGCAAAATCTGTTAGCCACTTATTCTGGAGGGTGTTCACACAGACACTGTCACCCACCAGCAACTGTCCCAGATGATAATTCACTGCTTTGTTTTCTAGCTGATTGCTGAGGAAGGGGTGGACAGCCTGAATGTCAAGGAGCTGCAGGCAGCGTGTCGGGCACGAGGCATGCGGGCCCTGGGCGTCACGGAAGACCGCCTGAGGGGTCAGCTGAAGCAGGTGCGTGAATATTGGCCTGGTGCCAGGCCGGCACGGGCTCAAGGGAAACATCAGCCTCGAAAGGCCACTCGGAGGCTCTTCCCAAACTCTGGGCCGGCCTGGCGAGGCGACACTGTGACCTCTCTGGGGACGGCCAGGATGTTTGGGCTGTTTCTCGCCCTTCTGCTCCTACCGCACTCACACCCCTGCATTCGCACCTTTCATTGCCTTTTGAATATTGCTTTGATTTTTCTTGTTTGCTTTTAGTTGATTTTAAAGACCTTAATAACTTACTATTTTGGTTATCTGTAGTCAGATGAGGACTGGAGTTCACCTCTGAGATGTCGGACGTGTTCACATTTTGACTCTTTCTGAACTGGGGCCATGGAAGGTTTGGGTGGCATGGCACGGTCTGACTTTGGAGCCGCCCCTTCTCTTGGCCACGCCCTGTGCTGGTGCCTGGTTCCCAATGCCATCAAATTGAGTGGCTTGTAGGTCGGAAAGTGACAGCCCCAGCCACTCACTCTTACATGGAAAGGTTAAGGGGTGCAGGGCTCCAGCCGGTTTCCTCCCGGTGCCCTGGCACTGGCATGCCCTTGTTGGCAGTCATCCTCCTCCCGGGTTTTTCACACAACCTGCAAGTGTAGATGAAGGTGTGTGTACACACTTCTCCTCTCGACACAGACAGTATTTATGGCGTGATCCTGTGGCACCCCCTGCCTTCCACAGCCGCGTCTTCCATCGGATTCCCCAGCAGAGCCTTCTCTGTGTCTGGCATGGGTGCTGACCTCCCTAGCACTCTGCCCAGCCTTCTGGAGCTCCGTGGGGATATGGGCCACACACACAGGGGTGTCTGAGCAGGGGGGCAGGTGCTGTCCCTGCCCAGGCCCCTCGGCCCCCAGGGGAGTGTGGCGCATTGGGGGCCCGAGTGTCATGTGTTCACACTTTTCCTTCTCTACCCACCTCTCGGTGGTGCCTTTCTTCTCTTAGGGTTTGTTCTCATATTTTCTCTACCCACTTCTCCTCAGCGTTGCCTTTCTTCTCTTAGGGTTTGTTCTCATGTTTTGCCCCGTGTTCAGTTTGTCTCTAAACATTGTCACGGTCTTTCTTGCCCATTTGGAGATTGTCTTGGTGTTACTCAAGCAGCCAGCCCCGGAACCTGGCCTGTGCAGAGCCTGCAAGGGCCCGAGTGCTGACCGGCCTCAGTGACACTGCCTCTGCGGGCCCGTATATGTTGACCTGGGCTGGTCTTGTTTCTTTGTTTGAGACAGAGTCTTGCTCTGTCACACAGGCTGGAGTGCAGTGGCGCGATTTCGGCTTGAAACAACCTCCGCCTCCCTGGTTCAAGCAATTCTTGTGCCTCAGCCACCCAAGTAGCTGGGACTACAGGTGCACACCACTATACCTGGCTAATTTTTGTATTTTTAGTAGAGATGGGATCGCCATGTTGGCCAGGCTGGTCTCGAACTTCTGACCTCAGGTGATCCGCCCACCTCGGCCTCCCAAAGTGCTGGGATTACAGGCGTGAGCCACCGCGCCCGGCCCCTGGGGTGTTTTTAAGTGAAGAGTTGGTGCCCTGTTCTGAGGCCCTTGGGGTCCTCGCTGTGGGGGTTGCTGACCCCCAAGCCTCTCTGGTGTTTTGTTTACTAACGCCGTCATCGGGTCACGCAGCACAGCAACAAACAGACCTTGTAGAACTTGAGACACTGTCTTCTCTGAGAGCTATTCTGGTGATGAGATGGGCGGACCTGCTGTGGGGCCAGCAGGGTTGGGGGGCTGCCCATCTGCTGAACCTGGCCTTGGTTGCAGTGGCTGGACCTGCACCTGCATCAGGAGATCCCCACATCGCTGCTCATCCTGTCCCGGGCCATGTACCTCCCGGACACCCTCTCTCCAGCCGACCAGCTCAAGTCCACACTGCAGACCCTCCCAGAGATTGTGGTACGTGCTGTCGGAGACCCCTTTTACCTCATCTCTTCATAGGTGGCTCCGCTCTTCTGGGGTGGGGGGAGGTGTGCAAGCGCACTCATTCCTCAACCATGGGCGAGGAGCCTGCCTCCCACCCCCTCGCGAGTGCCCCCACCCAGCCACCTGTCCCCTTCCTTCCATCCCTCCTCACCAGCCCCTTGCCTGCCATCCCCCGTGTGGCACAGTTGCCAGTGGTCCCGACCTGGCCACGTGTTGGCTGCTGTGGATCTGGGCCGCGGCCCTTGGAGCTGTGTCAGCAGCGCCTATGCTCCTTCCCACATGTCAGGAGTCATCGGGCGAGCGCAGAGGGCGGCCCAGGGGCCTCCCAGCAATTGCGGGCAGCACCTCGGCAGTGCCTTCTGTCCTGTGTGTGTGAAGCCCAGGTGGTGACGGGGCAGGGGACACAGGACACAGGACAGAGGTGAGGGGCAGCAGGGGCCTCTGGTGGCTTCTGGGCTCACCCACAGATGTACCCTCTTCTGAAGGCAAAGGAAGCACAGGTGAAAGTGGCCGAGGTGGAGGGCGAGCAGGTGGACAACAAGGCCAAGCTGGAGGCCACGCTGCAGGAGGAGGCGGCCATCCAGCAGGAGCACCGTGAGAAGGAGCTGCAGAAGCGCTCGGAGGTGGCGGTAAGCGGTGGTCCTGCTCCGTGCCGCGTGGGGCTGTCCTGAGCCAGCCTCCCTAGAAACCCCCGCACGCCCACAGTCTTGGCCTCCCGCATGCTTGCCCTGCAGCTCTGTCCTGCATGTTTATTTCCTCCTGGAGTGGTCAGGGAGGCAGGGTGCCCGGGTGTGAGGGCTGCAACTCTGACATGGGGACTCCCCGATGGCCACAGTGGTGCTCATGGGAGATATACCTTAGCCGTCTCAGAGGGGCAAGCTTAGCATATGGCAGTGCCCACCCTCTCCTCAGGGACTTGCTGTGAGGGGCGCTGGCAGAGGAGCTGCAGGCTCCCCCAGCCTCTGGGCTCCTCTTCAACGCGGGCCCTGTGGTCCTCTTGGGTCACATGCATGGTGCCCACCCACAGGCTCAGCCTCCTGCTCTGCAAGTGACAGGGCAGCTTGGGGGAGTCTTGGGGAGACCAGAGATGGATAAGGTGCTCTAGCCTGTTCTGGAGAGGGCCCCAGGTGACCTGGCAGCTGCATGGAGCCTCCCTAGGGACCTTCTGTGGCAGGTGTGCTGCCCAATGTCACCTGCAGGCCTGCTCCCAGTGTGGCCTCTGCCATATGTTCTGAGCTTCGGGGAGCAAGAAGACTGCTTCTGTGTGATGGCGGGCGCTGGGCTGGTGTCGCCTTGCCTTTCAGAAGGATTTTGAGCCCGAACGTGTGGTAGCTGCTCCCCAAAGGCCGGGGACCGAGCCACAGCCAGAAATGCCTGACACAGTCCTGCAGTCAGAGACCTTGAAGGACACTGCCCCGGTGCTGGAGGGCTTGAAGGTAATGAGGCAGGTTCTGGGGCCCTGGAGGCTGAGGAGGGCATGGCCTGGCTTTGTGGACAGTTGTGGGGCAGGGATGGGGACAGGTTAGCTGGGGCATCTATAGCCCTCAGTGAGAGGAGATGGTGCAAGGGGTTGAGGATGAGGCCACTGGGCCCCTAGGAGGCTTGGTGGTTAGGAAAAGAGTGAGTCCGGCCGGGCTCCGCACTGTGCCTGGGTGCACAGCAGCTGACGCTGCCGTGAACTTAGCACCCTGGCCCACAGTGTGGCAGGTAGAGATGCCAGTCGGCAGGTTTCAGGGCCCTTTGCCAGCTTGCCCAGACAGTGAAGGGGTGTGGAAGCCAATGTGGCCCCTCAAGGTAGAGCCTCCTCCACAGGCCCAACCTGCTGTCACCTCCTGTGGGGTGATCTGGGCTTGGAGCATCTTCAGACTCCCCATGCGAGCCTGTGAGGTGCAGCCTCCAGGCGCCTGTGCTGCCTACCTGGGGCGCCTCCTGGTACCTTCCATCTTGAACTCGCGGGCTGAAGTGCAGTGGCGCCATCTCGGCTCAGTGCAGTCTCAGCCTCCCAGGTTCAAGCAACTCTTCTGCCTCAGCCTCCCAATATCTGGGAGTACAGGCGTGCACCACCAGACCCAGCAAATTTTTGTATTTTTAGTAGACAGGGGGTTTCACCATGTTAGCCAGGCTGGTCTCAAACCCCTGACCTCAAGTGATCTTCCCGCCTCAGCCTCCCAAAGTGCTAGGATTACAGGTGTGAGCCACCACACCCAGCCATAAAAAAAAAATTTGGCCAGGCGCAGTGGCTCACGCCTGTAATCCCAGCATTTTGGGAGGCCGAGGTGGGCGGATCACGGGGTCAGGAGATCGAGACCATCCTGGCTAACATGGTGAAACCCCATTTCTACTAAAAATACAAAAAATTAGCCAGACATGGTGGCATGCACCTGTAGTCCCAGCTACTCAGGAGGCTGAAACAGGAGAATGGTGTGAACCTGGGAGGCAGAGCTTGCAGTGGGTGACAGAGTGAGACTCTGTCTCAAAAAAAAAAAAAAAAAATTTCACTTTTTAGCAAATCAAATAGAACTATTCTGTAAAAAGAATCATGATCACATGGGATTTGTCCAAAAAATGCAAATTGGCTTGAATTTTTTTTCTTTTGAGGTGGGATCTCACTCTGTTGCCCAGTCTGCAGTGCAGACATGACCTTGGCTCACTGAAGACTTGACCTCCCAGGCTCAAGTGATTCTCCTGCCTCAGCCTCCCGAGTAGCTGGGATTATAGGTGCCCACCACCACACCCAGCTAATTGTTGTATTTTTAGTAGAGATGGGGTTTCACCATGTTGGCCAGGCTGGTCTCGAACTCCTGACCTCAAGTGATCCTCCCACCTCGACCTCCCAAAGTGCTGGGTTTACAGGCTTGAGCCACTGTGCCTGGCCAAAATTTTTAAAATGTAATTTCCATATTAACAGACTAAATTAGAAAAGCTGGGAATGTTTATCTTGGTAGCTGCAGAAAGAGCCTGTGGCAGAACCCAGTATCTGTTCCTGATATGCAGATGTCCTGCACATGCAGGCAGCTTTCTCAGCCCAATCAAAAGCATCTGCAGAAACACCTCCAGCTGCCGTCACCCTCAGTGGTGAGACGCTGATGAGGTTGTCTGTCCTCACTCTGAGCTCAGCATCAGCTTGGGGGTTTCAGTCAGGGCAGTTGAATACAGAAAACAAAACCATATAGATCAGAAAGGAAAAAGGAAAACTCTTTATTCACAAATGGTGTGAACAATCAATTGTGCTTCACTATGGTAATGAGTAGTCAGAGAAGGTTTGAACAGTATGGCACCCCCCAAAATGAACTACTTAGGGATAAATTTGGAAAAAGATATGCAAGTGCTGTCCACGGAGTACTGTAAAATGTTGCTGAGGGAAAGAAAAACCAAACAGAGAGGCTGGGCGCGGGGCCCACACCTGTGATATCAGCACTGTGGGAAGCCGAGGTGGGAGGATCGTCTGAGTCCAGGAGTTTGAGACCAGCCTGGGCAACATAGTGAGACGCCGTCTTTACAAAAAATAAAAAGTTGGACAGATATGTCAGTGTGTGCCTGTAGTCCCAGCTCCTGGGGAGGCTGAGGCAGGAGATTGCTTGAGCTTGGGAGATCAAGCCTGCAGCAAGCCATGATTGCACCACTGCCCTCCAGCCTGGGCAACAGAGTGAGACCCTGTCTCAAAAAACAAGACAAGAAACACACGACCACAGGGGCAAATCTCAAAATAAGTGAGTGAGAGAAGTCAGACAAAAAGAGTGCTTGCTGGATGATCCGTCTATCTAAGATGCTAGAAAGTGCACCCGAGTCTGCAGTGGCAGGACCTGAGGTTGCCTGGGGGTCGGTGGCGGGACCCAGTGGGGGCACAAAGATGCATTTGGAGGTGACTCTTTGACTGTAGTGAAGTTTCACAGTACACGTGTCAATTCATAGATGACGCGCTTTAAACAAATGGGGTTTGGCATATGAGGGCAGACAGTGACTGCGTGCAGCAGCCAGCGCAGCAGTGAACCTGAACCCCGCGGGTCTCTTGTTACCAATGACTGTCCAGTGAGACTCTTGCCCTGGGCTGCCCGTATAATATGAACAGAGCAGCTGGTCACTTGGGAACAGGCCAGTTCTTTCCCTTGGCTCAGGCTTTGTTGTTTGCCCATTTTTATCCCAGGAGGAAGAGATCACGAAGGAGGAAATCGACATCCTCAGCGATGCCTGCTCTAAGCTGCAGGAGCAGAAGAAGTCACTCACCAAGGAGAAGGAGGAGCTGGAGCTGCTGAAGGAGGATGTGCAGGACTACAGCGAGGTGGGTGGGATTTGCTCCCTGGACTCTGAGACTGCAAGAAGAGTAAAATCGCTGTACTGGCCCCAAAAGTATACATAATACTTCCGTCAGATACTTGATAAGCTGGCCAAAGAGTATTTGGAGAGGAAAGCACGTTATAAATAAACCTTATTCAGTAACCTTTCCACAGCCATTCCGGCTGGACCAATCCTCTGTAATGTGGCTGTGTGCCGTTCTGGCCACAGATGTGTGTGCACCTTTTTTTTTTTTTTTTTGTAAGAAGGTCTTGCTCTGTTGCCCAGGCCAGAGTGCAGTGGCACAATTTCAGCTCATTGCAACCTCCACCTCCTGGGTTCAAGCAATTCTTGTGCCTCAGCCTCCCGAGTGGATGAGACTGTAAACATGTGCCACCATGCCCAGCTCAATTTTTTGTATTTTTAGTAGAGACGGGGTTTCACCATGTTGACCAGGCTCATCTCGAACTCCTGGCCCCAGGTGACCGACCTGCCTCGCCCTCTCAAAGTGCTGGGATTACAGGCGTGGCCACCGTGCCTGGCCACATCTTTTAGTTTCTAAACATGGGAAGGTGTCTCATGAAGAGTTTGGTCACTTGACGAGATCTTATTCATGATTACGTGAAAGTGGCTTTTTTCTTTTCTTCCATGGTGGTTTGTTTCCCTTTTTTTGTAAATATTACTTCCTAATAACGATTTTTTTTCTTTCTTTCTTTCTTTTTTTCTTTTTTTGAGACGAAGTCTAGCTCTGTCGCCCAGGCTGGAGTGCAGTGGCGTGATCTCGACTCACTGCAACTTCCGCCTCCTGGGTTCAAATGATTCTTCTGCCTCAGCCTCCTGAGTAGCTGGGACTACAGGCATGTGCCACCATGCCTGGCTAATTTTTTGTATTTTTAGTAGAGACAGGGTTTCACCATGTTGACCAGGCTGGTCTCGAACTCCTGACCTCATGATCCACCCGCCTCAGCCTCCCAAAGTGCTGGGATTACAAACATGAGCCACTGTGCCCGGCCCCTAATACGATTTTTTAAAAACTGTTTTCATAGCTCTGTTGGGAATGATAACTGATTTTTCAATTGGCAAAAATAATTGGCCATTTCTAGATTTATGACAGCCCTCATGCCATGTGGGTTCTCCACTGGATGTGAGGTGCTTATCACCAGCTCAGCCTGTTCCTTCCCTCCCCTCCCCTCGCCTTCCCCATTCTTCCTCATGGTGTTTACTCGTGGGAAAAAAACAACTTGGAATTTAAAAAGACACTTAAGGCTGGGCACTGGTGGCTCAGGCCTGTAATCCCAGCACTTTGGGAGGTCAAGGCAGGAGGATCACTTGAGCTCAGGAGTTTGAGACCGGCCTGGGCAACATGGTGAAACACCATTTCTGCAAAAAATACAAAAATTAGCCAGGCATGATGTTGTGTGCCTGTACTCCCAGCTACTCCAGAGACTGAGGCAGGAGGATTGCTTGGGAGTGGGAGGCTGGGAGTTGGAGGCTGCAGTGAGCTGAGATCATGCCACTTTACTCCAGTCTGGGTGACAGAGCAAGACCCTATCTCAAAAAACAAAGACACTTAATTTCCTTGATTAATTAGTTCACTTAATTTTTCTTTAACAAATGTGAAGGAAATTGAGATTCAGAATAGATTCTATGTCTTTTGCTTGCAAGGCAGTGTACAAAAATAAGAAATTTGTATGATAGAAATACAATTTTATAACTCTCTGGTTTGAATTAATGGGTTTAATTACCTTTACAAGTTAATTTATTACCTTTTTTTGTTGTTGTTTGAGATAGGGTCTCGCTCTGTCACTCAGGCTGAAGTGCAGTGATGTGATCTTGGCTCACTGCAGCCTCCACCTCCTGGGCTCAAGCCATCCTCCTGTCTCAGACTCCTGGGTAGCTGGCACTACAGGTGTGCACCACCACGCCTGGCTAATTTTTTGTTTGAATTTTGGTAGAGATAAAGTCTTGCTATGTTGCCTGGTCTGGTTTCGAACTCCTGTCCTCAAGTGATCCTCCTGCCTTGGCCTCCCAAAGTTCTGGGATTACAGGCATGAGTCACTGTGCCCAACCAGATTCTTTTTTTTTTTTTTTTTTTTTTTGGAGACAGAGTCTCGCTCTGTTGCCCAGGCTGGAGTGCGTTGGCATGGTCTTGGCTCACTGCAGCCTCTGCCTCCTGGGTTCAAGCGATTCTCCTGCCTCAGCCTCCCAAGTAACTGGATTACAGGTGCCTGCCATCATGCCCAGCTAATTTTTGTATTTTTAGTAGAGGCGGGGTTTCACCACATTGGCCAGGCTGGTCTCGAACTCCTAACCTCAGGTGATCCGCCCGCCTTGGCCTTGCAAAGTACTGGGATTACAGGCGTGAGCCACTACACCTGACCCCCTTTTTCTTTTAAGACAAACTTTTTACAACCAAAATAATTTTATTAGGACTTGCAGGAGATCAAGAAGGAACTTTCAAAGACTGGTGAAGAAAAGTACGTGGAAGAATCTAAAGCCAGCAAGAGATTGACAAAAAGGGTGCAGCAAATGATCGGGCAGATCGATGGCTTGATCTCGCAGCTGGAGATGGACCAGCAGGCTGGCAAGCTGGCCCCGGCCAACGGCATGCCCACGGGGTGAGTGGGGTGGTGGGCGCGGGAGAGGGATCGGAGACTCACATAGGGAGGCTGGTCCCTTTGCTGGATCCGAGCTGGGCCCTTCTGGCTCCAAAGGGCACATTGTAGCCTCTGCCTGGCTGCCTCTCCACCTTTGACCAGCAGTCCCAGCCAGGAACCCTCTGGCATGTCAGTCTCTGCCTCTCCGAGAGCAGTTCGTCCCTTCCTGGCCCCTCTTCCTCTTCCCACAGCCCCCTCTCCTCCCGCTCCAACCTCCACCTCTGTTGGCTTCTGTTTCCTCTAATTACCAGGCTCTCTCTTGCCTCTCCCTCTTCCTGACCCCACCCACGCTCAGTAATGACACCAGCTCGGGCAGTCGGCCTTCTCTGTGCCCGACATGTCCCAGATTCCTGCGCAGCAGTGGCTGAGGGAGCTGCCGTTTTGTGAGTCCCTTCTGGGCGAATGAAACAGCTGTTGGGTGACTGCTGGTGCCCTGCAGGTTCCAAATCTCCACCTCCACACCCACAGTGTTGTAGGTGGGCTGCACGTGGCACCCTGCTCATGCTCTCGTCCCTGCTCTTGGAGGCCCTCATCTGCCCAGGGCACCACAGCCCCCATGATCGTGAACGTATTGCCAAGTGGCCACAGGCCTGAGGACAACAGCCCAGCAGCCATGGCCCCAGAGGGGCAGCCACTGAGGGGCAGACATGCCCGTGGAAACCCTGGACCTGGTGGTGTTTCTGTGTTTGTGTCCACGCTGGCCCTGGGAGCTCTTGGCATTGTATGCAGGATGGGATCATACCTTGGGGGTCCGTGCTGGAGGTTGCCTGGCTCACGCGGAGCCGCCTGTGTCAGTGCTGACCACTTGCAGCCACAGGTGTGGGCAGTGAGGCCCTGTGTGGCAGGACGCCTGCCCGTGGCCACATGCAGGCTGTGCTTCCACAGGGAGAACGTCATCAGTGTCGCTGAGCTCATCAACGCCATGAAGCAAGTCAAGCACATTCCCGAAAGCAAGCTCACCAGCCTGGCCGCAGCACTGGATGAAAACAAGGATGGCAAGGTCAACATCGACGACCTCGTCAAGGTGGGCCTCGCTGGGGACCACGCAGGCCATCCGCCACCTGCTCTGGAGTGGGGTGGGGCAGGGGGACTGTTCATTGCATGTCCGGCACCCTCCTGGGCAGCTACCCCCTCCTGTCAGGGGTTTGGGTCTGTCACTGCGACTGCTCCTTTAAGCCGCTGCTCTCATTTGAAACATCAGAAGTGAGAAATTATTGAAGTTACAACTCAAGTGTTGAGAGAGAAAACGCACCTAGTGGCTACGCATGTCCCTGGACCCCGCCCCCAGCTGGTGGCACTGGGGAGCCGGGGGGGTGCAGCAAACACCTCTCAGGGGCCCCCGACGCTGAGGGGCGACTGCACAGGGAGCCTGGGGGCACTTCACACCTGCCGGGGGCCCCCAAAGCTGAGAGGCAACTACACAGGGGAGCCGCGGGGCAGCTTGGGCACCGCCCCAAGGCTGAGAGGTGACTGCTGGGCTGAGCTCCCAAGTGCAGCCACTCAGGTTCCAGGGTAGCCCCGGAGACCCTGGCCCAGGATCCAGTCTCTGGAGGGAAGGCAGGGCTCTAGCCTGAGTGCGCACACCAATTTTCCCAATCACTGACATCTCTGAGGGGAAGCTGCCTCGTGGCTCCCGGTGCATGCATCAGGTTAGTGATTTTCCAGACGTCTAACAGAAGTGTTGGCTGGTTTCTTGCAGTTCAGTTTGGAAGCAAGGATCATGTATCTACTGCACAGCTGCCCTTCCCTTCCCTGCTAGTCTGGGTGGCAGAGTGGGGACAAGGTCCCTGCATGTCACCCCACTCTGCCCTGGGAAGCCATGGCCCAGGTTCCTGGCCAGAGCAGGAACTTGACCCTGGCAGCCCCATTGTGCTGTCTGCCACCTGTCAAGGCAGCCCCCTGGCTCCTTTGTCCTCCCACTCTGAGCCCCTTCCCCAGGGTCTGTGGCACCCCTTGGGGGAATTGGTGCTCTGAGGACCCTGGGGCCCGCAGGCAGTGATTGCGTGCATGCTGCTGCCACCCCAGCTGGGGCGACTGACGGCGCTGGCCCCGCCTCTGCCTCACTGTGCTGTAGGGCGCAGCCACCTGAGCCTCTCCCTTTCCCACGTGTGTAGGTGATTGAGCTGGTGGACAAAGAAGATGTTCACATCTCCACCAGCCAGGTGGCTGAGATTGTAGCAACACTGGAAAAAGAGGAGAAGGTGGAGGAGAAGGAGAAGGCCAAAGAGAAGGCAGAGAAGGAGGTCGCAGAGGTGAAGAGCTAGAACCACTGGCCTGGGCACCTGTCCTCCTGCTGTGCCGTCACCCTGGCAAGGGCCGTGAGGGCGATTGCTTTGTGGTGATTCTCAGTGGCTCATCTAATATTTTGGCTGGAATAAATCAGAGACTTCCATAATCAAGTAAATTTTAATTTTCATCATTCCACGGAGATTCAGTCTGTCTGGAATCCCGGAACCCCTCCACAGAATCGTGTCTGGATCCACACTGTGGTGTGGCTGCCACGGCCTCCTGGCTCCAGAGGCAGCTGGGCTGGGCCAAGGCAGGAAGGCGCCCCCATGTGTGTGGCCTCAGTCTCAGCATCTGACTGTGCTGCCCTGTCCCCAGGGAAGAGAATGAGGACCACGTGGACTCCGCCCACACAGAGCTGGCTGCTGTGCCCACCCTCAGGGGCGTCAGGAGACACAGCCTGGCCTCCTCAGGGCTGAAGATGCCTCCATTCGCCTGTGGACCTTGATTTCTAGATTTCAGTGTCAATAGACCTGTCTTCCTGCACACTTTCAGTTGGATGTGGGTCATTGTGGAGACAGAGGTGTCTGCCATCTCTGTGGCCTCTGGAGAGTGACGTCTCCCTGCTGGGAGTGCTGGTTCTCACGTGCGGTTTCCCTTGTGTATCGGAGCTCTTTCTCGGCTTTCTATTTCCCCCAGTTCTTTAAGCAGTCAATTGGCACAGAGTTTCCCACGGGGGCTGCAGTGGATTCACTGTGTCAGGGATGAGCCTGGCTTGGGGGTTGGTGGGGCTCTGAAGCGCATTTGGGGTTCTTTGTAGCTTCTAATGTGAGGTTTGAGTCCAGTGCGCCCACAGCAGCATGCCCTTCTCACCCCTTGCAGTGTTGCAGGCTCAGGCCCCTGGGCTCCTTCAGCAAGCAGGCTAGTCAATGAGGCATGAGGATCCGGCACAGGGCATCCCCTGGGGCTTCAAGGGCAATACCCCCGTGCTTAGGGTTTGCCCTGTGCCCTCTGGGTGGGGTGGCCTCCCCGCACTCGGCAGCATGGCCAGGCTGGCCAGGGCGTGGGCAGGTGGTGTCCTGTGGCACCTCCATCCTCCTGCCCAGCCGGCTGTGTCACACTCATCTTTTTAAGGTCAGGTTGGTTCCTGGCAAAAATGTACCTCCAGGGGCCTCCAAGCATAGGATTTGGAAGACAGGAACGGCACAGGCGTCCAGGAAAGCAGCTGCACTCAGACAATGCCTTCTCCATTACTTGAAGCTTCTTTCTGTTCAGCCATTAAAGAAACTTGACAAAATAGGAACAGGAGATATTTCTCAATTGTAAACCTTTGTGCAGGGACAGTTGGCTTCCAGAGGCTTTCAGCTTTCAGTTATTTGAGAAGTTTGTTTTAGATCCTTAACTAATATTTATGAATTCTCTCACCCTGTGTAAGTAGCCTGGTGTTCGTTTGTCCAAGTGTACTTACCCTTGAGAACAAGTCTTGCAGTTGCCAGGTGTGTGCAGACGCCTCTCCTGTGAGCGGCATCGCGGGCCCAGTCAGCTGCCCCGGCTCTCATCCTCGTCCTCACTGCCTTGGCTGAGCACTGTTGACGTGAACAGCCACTGCAACAGGCAGCCCATCCCACTGTCCCCTCTGCCCTGGACTCCGCATGGCCTCCAAAAGCCAGCTTGCCCTCCGGGTGCTGCAGGGGCTTTGCAGGTGGGGAAGGCTCTGGTGGGTGCCTTTGGTGGCTTCCGTGACATCAGCCGTGCTCTGATGCAGGCTTGCTCCCTCGTCATTCTCCCTCGTCATTCTCCCTCATCGTTCTGTGTGCATTTTTCTCTATGTCCTGACCTTTCTTCTTGCACCTAAAAGTGGTGTCTGGGTGCAAATGTAAGCAGTGGTGGATCCAGAAATATGAGCTTTGTGTAATAAGCTTCTTAAAACAGTCCTTTCTTACACCTGCCCAGGGCCAGACCCTCGGTCTTGGCCTTTTTCAGGAGCTAGGATATCTGCGCCTGGTGAAAATGAAACGAATTCCTGATTTAGGAATTCAGTGTTTCCTCCTCACTCCAGCTAAGCACTCACTTTTTTTTTTTTTTTTTTTTTTTTTTGATACAGAGTCTCGCTCTGTCACCCAGGCTGGAGTGCAGTGGTGCGATCTCGGCTCACTGCAAGCTCCACCTCCCGGGTTCAAGCGATTCTTCTGCCTCAGCCTCCTGAGTAATTGGGATTACAGGCATGCGCCACCATGCCCAGCTAATTTTTTTTTTTTTTTTTGAGACAGAGTCTTGCTCTGTCTCCCAGGCTGGAGTGCAATGGCGTGATCTCGGCTCACTGCCAGCTCCGCTTCCTGGGTTCACGCCATTCTCCTGCCTCAGCCTCCCGAGTAGCCAGGACTACAAGCACCCGCCACCACACCTGGCTAATTTTTTTGTATTTTTATTAGAGACAGTGTTTTACCGTGTTAGCCAGGATGGTCTCGATCTCCTGACTTCGTGATCTACTCACCTCGGCCTCCCAAAGTGCTGGGATTACGGGCAAGTTTTTATTAGAGATGGGGTTTCATCATGTTGGTCAGGCTGGTCTTCAACTCCTGACCTCAGGTGATCCACCCGCCTCAGCCTCCCAAAGTGCTGGGATTACAGGCATGAGCCACCGCGCCCGGCCTGAACTCTCAGTTCTAACGCAGGGATTCAGGAATTGGGCTTTCAGACTCCTTCTGCAGTGTCACAGTCCAGACTTTTTTTAAATGAAGGACACCCCGCAGTGGCTCACAGTGGGTCCCAGGGCTAGCAGGAGCGTGCTGGGGAGCCGGCTCTGTCTTTGTTCGCAGTGGGTCCCGGTGCTGGCAGGAGTGTGCTGGTGAGCCGGCTCTGTCTTTGTAAATCCTTCAGGGGTCCTACGGCTGACTCCACCGGACAGCCCGTCCTGGGCCGTGTTAAGCACCTTTTGTAGAAATCGTATTTTTATTAAAACATCAAATCTGTGTTCCTGTAACAGTGCAGAGTAATAATATTTCTGAACCGTTGGGCACACAGGAGCGAGTGGAAGCCGGCAGAGCTGTCCACGTGGCTGCAGGGGCTGGGCCTTGGGGCGCGTGTGGCTGTGAGGCCAGTTCCAGAAGGAGCCTCACCATCCCTGGGGGTTTGAGTGCTGGGCCGCCCTCCATGGGTTCAGCCCTTGGCTTCACGCTTCCTGCTCTGCAGGATGGGCCTGCAGGGTCAGGAGACCCACGTCCCCAGGTCCTGTGACAGCGTGAGCTGCTCATGGAACAGTGTGGGACGTTCTCCAGGCCAGTGGCCCTGCCACCTGGTCATGCTCTCCCTGCTCTGGGGACCTCAGTGACTTCTTGGGAGTCCTGGGGTTAGGGGCTGGGACCCTCGCCGAGGTGTCACCCAGGAGGGCCAGCTCTTCTGAAAGACTCCTCAGGCCGCTGAGGGGAAAGAGCACCGAGTACTGCCCTAGGGAGTCCTGGATGAGGCAGGGCCTTCAGCCTGCAGTCCAGCCCACAGGCAGGGCCCAGACGCCCTGAGGGATGTGTGATGGCCTGGGGCCATGGAGAGCAGCCCCCAGCCCGGACCTCTGGGTGCCTACCTGCCTCAGCGTGGCCTGGCTGCAGGAGTGCGTGGATGGTTCCAGCGCCAGGATAGCAGTGTGGTGTCTTGGCTCCCGACCCTTCTCAGTGGACAGAAGCCATCCCTTAGGTGCTCTGCCCACACTGGGACCAGGCCCTGTGGGCACCTCACAGGCTTCTCTGCGGCCCTGGCTGCTGGTTTGTTCACACTGAGAGTCCTCCCTCGGGGCCTCCCTTGACCCCTAGGCCCTAATTAATCAGAGGAAATGATGGACCCACAGCTGGGGTGGGAGGTGCTCCCTCATGGGGACAGCAGCCCAAAGAGCTGTGAACAAACCAGGTGCCCTTGGTGACCCCAGGAGCCACCAGTTGTGTCCTGGAAGCTGGGCCTCCCATGAGACATGTCCCCCTCAGCCATCAGCAGACAGCAAGGGCGGGGACCCTGCCAGCCTAGAGCACACCCAACCACTAGAGGGCACCCTGATGGCGGAGGTTCAGTTGTGCTGACAGCTGGGGTCTCTCATGGGCTCACCTTATGGGACAGGGGGAGGCAGCCAGGGAGCCCCTGGTGGGGCAGCTTCAGGGACTGTGCCCTGCCATCTGGGGTCGCTAAGGAAGCACGCTGAGGAGGAGGGGGCTGGCCCACCAGCACCTTCATGGGCCACTGTTCTCCCGGTGGCCCAGCCCTTTGGTCCCCAGCACCCATTCAGGATCCCACTGTGCCCACCAGAGGTCCACCAGAGCCCTGACAGGAGAGGGGCCTTGGGTTTGTAGCAGGGACACTGCCCAGCCAGCGCTAGGGGGCGCTCCCGGCCCGCGCTTCGAGCCCCATGCTCTGCCTGCCTTGGTGTGGATGCTGGCACTGCCTGCCTGTTGGCCTGGTCCCCCCACTGCCCTGCAGGCCTCAGCCTTCAGGCCCATGTGGGCCTCCCCATCCTGCCACTGTCACCAGGCGTCCCATGGCCAGGCCTGCCTCTGGGGCCCAGCATAGGGTTTCTGGGCAAGTGGGGGCATTAGGGATGCAGAGTCCCTTGTAAGGCCACTTCCACCAGGCCTGCGCCCACACGTGCTTCCCTGAATGGGGTTGAGTTAAACCCTTGCCTGCCCAGGAAACGGGCCAGCAGTACCCCCTGACCTGAAAGGTGAGTTTGTAGCCAGAGCATTTTAGAAGCTAGAGTTCATGCAGCTCATGGTTGGGAAACCCTGCTCTTGAGCCAGCAGAGGGGAGGAGAGCAGAGGGAGGACGGCAGAGGGGACAGCAGAGGTAGGGAGAGCAGAGGGGATGGGGGGAGGAGAGCAGGAGGAGGACGACAGAGGTGGGGACAGCAGAGATGGGAAAAACGGGAGGACAAGAGAGGGAGGATAGCAGAAGGGAGGACAGCAAAGAGGGTGGTGGGGAGTCAGGAGAGACGGCACACCTCCTCCAGGAAGCCTTCCCAGACTTGCTCTCACCATGTTGTCCTCCCACCCTGCTAGGGCTATGAACTTGGGCAAGGGCCTGGTTCCATCTCTGGGTTCTCAGCACCTCATCTGCCCAAAGGTGCTTTATCACTGTAGGGGACCCTGATGGAGCCCAAGGCAGTGGGGGCACTGGTTGCCCGGCCTGGGAGGGCAGAGAGCTGATCTGGAGGAGAGTGACCGCCTGTGTAGCCCCCAGGGCCCCATGAGGGCTTTGCTTGCTTTTGGCTCCATAGAGGGATGCCCAGAAAGCTCCCCAGCTGACTGGGAAGGCGGATGCCAGGAGTGGGGTGATGAGAGAAGGTCTGCCTCAGAGCTAGTGAGAAAGGACCCTCCCCACCACCACCACCACCTCAGGAACCCACAAGCTGGGAGCAGCCAGGGCAGTGCACCCCCAGGCACCCTGCTCCCTTCCGCCAGGCCCCTCCCATAAACATTCCTTGCTCTTGGGGCTCCCAGCCCACCAGTGACTTTCGGTGCTGCTGCCAGCATCCATCCCGCGCAACTGGGACCACCTGGCAAAGTGACCCCTCCCTCCCCTATCCCAGAACTGGAGACAGAAAGCACAGGGCCAGGTTAGCAACCAGGTGTCTTTATTTTTCGGAAAGTTCGTCGCTGGGTTAACAAAATCGCACCTGCCGGTTTGGGTGACACCTCTGGCCACCATGCACTGGGCCCCAAGAAGAGACCACCCTGAGCCATGGCCCTGCAGGCAAGCAAGGGACAGCTGCCCAGACTCAGGGCCCAGTAACAGTACAGAACGAACCAACTGAATTCACGGCTTCCCTCCAAGCTTTGAAAGGTAGCAGTCCAGGCTATAAAACTCTAGAAGCATTGCGTAAGAAGTGTTAAGTCTACAACAAATACATCTTGTAAAAACTCAATAAATTATATATATAGATATATATAAACTTGTAACATCTAATAACATCGGAACCTGCACACAGGGCCGGCCCCTCCCTGGAAACCGTCTCCCTGCCTGGGACACACAGCAATTAGAAGAATTTGTATGAAAATACCAGCTTGCTTTGAAGTCCAAAAAATAAATCTCCTAAAGAAAAATCCTATAGAAATCTAATTCTCCTGAAAAAGGACAAAGGAAATAAAATATCTTCACTGGAATCACCTCCAACTATTAACAACCTTTTAGGCTTGGAGGGGATCCTCCAGCTCCGGGGCAGGCTGGACGTACATTCTTGGCCGTCCCTCTATCGGCGGGATAAACCTTCTCGGTTGTCAATAAGTTAAAAATTAAAACTCTCCGCCATGTGGCCAGCTAAATGCTGGAAGTGTTGGGGTGTGGGAACAAGAGTGCCAGGGGCCCATAAATAGCTTTACAAATATACAGGTCCAGTTTTAAAACAAAACTGCGGTGCCAGAAAAGGCCCTGGTCCTCTGCTTGCATGGGTGAGACCCCCTGGGGCCTCCCTCCACGCCCCCCCACGCCCCGCCCAGGGCCATGCCTGCCTCCTGTGCCCCCAGGGTCGCAGGCCTCCGTTGTACCAGCCTTTTCCTCTTCCATATATGTTATATATATATATGTATATATACCATATACACAGCATCTATTTATAGAAATGTACACTAGTTTCCGGAATAAACCTTTTGCATAAAAGGTAAAGGCTCCCATCTTCAGGTACCCGTAATTTCAGTCTCTGAGGGGCAGGGTGGGAAGTGGGAAAGCCTGGAGGTGGGGAGGCGGTGCCACTAACACCCCAGGCACAAGGTGCTGGACATGTGGGGCTTCCCTGCAGGCTCAGCTTTGGGTGTGGGAGGGGCCGAGGCCCACCCTGTGATGTCCCGTGGTGCAAAGGCAGAGGCCGGAGCCATGTCGGGCCCAGCTCCCTGCCCCACGGGGGTCCCACCGGGTGGGCCCACTTACATTCTGCACTGGGTCCCCCCAGAACAAAGGCCCCTCGGTGCTGCAGCACCAGTCAGGAGACCGTTGCACAGCAGCGGGGACACCCAGGGTACCTCTGCACCTGGAGGCAAGATGCGCACGCACACAGGCACACGCGGATGTGCACACACACACACACACACGCACACACACACACACAGACCAAAGCTCTGTGTAGCTGTCTCTCCATCTGCACTGAGTCTCATGCCGGGGAGTGGCTGTGCACCAGCAGCAGGGTGGGCTGCTAGGGACCCCTCACATTGTTGGGGACCAGTGGCCCTTCACGTCCGCGAGCCCCCACTGCTGGGTGGGGCCGGGGGCAGCAGGTCGTGGGCAAACACGGAGTCGTCCCCTGAGGAGCTGGAGCTGGGGGTGTCCTGGCCACCCGGGGAGTACTGCTCGAAAGGCGCCGACAGGTCCAGGTACTCCTGCTGGCGGGAGGCGGGGTGAGCGCTGTGCCACCGAGCCCCTCTTCGCACAGCCACCTCTGTGCCCAGGCTGTGCCCCAGAAGGCCCGCCCCACACCTCAGCACTCTGGGGGGCAGGATGGCCGGGGACGGCAGGGGGAGGGGCATAGGCGGGTGGCACCAGGCCAGAGCCAGCACTCACGTCGGTGGACGTCACGGTAAGGACACGGTCCAGGTCCTCCACCAGCTGCTTGAAGGTGGGCCTCTGGGAGGGCGCGGCATGCCAGCACTCCCGCATGATCATGTACCTGCGGGCAGGGCGCTCAGGAGTGAGCCCCGCCGCTTCCCGCCTTATTCGGGAACAGCCTGAAGGGCTGCCAGTCCCTCCCCCGCCCAGCCCCGGAGGGACCCCCACCCCTGAGGACCCAGTGGAGGGCCAGGGATGCCACTCACAGGTCGTGTGTGCAGTTGGCGGGCTTGTCCATGCGGTGGCCCTCCTTCAGCAGCTTGAAGAGCTCCTCCACAGGGATGCCGGGGTACGGGGAGCCCCCCAGCGTGAAGATCTCCCAGAGCAGGACCCCAAAGGACCAGCTGCAGGGGAAGGTGAGGTCAGGCTGTCCTGAGACTCCCAGGACAGACACCTGGGCGGGCACCAGGGGAATAGGCCAGGGCTGCGCTGCTGCCCCCAGGGAGGGGTAGAAACCACACCCAGGAGCTCCAGGGCACAGGCCTGGGGACTGCAGCTGGGGTCCTGGCTCTGCCCAGTTCCCGCCTCCACCCCTGAAGCCTGAGCTCTGCAGGACACGTACACGTCACTCTGGTGAGTGTAGACTCGGTCAAACAAGGCCTCAGGCGCCATCCACTTCACGGGCAGCCGGCCCTGGGAGGGTGTGGGAAGGCGGTGTTGGCGCCAGGCGTCCTACTGGCATGACCCCCACCCCCGCACCCCAGGGCCGGGCTCACGTTGGTCGTCTTCTTGTAGTAGTCGAGGTTGTGCACGTCCCGGGCCAGCCCGAAGTCTGCGATCTTCATCACGTTGTCCTCGGTCACCAGCACATTGCGGGCAGCCAGGTCCCTGTGGATGCACTGGGGAAGGGGTGGGAGGCAGGGCTGAAGCCTCTCCACCTCTCCCCGCTGCTCCCAGCATCTCAGGGCAGGGCCCAGCCTACTCCACCCACACCTGCCGCCCTGCCCACCTTCTGGGAGGCCAAGTACTCCATGCCCCGGGCCACCTGGTAGGCACAGGACACCAGGTCCTTGAAGGTGAGCTGCTCCTCGGGCGGCTTGCAGGTGTCGAAGGAGTAGTCCAGGCCCGGGGGCCGCCGCGCCCGCAGAAACTCCCGCAGGTTACCCTTGGCCGCGTACTCCACCAGCACGTACAGGGGCCCTGGGGACACGGGCTCCTCAGACGGGCTGCCAGGCCCAGGAGGGCCGCCCAGCCGGCACCACCGCCGCTACCGCACCTACCGCCCTGCGTGCAGGCGCCCAGCAGGTTGATGATGTTTTTGTGTTTCCCGATCATCTTCATCATCTCCATCTCAGACACCAGGTCCGACAGGTCCTTGTCAGTGGCATCGTCTGTGCACGGAGCGGGGGGCCTGTGTCAGGCGGCGGCGGCGCCCCCAGCCCTGCTCTGCACCCCTGGCCGCCCCCTCCTCACCTTTCAGCATCTTCACGGCTACGGTGACAGGCTTGGCGGCCCGGTCCTTGTCAATGCCGATGGCCTCCGCCATGACCACCTGGCCGAAGCAGCCCTCCCCAAGGGGCTTGCCCAGGGTCAGCCTGGCAGTGGAGGCAGAGGGACCATGAGTGTGCAAACTCGCCCACTCTCAGCCCACCACGGTCCCCACCCCAGCCTGGCCCAGCCCTTGAGGCCCAGAGCCACCACCTCCAGGAAGCCCTCCATGCTCCCCCTACAGCCTGCTCGTAAGGACGAAGAGTGTCACCCACAGCCTCCCGCCCTTGCTGCCCCTCCAGACAGGGCACCTTGAGAGGGGCAGTCCCTGCCATACACCCGTCCCAGGAGCATCTCCACAGAACCCCAGCCACACCCAACATCCGCCACATCCCTGACGGCCCCTAAACCCAGCCGGGCCTCTGACTGGTGGCTGTTTCACCCCCACCACCAAGCCCCCTACAGCCAACGCTGGCCCTCAGCACCACTGACCGGGCCCGAGACAGCTCCCATTTGGGGTCGGCAGGCAGCTCGAGCTCGGAGACATTGGCCAGCGTGGGGCCCTCCCCTGAGGACAGCCTTGCGATGCGCACCAGTGGTGTGTTGGAGCTCATGGACGCGTTGGACTCCAGGGACACCTGCTTGGGTCAGCAGGGGCAGGTTGGCGCCGCGTGGGCGACAGGGCGTGGAGGTACAGCCGGGGGTCAGTGCTGGGCCAGAAGGGGGGGCGTTCTGACTTCCACCAGCATTGAATGAAGATTTTTAGAATGTTTCGTGCCCCAAAGTACCCTAGGCTCTACATGGTGAGCAGAGACGAGGAGAGGGGAGCCCGCCTGGCTGCAGAGAGGGCTCACACAGCCCAGGACCAGCGTGGGCCGAGGTGGGGCTCCAGGAGGCCTGGCGGGCAGGCAGCTCAGAACCTGGTATCTACTTTCTGTTACCTGTCGCTTGAGCGGGAAGCGGGAGATCTTGTGCACGGTGGGGGAGCCCAGGCCTTTCTTGGGGGGGCTGCGCAGGCGGCAGAGCGTCACAGCCGCCACCACCAGGATGAACAGGAAGAAGCCCACCCCGTAGCTGAGGATGCCTGCATACACACTGCCCGCCTCGTCAGCCTCCACCAGCTCCTCCTCGGCTGCAAAGACATGGGCGTTGAGGCCTGGCCTGGCCCCCCCCCCCACGGGGCTCCCATGGATGCCCCTGGCCCAGAGCCGCAGGCACCACTGGGAGCGGAAGGGGGCTCAGAACCTCAGCACGCGCCTTGTCTGGAGGGTCTCGCAGTCAGTAACGCCAGTGAGTCTAGAGGGCCAGACCCTGGAGAGAAGGAGCCCAGCAGAGCCAGCCAGTCCCACACCGCCACCAGGCGCCCGGGAGACACCAGAGCCACAGGAGAGGCCTTTGGGGACCCAGATGGGAAGTGGGCTCGAGGGGGCTGAGGGGGCCCCTCTGGGACCAGGACCGGGCCAGGCCAACTTTGTCCCCACACTGGGCACAGGGCCAGGAGTGAGGGCTCAAGAAGCGGGACGGCCGTAAGTCACAGGATTCCCGTCCGTCCTGGCAGCTTTGGCGTGTCCCGAGCCAGCGTCCCCCAGACAGTGCGGAGCAGCAGCAGCAGCAGAAGCCGGTACCTGGCAGCACCACCAGCCACGCAGAGTGATGAGAAAACCCAATAGAATTGCCCGCCAGGCAGGTGTACTCCCCGGCGTCCTCAAAGGTGACGTTGTGCAAGGAGAGAACCTCTAGCTCCTTGTCGGTGGTGTTAGCGCCCGCCGTCTACAAAGAGAGAGCAGAGCGATAGGCGAGCGCCAGCACCGCCCTGCGGGCACCGCACAGAGTCCACACGGCAGGATCCAGCCGCTGCAAGGAAAACGCCGCCACCACCAACTCCTCAGCCACCGCCAACTTGGTCACCGCCACGCGGCTGAGGGCCCTCCGCCTGGTACACCGGTACTGAGCCCGAAGCCAGGCCCCTCCACCGGCGAGTCCTCTGTCCCAGGTGAGCGGCAGGCGGGCAGGCAGCATGCGGGTTAGCGCAGAGCCGGGCGGGTGCAGGTGGAGGATGGACACAGGGACACACAGGCTGCGGAAGCGAGCAGGCAGCGGGCAGGGGTGGAGAGAGGCGCAAAGGGGTGCTCACAGACGGCACGGAGCCGGCCCGGTGGGCACCGGGCACCTCCTGTGGGGGTCGCAGGCGTGCGGGAAGGGTCGGCGCAGGCCACAGGGCTCGAAGCGGGCGGTCACCGTGGAGGCTGGAGCTGCCAGCCTTGCCGAGGCGGCCCCGAGTGGAGCGCGAGCCGGGGCGGGAGCGAGCAGGGCTGGGCGTGCGGGGCGTGCAGGGCGCGCGGCCAGGGCCTTGGAGCTGGAGCTCTTGTGCCGGCCGGCATGGGACAGAGTCGTTACCTGCTCGGGGCCCGTGAACGCTCAGCCAAAAGGCCTTCTCGGCCACGCCTATGAAATTGGTGGCTCGACAGAGGTACTCGCCCCCGTCCCGCTCCGACACATTGGCCAGGCGGAGGCGCACGTCGGCCTCCACACTCTCACTGATCCAGGACTGCGGGGACAAGAGACCCGGCTCAGGCACGCCCCCGAGGCAGCCCCGCCGGGCACGAGGCAGGATGTGGGAGACCCCCAAGGTACAGATCGAGGCTGGGCTGCGTCAGCCCCAAAGGCTGCCTGGAGGAGGCGTGGAGGCACTTCACGGTGGCTGTGGTTTCACAGGATGCACGTCTCTGCCTCCACCCCAACAACCCAGCCCAGACCCTCAGACAACCTCTGGTCACTGGCCTGCCCTCCCCCGGGCTCTTGCAGAACCTGCACCCTGGACAGGGCCCGAGGCGGCCTCTCTGGGCGGGGTCTGGACTCCACCCTCGCCCTGCGCCTGCTCCCCGCCCCCAAGAGACCGTCTTCTCTCTGAACAGATGTTTCTCTTTGGGCTTTGAGTGTCGCAACCGTCCCAATTCAGTGGCCCCCACCCGGCAGCCATGGGAACAAAGCTAAGGGCTTCAGGAGGCGGGCAGACAGTGAGCTCGGGCCCCACTGCACACAGCTGACGAGAGCCAATCGGCCAGGTCGGGGCTCAGCCACCGCCTCTGAGGCCCAGAGGGGGCCTGGAGGGCTTGGCCACACTGCCCTCCTGTCCTGGGGCACCACTGCTGCCCAAGCCGCACCCACCCCCAAGAAGCCCGTGGGCAGCTCCATGTCAGGGACTTCAGTGGCTGAGGCTGGCCCTCTGCAGACACGGAAACGGGTCCCAACGCAGCTGCCTATGGCCCTGAGGTGTGGGGTGGCTGAGACTTGGCCCCACAAGCACCCCCACAGCTTCTGCCCCCGAAGCTCCAACCCCTAGACCCAAATCCTCACGCAACCCGCAGCCAAGGGGCACCCTTGGGGCCAGCCCAGGAGCCCCAGCGGCGGCACCCACGTGCACACGGTGGCCCACCTTGAGCACGGTAACGTAGGGTGTGCCGTCCGGGCCCACCTTGCTGCCATTCACCTCCACGTGCTTGAGCCACTGGATGTGGGGCTGTGCGTCACTGTACACCTTGCAGTGGAACTCCACGTCGCTGCCCAGCACCGCCGTCTGGTTGGCCGGCAGCCCCGCCTGCAGGATGGGCCGGTGCGGGGAGCGCTCTGTGGGGGCAGATGACGCTCAGGGGCCACCCCCTCCCTCACCACCACCGCCACTGCCGCCCCCACCCCCGCGCCGCCCCAGGGCCCTCACCCAGCACGTCCAGCGTGTACGTCTGCCGGATGCTGCCAAACTTGTTCTCCACGACGCAGGTGTAGTTGCCGCGGTCCGAGGGCACCACGCTTTCCATGACCAGGCTCCACTGCTGATGCCGCAGCTGCACCGGGACGCGGGCGGGTGAGTGAGCGGAGGCAGCAACCACCGCGCCTGCCAGGCCCAGAGCCACCCCGCCGCGCCCACCTTGATGCCTCCAATGCGGTGCTCGCCGCGGAACTCCCTGCCGTTCTTCAGCCAGGAGATGGAGGGAGTGGGGTTGCCAGCGGCTGGGCAGCGGAAGCGGACGGTGTTGGCGGCCGGCACGGCCAGCAGCTTCTTGTCCATCCGCTCGGGCCGTGTCCAGTAAGGGGCCCCTGCGGGCCGAGGTGCGTGTGAAGGCCATGACCCGAGTGGGAGCAGAGGCCCCTCTGAACAACCCCCTTCCCAGAGCTGCCCCTGCCCATCCCCAGCCTCAGTTTCCCGTCCTGTGTAGGAAGAGGGCGGGATGAGGTTCCCAGGAGCCTCCACATCTTGTCCCCTCCCCGGGGCTTTCTCAGAGCTGGGCCGTGTGTCCCCTCCCCTCCCCTCCAGGGTGCTCTGCCCGGACCTGTGAAGTCACAGGGCACAGGGCATTGTCCAGGGGAGCCCACCTGCCCAGAGAGGCGTGCCAGGGCCAGGCCCACCAACGGGGAGACTGAAGACCCAGGGGGCAGGCCCATCTAGTGGACAAGCCAGGACCTGGGAGCAGTTTACCAGGAGAGGAGCCCAGTCGCCTGCAGAGCCAGGAGCCTTGGAGGCAGCTGGGCAGCATGGGCCCACGGAAATCAAGACCCTACACCACCCTCTGCAGAGCTCCAAGTCTGGCGGGCACCCAGAGACGGTGGCACCCTGGAGGCCCTGCCTCCTCCCATCTCGATGTCCAGGGCTCCCACCACCCCTCTCACAGCCCAACTGGTTTTTCTCCTTCCTCAGGGCTGGTGCTGCCTTCCTGCCGGGACTCCAGGCAAGGATGGGCTGGCATTCCCCAGGAGGGAAGCAGCCCTCCCCTCAGTGAGCTCACTGCCAGCCCCCTCCAGGCACACGCCCATCAGGGGCACTGAGGCCCAGCAAGCAGCAGTGTGGACACAGGCTGGAAAGAGGCACCCCACGGTGCTGAGCTCCCTCCCAGGCCTCCTGGAGACCCCCAGGGTGAGTTCCCCCAGCTGTTTCTCTCATGGACTCAGCCTCCCTTCCTCACCTGCTTACCCCACTGGCCCAGGGACCCAGCGCACACACCATCAGTCCGCAAGTCGTAACTGCCCCCCATGTCTGTGCCACGATGACCCTCACCTGCACGCACTCCCCTCAGAGCTCCCTCCAAAACCAGAAGCCCCACCTCCCCACCCTACAACTTGGCAAAGTCCACCTGCCACCGTTCCAGGCCGGGACGCCAGGCATCGTCCCCGACTGCTCTCTCACAGCCGCAGCCCACCCACCAGCCACCCTCCTGCCAGCCACCCTGCCCGCCACTGGTTGTGGCAGGTGCCCCGGCGCCCTCACCCCGGGTCCATCCACCCCACGGCAGCCACCTGAGTGCCCTGCCCTGCTGCGCTAATGTCTGCGGGGTCCACCTCACCTATAGCCAACACCAGAGCCCCACAGGCCAGCCCTGGCCTCCTCCTGCTCCTGGAACCCCCAGGGCCCTGTGCCTCAGTCTCCCCATCAGCAACACGGTGTCCCCTTGCACCCCAGCCCTGCCACCAGGGTGGGGCATCTAGAGCCATGTCAGTGACCCAGCCCCTCCTGTATCCTGAGGGGACCAGACCTTCGGGGTGACCCCAGGGAGGTTGTTCCGGGGCCTTAGTCCCTCAGCTGCCTGTGAAGGGCAGGGCTTGGCGGTGGCAGCGGGCCCCACCCCGGCTGGCCTGAACCCTGGACCCTGCTCCTACCTGTGTCCACACCTGTGTCCTCAGCCTCGTCCTCCCCGTCTTCGTCATCTCCCGAGGATGGAGCGTCTGCAAGGCAGAGATGGCCGCAACCAATGCCCAACCTGCCCCAGGAGGCCCCCAGGTGCCCCTCCCAGATGGGGCAGGGTCCCCCATTTGGGCAGCACTTCCTGGGGGTGCCCTCCTCTCCACCAATGACCAGAGAGACCCCCAGCCGCTCCTGACCCACGCAGGGACTCAGGGAGCCCGGCACTCGGCTCCTTTCTGTAGCTGGCGTGGCCCCAGAGCTCACCTGTCACCCGCACACTGAAGTGGCACAGTACGCGCTGCGTGAGCCGCTGCCGGCAGCTGTAGGCCCCGGAGTCCTCGTGGGAGGCATTCAGCACCTGCAGCCGCTGGGGCCCCACCAGGACACGCTCCGAGGGCACCAGCCCTGTGCCATCCTTGACCCAGACAGTGGGCCCCATGGGACCACCCCCGGGCGGGGGACAGCTCAGCTCCACAGCATCCCCGCTGCCGAAGACCAACTGCTCCTGCTGGCCGGGCTCTGGGCCCGGGACTTCTGTGGGGAAGATGGGCAACCATGAGGCAGGCACCCCCAAACCCGGCACCGTTTACAGACACAGCAGTGGAAGCCTCGGCGGCCCTGAGTGAGGAAGGCTCTGACCCAGATCCAGGGTCCCACCAGACCAGGGGCTGGAAACTGTGTCCCAAAAGGGCCAAAGGTCTCTATCTTCAGCTTTGCCAACCAGTCTGTCCCAAGGACTCCGGTCTGCCTCGGTGTGACAGCCGCCTTCCCCACACAACCTGCAGCCAACCCCACAGCAGTGGCCCCATGATGCTTCACTCATGGACACGGAGAATTCAAATCTCAAAGTGTCACAAAATGTGACTCTTCGTTCTTTTAATTTGTTCAATTGCTTGGAAACATAAAATCCATGCTTGTCTCACAGGCGGCACCACGACGGGCAGGTGCTGCGGGCAAAGGGGACAGGCTGCCCTTTGCTGGCCTCTGACTGAAATGGAGCTCAGAGGGGGTGCCAGGGTTGGCCAGCCAGCCCCCTCGTGGTGCAGATTCACCCCAGGAGGGGTCCGTCCTCAGTAGCCCCCGCACCCCATATGAGCCTGAAAAGCAGTTCAGATGGACAGCCAGGGAACAGAACAGGCGAGAAGGAAGGAGGTGCAGGGTCACGTGGCCGTGTGGACGGTCTGGGGGGCGATGCGCGGGTTCACCGGTCAGAGCACAGGCCGGAGCAGCGCGAGGGGGCCGGGGCGGGGGTGGGGGCTCCTTGGGGTGGGCAAGGTTCTGTATCCTGCAGCTCCTATGGAAGCTCCACACGGCGGTCATGACGGAAAACATACCGAGAAGAGCAAAGTACAAACACGGCGCTGGGTCCGGCCAAGTGGGTCTCACAGGCCGGGGAGTGGGGAGGCCCAGGCGGGCCCTCAAGGGGGCCGGGGGGTGGAGTCCTGCTGCCTGCAGGGGGACTGGGGCCCCCTCACAGAGGACGACCAGGCTGGGGGCAGGAAGCTGTGAGAGCCAGGGCAGGTCAGCAGCCCTGGCCCCTCCCTGGGGGCTGAGAAGCTGGGGTGGGGGCCCACCCACAGGGGCAGATGTGCAGGTGGCCCCTGGGTCCCTCCCCAGTAGCTGCCCAGCTCCCCAGAGCCACCAAAGCCTGTGACCCAAGGACACACCATGGGCAGGGCTGGGGGGACAATCGCCCCTAGGCTTCCCTGCCAGGGCCAGACAATGCATGCAGGCAGGCGTCCCGGGCTTGGGGCCGGGACGGGGGTGGGTGGTCCCCCAGGCAGCCTCCTTCTTCAGACCCAGCTGGGCGGGTTGCGCCATCACTTGTCATTCTGCAGACGCGTGGCCTAGATTCGGGGGCCCAGCTGCCCACTCTGGCCACACCAGTCCCTGGCTGCCCGGCCAGGCCCTCTTCTGCCCAACCCACCTGATCCAGCCACACACGCCTAGTGCCCAGGGTGACCCTGCCAGCCAGAAGGGCCCACACTCATCCCCTGAAGCATCCGAAGGAGCCCTCGCCCCACCGGGACCCACAGCTCAAGGACTGCCCCTGTAGGGACCCCGCAGTCAGGGGGGCTCCTGGCCTGACCTCCAGCCCTCCGGTCCTGGCCAGTGTCTTGTGGGGACCACCCAGAGCTGGGAGCTGCTCGAGGCCCCCCAGAAGGCCGAGAACAGGCTGGTTATGGCAGCCTCAGCTGCAGGCCCTGGCCCAAGGGCAACAGCCGGTTGGTTCCGGTTTGGTCTGAGTGGCGACAACAGGTCAAGCCATCCACACAAGTATTTGCTTCAGCCTGGTCCAGCACGGGGGGACGGGGGACACAGCAGCCCCAGGCCAGCCACACCAGTGGCCATCTGCCCGTGTGTGGTGGGGAGGGTGCAGCCCTGACTGCCCCCCCCACTGCCTGCCTGCTAGGTGCCAGCAGAGGCCAGGGTACCCCAGCAGGGGCTGGGTGGCGAGCACCAGGTGAAGGACAGTGTGACACGGGGCATGAGTGGGTGCTATAAGTTCAGGGTCTGACTCCCACTGGGAAGTCAGCAGTTGGGTGGAGCCCCCATACCCCACCCAGCTGCCAGGCATGGGGAGAGCTATAGCCCCCCAGCAGCCCTAGGAAGGGTTCTTTCTTTCTTGATCCACAAAAGGGAGGCCCCACTGACACCACACAGACACTGGTGCCCAAACACGTTGGAGACAAAACTCCTGCTGTACCCAAGGCGGGGTAGGAGGCAACGCGTCCCACCTCCCACCCTTCTATGGATCCCACAACACGTGCTCCTGCCGGCGCCCCAACCCCACACAGTGCCGACCTCAACTTGGGCTCCACATGCCAACGACAGCCCTCTGCTGTGTCCCAGAGTCTCCACAACTCTGCCACTCACTGGTCCTGTACCTCAGTTTCCCCCACTGTGGCACAAAGTAAAAATCCCACCCCACAGGCCCAGGAGCTCAGGGAGGGCACCAGGCCCTGAAATGGCTGCAGGAGTGAGGGTAGGGGTGAGAGGCGCTCCCTGCCCTGGGTCTCTGGCCCCAAGACTGATGTCCATTAGGCAGGGTGCTGGGGACGGCCAAACTCTGGCCTGGGGAACCTTTCTCCAGGCTCTGGGTCTCTGCAGTGGAGGCCCAGTGCATGTGAGGGAGCATGGCTGAGAGGATGGGGGAGCCTTGCTCCATCATAAGCCCCTCGGGTTGACCCCAGAGAACAAGGATCAAATCCAGACTCGCTTCCGGAGCTGGCTGCCCCAGGGGTTTATTTGGGTTTTGGGGTGAGATGAGGGCCTGGGGTCAGGAAACAACACATTCTGGTTTCGGATGCACATGAAGTTCTCTGCAGCTCTCTGGGGTACAGGAGGTATTGCCAGGTAGGAGCTATAAAATAGCCTAAGAGGAGGGGGCCCCCAAAAGTCCAGCCTCCCTGTCTCCCCACCTGGAGTTTCACAATAAAGTCCGGAAAAAAGGGATCTGGAGGCTGGGCAGGCTAAAGAGGGCTTGCCAGGGTTATCTGGCCTAATCCTTCAAACAGCCTGCCATTATCGGTTCTCTTGGACAGGTAAGGAAACTGAGGTTCGAAGAGGGCACCCGAGCCTGAGCTGGCAGCCTAGAGGTCCAGGCTGACCCCTACCCCACCAAAGGTGGCTCCACTCCTGGCTCATTCACTCCTGAATCACTCAGGTGAGGGCTGCATGCCTCCCTAGATGAGGTGACTTTAGATCCCCGTCCTCCAGGAGACCCCAAGCCCCTGGGCTCCCACTCAAGCTCAGCTGTAACAAGGGGTGCCACAGCCCCAGATCTAGCCCCAAGTGAGACCTGAGGGCTGGGGAGCTGGGGGGTGGGTAACAAGGGGTTCCTAGGCTCACACAAGGACCTGGAGGCCAGGCTCAGCCCAGGTTAATGAACCACCCAGAGGCCCACGCGGCTCAAAGTCCAGCCCTGCAGAGGAGGAGTGGGGGAGGTTGCAGCCAGCACCTTCGGGAAAGGCCCTGCACCCCCAGACCCCTGCTGGGTGGGGTGGGACTGTGGGAGAGCCGACCTTGTGTACCTCCCTGCACCCTGGGGGGTCACTCCAGGTCCCAACCAGGAATACGGCCCCCTGGGGAGATGGGGGCTGTCCTGGCAGGGCCTGGGGTGGCCAGGGCAGTCCAGTGGCCAAAACCTTTCCCACCGCCCTTGACCCCTGCGAGCCAAGGCTCCATAATTTATGTTCCCGGGCAAGCGCCAGCCTAGACCTCAGTCCATTTCACGAGGTCTTTGTATTTTTACTGCCCGGCCCATCTTGTTAAGGAACCGGATTAAGTTTATTGACCGATCAACTCACTACCTGTTTCACCAGCTCCAGTGCGGGCGGGGGCGCCGCCCCGGGGGAGGGGTGGGCGGGGCGTTCCAGGAGCGACTGGGGGAGGCCCCGCGCGCCCGCAGGGGGTCCAGGAGAGGCTCCGCAGCCTGGCCGCCGCCCTTCCCCGGGGCTGGCTGACATTCCCGGGCCGTAGGGAGTAATATCTTTATCTGAATGAGAATGCGAAAGCCAAGCTCCCCCCGCGGCCGCCCCTCCGGCACCCCTGGAAGCGGGGCCGCCCGAGCAGACGCTAAAAGCGCGCGCTGACCTCCCGACGGCCCCTGTCACGCCGCTGAATGACACGCACATTCAAGCGCCGGGCCACTTTCATTCATAAAAAAAATGACATTGTTCCGGGAGGCTGCAGCCGCCGACGGAGAAAGGGGCGCGGGGGCGCGGGCGGGGCGGACGCCATCTGCCTCGGCCCTCCAGGCGCCCTCCCCGGCCCGCCGCGCCCGCGGTCGCTCACACCTCCCCGCGAGCCGCCGAGCCGCCATCAATGCGCGGTCTGTGGCCGCGTCGAGGTACAAAGAAGCGGCTGTTCGGGCCTCGGCCCGGGTGGGGCGCGAGCTCACCGGGCCAAGGCCTCCCTCCGCGCGGCCGCCGGGCTGAGCTGTGCGCGCCCCCCTCGCCCGTCCGGAGCCGGCTGCGGGTGTACGCGGCGGCGGCACCGGAGCTCTCGGCCCGGCCCACGAGGAACCGCGGCGCGTGTGCAGGTCCGGCCGGGCGCCCCTTCCCCTCCCCTCGCCCCTTGGGACCTCCCTTCAGACCCTCGACGTCCCGCGGGACCTGGACCGCCAGCCCAGTCTAGGGCCCGCGACGCTGGGACACGCGCCCCTCGCTTGCCTGGAGCTCGGCGCGCACCCACGGGGAAGCGCCCTCGGCCCCCAGGCAGGGGCAGGGTCGGCAGCGGGGACGCTGGAGGCTGCTGCCTCTTCGGGCGGGCAGGGGCCGGGCTTCGCTGACGCGCACACCCACCCTTAGAAGTCCGGTCTCTCGCCTTGGCCGAAGCTGGCCACAAACTGGGGCCCGGGGGAGGGGGACGCCAACAATGGGAACTTTCCGTCTGCGCAGAACCC
Source organism: Homo sapiens (assembly GCF_000001405.40). Taxonomy (NCBI): domain Eukaryota; kingdom Metazoa; phylum Chordata; class Mammalia; order Primates; family Hominidae; genus Homo; species Homo sapiens. The sequence goes on along the minus strand of NC_000004.12, from coordinate 1,794,380 downwards.
GAATAACAACAGCGGGAATCGTGGAAATGGGGCCCCCCGCGCCCTCCCGACAGGCCAGGGCTAGGGAGTCGCAGGGGATCGGGGCTGCGGACGCCAACCCCCAGCCTGGCTCCCCGTGGTGGCCTCGCACTTGGAGGGTAGCTGCGGCTCCGGGCGCACCACAAGTCGCCGCGCTAGCTCTGGCCGCGCTCTCCGGCAAGGAGGCAGCGGAATCCGGGCTCTAACCCCGGGGCGTCACTCACACCCGGCGGCCCCTCCGACCCGGGGCCGGTTCCCGTCCCCAACGCCTCTGCCCGCACGGGCCGGCCTCTCCCGTGCCTAGTGGGTCCCTTCTTACCTGCCGCTCGCCCCACGACGCGCTGCTCCGTCCCCAAGGACTCCGAGGAGGCGCCGGCCACGATGGCCACGGCCACGCAGAGCGCGAGGGCGCAGGCAGGGGCGCCCATGGCGGGGGCGGGGGCCGCGGCGTCCTCAGGCAGCGCGCGCGGGCATGCTGCCCCCCACGGCCCGGCGCGGGCACCGGCGGGAGGCGGGCGCCGCTCGGGAGACTACAGGAGGAGGAAGGCAGCTCGTTAGAGGGGCGGACAGGGACGAAAGCGGCGGTGGCCGGCTCCTGCGTCCCGACCCCTCCGACCCCCAGCCGCCCCGCCCGCCGCCGCCGCCGCCCAGGGCTCCCGGGCCGCCTGGCGCCGGCCGCCTCCTCCCCGCCGCGGTCCCTCCCTCCTCCCCCTTCCCTCCCTGGCTGCTGCAAAGCCCTCCCAGGGCGGCGGCGGCGGCAAACTTTCCGGAGCGGGAAGCCCGCGCCCCGGCCCGGCCCGCTGCAGGGACCTCTGTGGTTCCGCGACAGCCGCGCCCCGACCCCTCCGCGAGCACCGTTGGACCCCTCCGCGAGCCTGCCCGGCCCCAAGCACGGACCTGGCGAGCGCCGGAGCCCGGCTCGCTACGCGCGGCTCCCGCTCCGGCTCGCTGTCCGCGGGCCCAGCTCCCGCCCCGTCCCTCCGGCCGGCGGCCCGCCGGTGCGTCCGTGCGACCGGCAGAGCAGGACCGCGCGGCGCCAGCTGCCCGCGACGCCGCCGCCACCGCGCACTGAGCCTGGGCTGCCCCGCGCGCCGCAGCCAGTGGGGGACGGTCCGCGCCCCGCCCCGGCCCCGCCCCGCTCCCGCCCGGTCCCCGCCCGGCTCGCGGGGGCGCAGGGCACGCCCCCTCGGGGCGGAGCGGGGCATCCGAGGGGGCGTGGCCGGGCGGGGGCGCCCGGCGGTCTCGAGGGCGTGGGAGCCGGGGCAGGCGGGCTAGGCCCCTAGTCGCACCGCGGGGCGGCCCAGGGGGCGGCGGGCACGGGGCGCACCGAGGGCGAGGGCAGGCCTGTGTTTGCATAGCGCGCAGCTCGGGTCCCCTGGGGCTGTGCTCAGGAGCTCAGAGGGGAGGTCTCGGCGGGGGTCGGGATGTCAGGAGGCTTCGCCGAGATGCCGCGGAGCTGAACCCTGTGGTGTGAGCGGCAATTCCTCAGGTGGAGGAGGGCAGGACGGCATTCCAGGCTGAGCCTCCCGTGTGCGCCGCAGGTCTGGGGCAGCCCGGCGCGGCCTGCGTACCTGACCGGCGAGGTGCAGAGGCTGCGTTGACTGACCTGGGGCCGCACGCAGCTAAGCCGCCTGAGAGCCCCGCGCGAGGGGTCCCTACCCCCCGCCCCCCAAGGAGGACACAGGCCTGGGGCTGGCTGCCTGCCCGGCCTAGGATGAAGAGCGGGGGCTGGATACCCCTGGCTTGGGGAGCACAGCCCGGCTCTGAGGGAGGATGACAGAGAGCTGGTGGCAGAGCCTGAGCTGGCCCGAGGTTCTGGGCTCCACGGGGTGGGCTCAGAGTCCAGCTGAAGAGGGGTGGGTTCCCAGGAGGGGAAGGTGCTGCCCTGCGGGGGACGCTGGAGGTGCCTGGGTCCCCTCACCCCACATGACTGTTGGCTTCTGTGTCCACCCTCACAAGGAAAAGGCCATCTGCTCCCACCTTCAGGCAAAGCCCAAGGAGGTCCGGGGCCCATGGGAGCCAGTGAGCTGGCCGGGAGGGCCGGCCGGGTGGGCTGCGTGCCTGGCTTGTGGCTTCCAGGACTGGAGGTGCTCATCAGGAAAATGGGCGCTGAAAGCCCCTCAGTGACTGGCTGCCTGCTGACCCCACCCAGCCCATGCACAGCCCCACCATGAATCTCCCAGAGGCCAGGGTGTCCCTGGGCTGACCTCAGGGACTTGGAAGGGCCCTGCTCCCAGGAAGCCCTCATGCCCACCCCTCTGTGCCGACTCGGTGGCTCAGCACCTGTCCTTGGCCACCCTCATTTCCTGCTCTGGCCAAGCCCATGTCCCCAGACCGTCTTGGGGCCCAGGCTCACCCACCTCCAAGTGCACTGTCCAGCCCCCTCCAGTGCACAGCCCCAGGTCACTGCCAGCCAGGTCCGCTCCCAGGACACCGTTCCCCAAGGCACAGCAGCACATTGGCCCTGCTCTTTTTTTTTTTTTTTTTTTTTTTTGAGAGGGAGTCTCGCTCTGTCACCCAGGCTGGAGTGCAGTGGCACAGTCTCAGCTCAAGCAATCTCTGCCTCCCTGATTGAAGTGATTCTCCTGTCTCAGCCTCCCAAGTAGCTAGGATTACAGGTGTGCACCACCACACTCGGCTAATTTTTGTATTGTTAGTAGAGACGGGGCTTCACCATGTTGGCCAGGCTGGTCTTGAACTCCTGACCTCAACTGATCCACCTGCCTCAGCCTCCCAAAGTGCTGGGATTGCAGGTGTGAGCTCTCTTAACCAACTAAGTCATCAGGTTCTGAAAGCACCAGCATGCGTGTGGGTCCTGACCTGACCGTCTTGCCCCTTCCCCTGGGGGACTGGATGGGACTGTGGGAAGGAGCTCACGCGTGGACAGGTCTCCCTCAGGGAACAGCTGCTGAGTGGGGCCCCTCCTGTAGGCAGAAGGGCTCAGTGGAGCTGTAGGCTCCTTTCCCAGTACCTCCAAGAAGGACTGACTCCCTCTGCACCCACGGCCACGGGTCTCTGGGAGGGGAGCATCCGTGCATCTGTGAACACATAGCTTTCTGCTTTCTTCCTCACCAGGATCCTCTCCTTGGCAGAAATGCCCAGTAGGGGTCTGGTCCCCATGTGTCCCTTCCCCAGCCCCTCTCCCATTTGTCCTTGAAAGCCTGATCCTACAGACCCTATCTCTGAGGGTCCCTTGCTCTCCAGCTTCTGGGTGGGTTTGACCAGTGGGCAGTGCTGGCAGGAGGAGGGACTGGGGACCAGGCACTTTCACAACCCACTCCCTCCCTTTGTCCCCGCAGCCCTGGCCCAGGCCCACCACCTCTCCCTCCAGTAGCAGCCGGGGATTCCTTAGTTCAGTAGCATCTTGTATTTCTAGGTTGCCCTCACAAATTACTGCACACTAATTGACTTAAATTTACTTTCTCATAGTCTGGAAGAGCAGATGTCTGGAATCAAGGTGTAGGCAGGGCTGCACTGCCTCTGAAGGCTCCAGGGAAGATCTTTCCTGCCTTTTCCAGCTCCTGGGGGCTCCAAGTGTCCCAGGGCTCCAAGTCCCTTGGCTCGCAGCCTCATTGCTCCAGCATCTGCTTCCCACTCTGCCATCTTCTCTTCCATCTCTTATACAGACACTTGTCGTTGGATATAGGGCCCACTTGGATAATCCAAGAGGATCCCCCATCTCAAGATTCTCACCTTAATTACATTTGCAAAGATCCTTTTCCAAATACGGTCACGTTCACAGGCTGCAAGGGGTGAGGACATGACTATGTCTTTTGGAGGCCGCCGTTCTGCCCACTACGCACTGCGTGGCAGCTGCCTCCTCTGGCGCCCTCCACATTCTGAATGGCTTCTCCAGTGGCACTGTCTGGGAGCAGTTAGGTCAAAGGGCAGGAGCATTTCCGTGGTGCCGCTAATTTTGCCAAATTGGTTTCAAAAGGGTCCTAGTGCCGCCACGGCCACCAGCAAGGAGTTGCTGCCCACTCTGCCCCAGGACTGTCAGGGCCACGGGAGGTCTTGCCTGAAAGCTCGGTTTAGTATTGTCTGAATAATTGTATTGTTCAAATGGATCACTTCCAAGCCCACAGGTGCAGATGGCATTCCCCCGACACTGAGGTGAGGCCAGGCCGGCTGCTTGACTCCTGAATTTCGGTGACTCTGCACATTAGCTGTCAGTAGCCACAATTTCATCACAGTGCCCTTGCTCAAGCGTTTCCACAGACCCTTTGCAATATTACCTGGCTTCATCCTCGTGGCACCTGATGAAGTAGGCCCTTCTGGGGCCTTTGAGGCAGGGAGGGCAGGCGAGGACTCGGGGAGCCTGTTGAGGGTCCGCATGTGCAGGAGGCTCCAAGCAGGTGCCGGCCGGACAGGAACTTCCCATCTGCTGGACTCCGGTTTACACCTCCCTACCCACTCCCCCTGCACCCCCACCCACCTCCTGAGGCCCATACCCAGGGGTCCCCCCTGAAGGTGAGTATGGGAGGCAGGGGCCGAGACAAGCGGCGCGTGCGGCTGACGGCCCGGCCCAGCCCAGCCCTGGCGGTGACTCAGAGCTGGGCAGCCTGGCTTGCTGGGGCCTGCGTGGGTGAGTGGCAGAGGGTGCCTGGGAGGGAGGCCCATCCTGGGTGCAGGGCCTCCGCAGGTTGCCCATGGCCCCGCTCACACCCGCGTCTCCTGCGTCTCCCTTGCAGGTACTCGGAAAATGGCAGAGGCGCCTTCGGCAGAGAGGACATTCCCAGCACAGTCTCAGATCCACACCGCCTGTTCCCCACAGCACTCCGGGCAGGCAGCTGCCGCCTTTCCCGACAGGGAGGTGGGCAGGGAGGCCGAGGCTTGGAGACCTGGAACCCAGGGCAGGCGAGCTGCCAGAGAGAGCCTCCTGCCCAGCTCCCCTCTGGGATCAGAACCTGGCCTAGGGCTGGGGCTGCTGCGGGGAGCTTCCCTCGGCCCTGCCATGAGGCTGAGTGGAAGGACAGGGGACACGGAGGTCCGGAGTGGGTATCAAGTCCCTTCTGCCCATGGGACCCCCTGGGAGCCATGCGATCTCCCCTCGGAGCTCCCCATCTCCTACCACCTTCCCCAGGAACCACTAGTGCCCTTCCACACTGTCAGGGCACAGGGTTGGGTGCCAGGGATCAGGGCAGGCCACCATGGGATGGAGGAAGAAGGGCCCCTGGGTAGCCCTGCTGAACTGGACTGGGCTGTTAGTGGGGCTATAGCTATTATAGTTTATGGGTAGTTTCTGCCTTCTATTTTATTTTTGAGACAGGGTCTTACTATGCTGTCCAGGCTGGTCTTGAACTCCTGGGCTCAAACAATCTTCCCGTCTCAGCCTCCCAAATACAGGCATGTGCCACCATGCCTGACTTTGCCTTTTAAATTTATTCTCACAAAATTTGAAAAGTATTAAAATAAAAAAACAAACCTTGATTTGCTCATTATAACAGAAATGAAATTTTAAAGAACGTGAAGAAGAAGAAAAAATATTCCAAAATCCCTAAGCCAACGCAGCTAGCAAGACCCTTAATTTTAGCTCTGAGCTTCCTGGCAGGCTGAGGAAAAAGGGTAACACCGTGAGTCATGAGCTGCTGGGAGCCTGTCGTCTTGGATATGGCAGGACAGTCCCAGTTCAAACATTCTGGCCTTTTTACCGTTTGGTTCACTCAGACCACTAGACCTCAAGTTCTGACTTTGGTTTGGAAAATGTGGCTGCTCCCAGATGAGCAAAGAAAGGAAACCAGAGCTGTCTGCAGACACAAGAGAGAGCTGTAGAGATGGGGGCGGGGGTGAATGTTCAGGCTCCCCCTGGGCTCCTGCCCCAGCCTGGGAGTGGGGGAGGCCCAGCTCCCTGCCTGGAGTCTGGCACAGGAGGGCGGCTCGAACTGTGCGGAAGCAGCAGGAGGTGGTGGTGGGGTCCCCCACAGGGGTGGGTGGGGCGGGCAGTGGAGGGCTGGCCAGGGAGGGGTTAAGGCTGGGCAGCTCCCAGGATGGCGGGGGCCAGGCCGGTAGCCGCTGAGCAGCTCAGAATCTATTTTCCTAAGCACTTGGCATTTGCCTGAAACCTCAAGTGTATTTTCCCTAAGTTTTATTTTTTCTTTGACCCCAAACTCTGGTAAATTTAAAGGAAATTTAATTATGGTGTTTTGGGTCCATTTACACTTAAACCCTCTCAGCATTTTTTCCAAGACCCTTTTGGAGTTCAGCACGCCTTGGGAGCCTTCTAAATGAGCGTTTTTATTATTATTATTTTTTGAAAAGGCTTCACTCCCCACTTCTGCCCCCCCAGCACCAGCCTTCCTGCCAAGAATAAACAAGCCCCGACTCCACAGGCTCCGGCTGAATTAGGAATCCAGGCCTCGGGGCCGCCGGTCCAACCCCACGTCACACCCTCCTCCCTCCGCGGCCTCCGCCCTCTTCAGGATGCCCCTTCCTCTCAGCCCTGCCCGCCACTCCGGGTGTCACCTGGCCAGCCTCGGCCAGAGCCCCTTCTCAGGGCCTCGCCTGGCCACCCTCTGCCTGCCCGTCCCCAAACCATGGACAACGTCAGTCGTGCTTCCGGCCAGGGCCCAAGAGTCCAGAGTGGCCAACTGGGCCCAGCAGGCAGCTGCCCACGAGAGGCTGGAGATCCCGTCCAGCCCAGCCGGGGTGTGGGGACGGCCCCACCCCCACAAATGGGTTGGCTTGGGGCAACCCCACACCCTGTGTGGCTGAGAACCTGTGGATGGCAAGGTGCGGAGTGCTGGTGGCTCCTGACAGAAACTTCATGCCAGCCACATCACCAACACCCACTTGACAGGTGGGGAAACTGAGGCACAGAGCCACAGGCAGCAGGAGGCGCTCAGTGGCCTGATCTGACAGCCCTGCCCCAGGGAGGTTTCAGCTGAGCTTGGGAAGGGTGGGGTGTTCGCCACAGTATTTAGGGAGACCCGAGAGTGGGCCAGAGCCCCCTGCCCCAGGCCAGGTGCCCAGCGGCATGAGGGAGGGCAGCCCTGCCCCACCCGGCCCCACCCGCAGCCACTGCAGGGCGCTGCCCCCGTAAGGCTGCATGGGGCTGACTAGAGGAGGCAGCTGTTTGGCTCTGACCCCCTGGGCGGCTTCCTCGGGAGCCCTGCCTCCAGGTGCAGCCTTCAGCCCGGCCCCCACCCGGCACGCTCAGCAGGGGCACAGGGCCCTGATGCTCGGCCCCAGAAGCCGGCAGATGATGGCGGAGGCTGCGGCCAGAGGCCCTTGGCCTGGGAGTGGGGTCGGGAGGCTCCGGGCTGCAAGTGCAAAGCCTGATGTCTGAGGCGGGTCCTGGTGGGCCCGGAGGACCTCGCCCAGTTCCAAGGTCTTGGGTAAGAGGCACCTGCTGGGGGCCTCAGTCTCCCAAGCTATGAGGGACTCTATTCACGCCTGCTGAGAGGGCAGTGGGGAGAGCAGGGGCAACCTCCGCAAGTGCCCAGGAGGAGATGGCCCGGGCGCCAGGGCATGCCAGGGAAGGGGCGTGGCTCTGGGGACTCCAGCTCTGGGGGAATCTGGGAAAGAAGGCCCTGGCCAGGCCCTGATGATCGCAGACCTGGGCCACCCTCCCCAGCCCTCTCCAGCCCTCAGGAAGTGGGGCGTGGCTGGTCCCTGGAGACCTCCCCTAGCCCAGCTGTTGACCTGTCAGAAACAGAAGCCACCTCTTGCCAAGGTGAGGGCCTGGCTGGCGTCTTGGGCCCCTTGCTGCGGTGTGCGTGGGGCCTCGTCTGCCCGGATCCGGCAGGGCAGTCAGGGTGAGGGCCGAAACCAGCGCCCCTGCAAGAAGCCTGCTCTGGCCCCAGCCTCCCGGGGGTACGGAGCTTCTGCAGGTCCCCCAGCCCTTATGCTTCCTGCCACCTGCTCCCACAGAAGCCCTCCTGCCACTCCAGCTCAGCCGCAGGCACTGGGAAGGGGAGTCTGTTGAAGCCACAGGGTTGCCCCATTTTACAGCTGGGTATCGTGACGCACCTCACACGAGGTATATTCTAACAGCCGTTGGCTGAGGGTCTGCTGAGGCACTGGGTAGAGCGTCCCCCAGTGCTTCCGCTCAGCAGGGAGATGTGGGCCGTGGGTGCCTTAGGAGGCTGGCAGGGCTGGGATGTCAGCGCCGTCGACACCTCATCCCTGTGCAGCTCCCAGCCACGCTTCCACCCTCCCTGACCACCTGTGGCCAGCCCCACGCTCTGGGCTCCTCCATCTATGGGCCTGCCTTTCCAGGGACCCAGTCCCAAGGCTGACTGGGGCCCTGATGGACAAGACGACCCTTTCTGCCCCAAGCTTGGGGCCACCTCTGCCTCCAGCTCTCGGAGTCCCCAGGGCTGGGCAGGACAGTGGAAGCAAGGTCTGCAGCCCCTAATAGAGACATCTTCGCCTCCTGAGGCCTCCCTTCCCCGCCACGCCTGCCTGCCTCCCCCGGCCCCAGTCTGCTGACAGCTTCATTGTCCACTGACCTGGGCAGGGGAGGGACCGAGGGCATGGGGGTGCTGACCGGCGCCAGGCAGAGGCAGGCGCCCGGGAGAAGGTGCCTACGCAGTGTGCACCCAAGCCACACATAGCTGGTGCCCACGCCTATGCCACACCTGTGCCCACACCTGTGCCACACTATAGCCCTGGTCAGACAGGGCTGCCCAAAGGGCCTCAAACCTGCTGAGCCCCAGCTGGGGAGTGAGGGCCTCAGGGGCCTCCCAGGGGCACAGTGAAGGGGATGGGAACTGGGGGGCGGGGGAGGTGCCCCTTCCCAACCAAAGGGGACAGAGAGCTGGACACAGAGGCTGGGGCTGGGGAGGCTTTGAAGGCAGGGTGAGGACCAGCAGGTCCTGGGGTGGGGGCACATGGAGTGCCCGCCAGGCCTGGGCTCAGACTGCACCCACCCAGCTTGCAGCTGAGCAAGGACCGGTCACTGTCAGGGCCGGAGGGGCAGGGCAGCGCACACTCGGGAGGGCGGGTTGACCAGAGCCTTGGGTCCCAGGCCCGGGGTTATCTCAGGATGGGGGTCTGTGTTGCCTCAGTGTGGATCAAAGGGGCAGCTTATCAGGCCAGCCAGGCCAGGGCTGGCTTCCCACGGCCGCCCTTCCGCCCGCCCAGCTCCCCTCCCTGCTCCCAGCAGCCTTTGCTCCCTGCGCCTCCCTGCCCATGGGGACCTTCCACCCTCCCTTCTCTGGGATGCCTTCTGAGGCCTGCCCAGGCCCTGTGGCTCTGAGGCTTATCCCCAGATTCACCCCTCAAGGATCTGGTCTACAGCCAGGCCATGACTGACCCCCAGGAGTGGGCAAGGAAGCAGCCTGCAGGTCTAGAGTGGAGGGCCACAGGGATCGCTCCCTGGATGACAGGTCCGTTCATCTGGAGGCAGAAGGCAGGGCAGGCAGAGCGCATTCAGGCAGCGGCAGCTGTGTGCCTAGGGACCACAGGCAGAAGGCACTGGTTCTAGGGTGTGAAACCGCTGGGGCTGGGTGGCCACATCCCAGGGGGGCACCCACCCTCTCAGAGGACATGCCCAGGGCACATGGAGCCATCCAGGTGCCCCTGTGGAGCTGCTTTGGGCCCAGGGGATTGGTGTTGCCAAAGAGAAGCTCTGGGAGCCACTACACCAGTGCCACCCGCCTGCCTGGGCATGGAAAACTGGGTCAGAGCAAGGCTGGGCAGGCTCCCTGTGCCAAGGCCGCCGCCTTGCTGTGCCCAGCCAAATGGGCATCCACAGCCAGGGCAGGGGCTTCAGGTGGCAGCACAGCCTGGGGCCCGAACCCGTGCCTGTGTGCTCACATGGTCACGTGTGCATGTGCTCTCACGTGTGATTGTCCTAGGGACACAAGTAATGTCAGAGGCTTCAGCTGACAGCCTTGGCTCAGGCCCCACATGCCCCGACCTGGCTCCAGACAACCTGTTGCCAGTGTGGTGTCCAGGATAGCCGAGTTTCCAGGCTAGCCCACAAAAGCTGCGTGCCCCAAGTGTCCTGCCCAGCTCTGGCCAGCTCAGGAGAAGGCCCCTGCCTGTGATCCTTGTATCTCCGGGGCTCGGGGAGATAAGTGAGTCAGAAGACAGGTGAAGAAGCTCAGCTTCGGGAGGACAGCCCCTGCCCTGGGTGCACAGCAAATCAATCATAGTCGCTTCCTGGCTGAGCACCTCAGGACTGCCCATCAAGCACCCTCCCTTGGGTCAAGCTCGTCCTGCCTCCCAAGCAACCCCCAGCTTGCTGCACCAGGACACACCCCCATCTTCCGCATGGCTGCCTCAGAGAAGCTGCCAGGGTTCCGCAAGAGCTGTGCCTTGGCCTTGAGGCTGGCCCGGCCGTGTGGGGCTCATTAGCCCTCGAGGCTCATCCTCCTGGCGGTGCAGGAACTGCAGGACACTGTCACGGGCACCTCAGGACTGAAGCCCTGGGCCCCATACCCCTGCCCAGCCTCTAACCTGGTTCCTGGAGGGCAGGGACTGAAGAGAGGGACGGGCTGCAGGTGACCCCCATCCTGGGTGCCAAGGGTAGAGGCTGAGCCGTCTGCCCACCGAACCCTGCTGCACCACTCTCTCCTGAGCATGGGGCACCTTCTTTCTCTCTTTGCCCTGGCTGCCAGGAAGCTCAGACCAAGCCAAGGGTCCAAGGGCAGGCACCTCCCTCCACAGAGTTTCTTCATTCCCCACTTCCTCCCTGGCCCCACAGAGGCCTGGGCTTGCCTGGGCTTCCAGCCCTGCCTTGGGGCAATCTGTGCACCTGCTGGGCAGGGTCGGTCCACCAGCTGCTGCTGGCTCTGCGGTCCTCCCAGATCCACCCCACTGAAGAGCAGGGGGACGGGCAAATCTCCAAAACCAGGGGCTGGTGAGTCTCAAAGAGACCCCCCATCCCACCCCCATCCCACCCCCATCCCGCCCCCATCCCGCCCCCATCCCTGCCCCTGCCCACCCACCCCTTACTGCTGGAAGACCCTTAGCTCCCCCGAGACAAAATGGTCCTGTGCCTGGACCTCCCCCCGCTGCAACGTTGACATTGTGACCCCACCACAGCATGGCAGGACCCCCAGGGCGGCCCCACACACCCTCTCCTAAGGATGCCCTGGACTCAAGTTGCACGGCTTGTGCATGCAGGCCCGTGAGGGGTGCAGACATGGCACTCCGCCCAGAGAGCTTATAGGACCCCACTGCTTGCTACTGTGGAGCTCACAGAACTGGTAGTGCCAGAAATTGGCTTGGGCAGGTGGAGACTCGACAGCCAGCCTGTTCCCCAGGGCCTCTCTGTTCAGGTTCTACCCAGACGCCCTGCACCCCCCCCCCCCACCTGTCTCCATTGCTCTCAGACAAGGGGCTGGAGGCGCTGGACACCTGCTGGCACCATACACCCGGAAAGACCCAGCAGGTCCTCTGGCCCCCTTTCCTGCATGCCCCATGCTCTGCTCTGAATGTCGTGGACTGCAGGCTCCATCCTGGGGCCCCGCTGTCATCACCCCGTCTGTCGTCAATGGCCAGGCCCCATCATAACCTGGCTCTGAATGCCATGACCAGCCCCCTCCCTGAGCCCCTCACCTCGGCCATCGCCCGCCTCCTGGCCATGCATCCCATCTCAAGGCCGGTCCCAGCCCGGAGGACCGGGCTCCCTGCATGGCCGTGGGCTCACCCATGCAGTCATCCATAGAGTGGGGGCAATAAAGCTGCGACCAGGCCTGCAAGGAGAGGCCTCAGTGTCTGGAGACTTCTGGAAGGCGCTGGGCCGCTATTGCTTGGGCGTCGCCTCGGGCTGCCCCCAGACCCTGAAGCAGCTGCCCAGGCGGGCACGCCTGTGGGGTTGCATGCTCAGGAGGGGCGGCAGGAAGCCCCCGGACCTGCTGTGTGGCTCACGGGCAGTAGAGGGCACCCAGGCTTGACCGGGGACTCTGTGAGAGACAGGACTCCAGTCGAACAGCAGACAGCTGGTTCCTGTGAACAGCATGGGCCCAGCTCAGGGCTGCCCCACCCCCAGTCCAGCCCGGGGCTGCAGGTCTGGGTGGTGGCTCTGCTGGGGCTAGGGCTGCACTGGGGTAGGGTGGCTGGATCCTCTCATACTATCCAGGCCTCGGGGCTGGGAACAGAGAGACGTGTACCCTGCACAACTTCGGCACAGTGGAGCTTTATGCTTCCTGTTTTTTTTCTTTTTTTACTTTTTTCTCGAGACAGGGTCTGGCTGTGTCGCCCAGGCTGGAGTGCAGTGGCGCGATCTCGGCTCACTGCAGCCTCCGCCTCTGAGGCTCAAGCCATCCTTCCTCCTCAGCCTCCCAAGTAGCTGGAACTACAAGCGAGCACCACCACACCCAGCTAATTTTTGTTTTTTTTGTTTTTCTTTTTGAGATGGAGTCTTCCTCTGTCGCCCAGGCTGGAGTGCATCTCGGCTCACTGCCAGCTCCGCCTCCCGGGTTCACGCCATTCTCCTGCCTCAGCCTCCCGAGTAGCTGGGACTACAGGCACCCGCCACCAGGCCCGGCTAATTTTTTGTATTTTTAGTAGAGATGGGTTTTCACCGTGTTAGCCAGGATGGTCTCGATCTCCTGACCTTGTGATCCACCCAGCTCAGCCTCCCAAAGTGCTGGGATTACAGGCGTGAGCCACCGCGCCCGGCCAATTTTTGTATTTTTTTTAGAGACGAGGTTTTGCTATGTTGCCCGGGCTGGTCTTGAACTCCTGAGCTCAAGCAGTCTGCCCATCTTGGCCTCCCAAAGTGCTGGGATTATAGGCATGAGCCACCATGCCCAGCTGGAGCTTTAAGCTTCTGAGAAGACACAGCTTTTATACATCAGATTTATTTATTGTAATTTTTTTTTTTTAAGATGGAGTCTCTCACTGTTGCCCAGGATGGAATGCAGTGGCGCGATCTCGGCTCACTGCAAGCTCCGCCTCCCAAGTTCACGCCATTCTCCTGCCTCAGCCTCCTGAGTAGCTGGGACTACAGGTGCCCACCACCACGCCCGGCTTATGTTTTGTATTTTTAGCAGAGATGGGGTTTCACCGTGTTAGCCAGGATGGTCTCGATCTCTTGACCTCGTGATCCGCCCTCCTCAGCCTCCCAAAGTGCTGGGGTTACGGGTGTGAGCCACCGCCCCTGGCCCTATATATCAGATTTATTTAGGCCCAGAAAATAAAAACACTGCAGAACCTGGGGAGAGAGAATTACCGCCCTTGGGCCCTTGGCTTGGTCTGAGCTGCCCGGCAGGCAGGGCAAAGAGAGAAAGAAGGTGCCCCATGCTCAGCAGAGAGCAATGCAGCGGGATTCTGTGGGCTGACAGAGGGCTCGGCCCCCACCCTTGGCATCTGTGCCCATGTTCCCCCTCCCAGGGCTGAGACTCTGGCCCCCACCCTGCAGATGTGTCTTGGAGCAGTGGAGAGGGCAGAGCCACGATGGGCTCATAACCGGCTCTGGGCTGGACACCACGCCTGCCAAGGGACCCCAGAGCTGAGAGACACTGAGCAGGGCCACTTGGGCCTGGAGGAGCTGGCACAGCCCAGGCCCCAGGGAATGAGGGGAGGCTGTGGTGGGTCCAGCCCTGCTCACGGCGCTGCTGGAGCTGTGTTTTTTTCAAAGCGCACTTGAGGTCCAGGCCCTGCCGCCCACACGGGACATCTGAGCACCCTCTCACAGCCTCACCATGACGCCTGTTCCTCAGTCCCTTCTCCCAGACCGTCTAGGGCCCATGGAAACCCGGGTTGGCTCAGTCCCCTTCCTGCGCGGGACTCTTTTTTTTGAGACGGAGTCTCACTCTGTTGCCCAGGCTGGAGTGCAGTGCTACGATCTTGGCTCACTGCAACCTCTGCCTCCCAGGTTCAAGCAATTCTTCCACCTCAGCCTTCCACCTGCTCGGGACTCTTACAGCTCCCGGGCTTCTGGCCAGCTCAGCACAGCTAGGGCTTCCCAACAACCTCTCTGACCACCTCGCTCCCCAGACCTGCTGGTGCACACTTCCTTTCCGCATCCTCTCCCCACAGGCCTACCTCACCCCTCAGGGCTATTCAGCCCTCCCCATCTACTCTCAAATCCTACCCACCAGGTGTGGGCCTCCTGACCACAGGCAGAGCCTCCACAAAGGCCTGGAGGCATCAGATGACCCCATGGATTTGGGGAGGAGGCTGAAAGGTGGGCAGCCCCTCGGGGCACGTGAGCTCCCAGGGCAGGACCTGGGCCTGGACCAGAGCAGGACCGAGGCCAGCTGGGCCCCCGAGGGGCAGGCAGTTCCCAGAGGAACCTCCTGTAGCTGTCCTTGACCCTGGGGCCTGGCCATGGGCCCTGCCCCACCCCCAACCCAGCCGATGAGGTGTGGAGACTGAGGCCAGCAGAGGGCCCTGCTCCAGGCTTGTGTTTCCCGAACCCCAGGGCAGCGAGGGTCAGGCTTGGGGACCTCAGAGGCCTGTGCTGCAGGCCACCAGCCCTCACAGGACTCTTGTGAATCAGGCGTTGGCCCTTCGCTCTTCACTAATTCATTCAATCCCAGCCACCCAGCGAGCACCTCCTGGGTGTCTGGGGCTGCTCCCAGCCCTGGGGGCTCATCTGGGCCATAGGCCATGGCCCTGCCCTCGAAGGCCACATGGTGGCCCAGGCTGGAGGTGGGGCCCTTGGGCACTTTGTGCAGGGAGGCTGGTGCGTCAGCCCTGCATGGGGCCCTGCCCCAGGGATCTCCGAGCAGCGCTTGGGCCAGGTCCTGAGCATGAGGGTGGTCAGGCTGAGCCCAGGGGCTGATGCTGCCTGGAGCCCCGGCCCCCATTCCCTGGGAGCACTCGGAAGCCCAGGACCTGCCCCTCGGCCCATCGCTGGGCCTGTCTGGGGTCCTGCCACTCGCCAGGGGAGGTGGCAGGCCTGGCAGACCACCCATTACAGCCATGGATGCCCCCTTCTCCCCACGCCAGGGAACCCTCCATCCAGGTGGTCAGGGGATGGGGGCAAGAGCTCCTTTCCCAGGCAGAGTAGAAGAAGATGTTCAGGTGGGCCCCTCAACACCTGTCCCCTGGGCATGGTGCCAGCCTCCCCCAGCTCCAAGCTCTCTCCCAAGTGAGGCCCCAGCAGCTGAGGCCTTTGTGCCTCATGTCACCCGCCAGCCCGGGGACTGCCCTATGCCAGGCCAGGCTCCCTGGTCCTCCTGACACGCTCCTGCCCTGACTGTGCCCAGACACAGTGCAGACACAGTGCGAGGACTGAGCAAAGCATGCTGGGCTGGCCCTGAGCAAAGCATGCTGGGCTGGACATGCTCGGGGCTGGCGGGACCCTGTCTGGGTGGGGGAAGGACACTGATGGGCCCTGGTTTGAGGCAGGCATCACAGAGCTGAGGAGAGAGGGAGACCCAGGCACGAGGTAGGATGCAGGCTCGGTGGCCTGGGCTGGCCTCTTGGCATGGGCCTCCAACCACGGGGCTCGAGCAGGGTCAGGGCAAGGGGCCACTGCCACGCCTCCTTCACCCTTGCTTCCAACAGGCTGGCTTGAGGTCACCATGCCCTGAGGTCCTGGGGGCCACGCTGCATGAAAACCTGGACCCCTCAAATACGGTAGGTGTCCCTGAGTGCCAGGCTCGAGACAGATGCTGGACAGAGCAGGGAAAAGGGTCCCTTCATCTGGGGCTGGCAAGAGTGGGCGATGGCCAGGCAAGGCCTCTTGGGTGCCACAGAACAGGGGCGGGCCAGGGGAGGACCAAGCAGTGCAAGGGAGGTGGCGGGCAGCTGGCCCTGTGGCTGGAGAAGCATGGCCTCTGATGCCGGTGGACATTGGGAATCCCCAGGGGCTTCAGGCAGAAGAGAGGCGTGAGGCGGGAGGCCCCTTTGCTGCCAGGTGGCGAGGGCACGTGAGGTGGAGGCCAGCGGCCAGTCAGATGGACCCCAGGCCCACGCATTCTCAGGGCCCAGCCCAGGAGGGTATCAGCAGGGTCCCTGGAGCAGCTGACACCAGTAACGCTGGGGGGAGGGGCAGGGACAGAGGAGGGGTCCCGAGTGGGGGGCGCTGATGGCTCAATCCTGGCCGTCACTGCTCAATGGGCCCTTGTCCCAAGCCATTGAGCGCTGCATTCCCGGCCCCCTGGCGACGGCCCTGGCCACGGCCATCTCCGGGGAGGCAGGAATGTGGCGGGCGGGGCTCTGGCTGGGGGTGGGGGCTCCCGTTCTCACGCCCGCGGCCACTCTGGCCGACTCAATTGGAATTTAAATGCCGGCTATTGTTGTCCCCAGAATGGCCAGGAGTCAGCGCTGCCCTGGGGGCTTGGCCAGGCAGGACTGGAGTGGCCAATCCAGCAGCTGGCCAGCCCAGCTCCCATGAGGCCCAGCCACCTCTGCATTCCTTTTCCTTAGCCCCCTCTTCCAGGAAGTCCTCCTGGATCTGGCCAGCCCCCTTTTCCGGCTGCCAGCTCAGATTCTTTCTGGCCCTTTCTGCCCTGGGGGGAAGGATGATGGATAGCTCCTACATGGTCCCTGCCTGGGCTAGGACCTGCCTGGGGAGCCCCACCCATGGCCTGCTGTCTCCAAGAAGAGCTGGGCCACGCCCATCTGTGAAGAGCAGCCCTCACCCTCCCAAGGGCCTCACTCCAGCCATCAGGAGCCCAGGATGGGGGCTGGAGCAGAAGGAGCTCAGGGCTGCACTCAAGGTTTCTGGGTACCCCGACCCCCTTGGTGGAAGAGGCTGGGGTGGGATGCTGGGCCCACCCCTAAGGCATCCTCAGGCCCAGGCTGGGGGTAGCACAGAGCTCTCAGGGGGTCTGACCCAGGCAGGGCTGGGAGGAGCCTCCTGGGGCACGTGTCCCCCTGAGCTCCAGCCTTGTGGAGTTGGAGGGTCCCAGGAAGAGAGGTGAAGCTCTAGACTCCCACCCTGGAAGGCAGCTCATGGGGGTCCCCATTCCAGCTCACACTCTGTGGAGCTCAGATGCACCAGGTGGGTTACTTCCCTGGACTAAGGGTGGTCCCTGGGTCTGAGTCCAAGCAGAAACCCTAGGAAGGGGCATGTGGGGATGTACCCAGCTTTTGAGGACACACAGGGACCTGCCACCATACTGTTGCCCAGTCCGGGCCTGGGGCCTCTGAGTCTGTCCTCCCACAGCGGCCAGGGTGTGTCAACGGGTACCCCAACTCCACGCAGAGCCTGCCTCACCTTTGCAGGAGCATGTAAAACCCCCAATTCCCATTCTTACACCCTAAACCCCACCAAACACAACTCCAGCCCCCTAGGTTGGGGCCCATTCCTTGGTGCCCTGGGCCATTTGCCCAGCTCAGGCACCCTCTGAGGGCCGGGCCACCTACAGGAGGTGCCAGCCGCCCCCCAGCCCATCCCATACCCCTTCCTCCGCCAGGACTTCATTCATTTATTTATTTGCTGAACCTCTGACATGTCTGAAAGGGGCCTTTGTCCGCGCAGACAATCAATAGCACAAATGGAAATGGATTCGTGTTTGGGGAGAGTCTGGTGTGTGTGTTTGTGGGATGGGGGGGCTGGGCCGGAGGCCCAAGGAGCGGACCGCAGGCTCTGTCGCCCACCCGGCCCAGCAAGCTATGTGCCCTCCAGGAGTGGCAGATGCCCGTGAGCAGACATGAGCCCAGCCCAGCCTGGACGAGCGCTGTGGGTGAATAATGGATGCCATCCTAGCGCGGGCAGTGCTGTGCTCACGTGGCCAGCCAGGCCCAGGCCACCTGCACAGTGGCCAGTGAGGGTGGGGCTGAGAGACACCCAGTGAATGGGCTGTGGCCAGGTCCCTGCATCACCCGGGCCCAGGGTACAGCTTGCAAGAGCCCTGAGGCCAGGGTCGAGGTTGAGGACAGCAGGGCGGGCTCGCAGCCGAGTGGCCCCTGGGACAGGGGAGGAGGCCACTGTGAGCCGCCATTGAGACTTTTATTGGAGTGAAATGGGGGCTCAGGCGGCTGATGGAGGAGGCATGTGACCTACATAAGGTTTTCAAAAGATTGTTTGCTGGATGGGGGCTCTGATGCCAGGGGAGCTGGGTACGGGTCCCAGCGAGAGGAGACCACCTCGATCTGAGCAGGTGGTGGCTGGGAGGGCAGGAAGCATTAGAGCCAGGTGTGGCTGGAAGGCCCAACCACATGGGTTTGCTGACTGATCCGCTGTTGGGGCGGAGGCACATTTATGAAAAGGGGAAGGACTCGGGTTGAGCCCTCCTGCCCCTCACTGCCATCCTCCCCATGCACACCACAGTCTGAACTCCCTCGAGGCAGAGAGCCCTGGCCTCTGCACTTGCACACTGACTCACGCAGAGCCTGGGGCTGCCTGGGCCTGATGGAGCTGGCAGGCAGGGACTGTCTTTTTCCTGGAGGACTTCCTGGTGGAGGCCTGCTGCAGTTGGAGGCCTGAAGCACAGCGGACAGCCCCAGGCGTGTGTGGTGAGACCTGCTGCTAGGTCCTGGTCCCTTGGCCCAGTGGGGGTCGGGAAGGGGTGGGAGGTTTCTGCCTGCCCGGGGCAGCCGAGCAGCGCTGACCCAGCACTGTCCTCTGTGTCCCAGGCGCTGCTCCTGCCAGCCCCCGGCGCCTGCCCAGACAGACACGGTCCATTCATGGGCCGCGGAGACACAGCCGTGGGCATGTCAGTGGCCTGGCCTGCCCAGCTGGAGCATGGGGCCTGTGGCTGTTTGTCCAATGTCCGCTCATCCACGGCCAATGGGCTTTGTGGGCTGGCTCAGGGCAGCCAGACTCCTGGCTGGTTCTCAGCTACTGTGACTGTGGTCTCTGAAGCAAGGGTGGCAGTGAGGGCAGGAAGCTTGGGGACACCATGGGAGGAGCAGGTTGAGGGTGAGGAGGGAGCCCCACTGTCCAGGATGTGAGGTGCAGGGCGCATGGGACCCCAGATCTGCAGGTGGGGCTGCCCCACAGGGAGTGCTGGCGGCTATGGGAATGGGCAGAGCTCAGAGGTCCCCTGGGTTATTTATTTATTTTAGAGATAGGGTCTTGGCTGGGCACGGAAGCTCATGCCTGTAATCCCAGTACTCTGGGAGGCTGAGGCAGGCAGATCACCTGAGGTCAGGAGTTCAAGACCAGCCTGGCCATGGTGAAACCCTGTCTCTACTAAAAATACAAAAATTAGCCGGGCATGGTGGTGTGCACCTGTAATCCCAGCTACTCGGGAGGCTGAGGCAGGAGAATCACTTGAACCTGGGAGGCAGAGGTTGCAGTGAGCCGAGATCGTGCCATTGCACTCCAGCCTGGGCAACAAGAGCAAAACTCCATCTCAAAAAAAAAGATAGGGTCTTGCTATGTTGCCCAGGCTGGTCTTGAACTCCTGGCCTCAAGTGATCCTCCTGCCTCAGCCTTCCAAAGTCCTGGGATTGCAGGTGTGAGCCACCATGTCAGAGGCCCCCTCGGGCCGGCCTGCTGGTGCCCAGGAGCTCCTAATTAAGCCACAAAGGGCAGCTCCCTCTGGGGATATTGCACTTGGTCCTCAGCCTTTGTCTGGAGGTCTACCCCTCCAAGGACCTCAGGGGGCAACCTGCCCATGTGGGGTCTACTCATCCCATGCACCAATGCTCCCTTGGACTGCAGTGGGAGGGGCATCCCTGTGCCTTGGGTGACCTACGTTGGGTCCCAGGCCATCCTATTCTGCTGTGAATACTACCCTCCAGGCCCCCACACTGGGCCACGGACCACCAAGGTCCCCCCCTGCTCAGAAGTGGCCTGCCTTCACATAGCCTGACACCCCAGGGCCACAGCCTCTGCCCTGACCCTGTGGCCCACCCCGACAGCACTGGCAACCTCAGCCCCATCCTCCGACTTGGCCCAAGAGGCATCTTCCTAAAACCAAAGCTCTGTCCGTCTGATGCGCTCAGGCCAGTGTCTGTAGGCGGCCCAGGTAGGGTGGGGTTCTTGAGAATATCGGCCCACCCTGAGCCTCTTCTGGGCAGAATGAGAACCCCATCCTCCTTCTGGGGCCTGGGTTCCCTCATGGCTGGAAAGGGCCCATAGTGGCCAGTGGGGCTCACAGTTCGGACTCCTGGCCAAGAGGCTGCGCTGAGCCCAGGGATGAGTCTGGGAGATGTAGCCTGGCTGAGGCCGCTGTGGCCTTGTAGGCTCGATGTTCTTGCAGCTTCAGCTGCTTTGGTGAGGCCCCCATGTGCACATGGCTGGATAGGGAGGAAAGGGCAGGCAGGTGGATAGCCTGGGGGCTTCGGGTAAATCCCCAAGGTCTGGAGTTGGACACGGGGCTGCAGAACAGCTCCAGCAGAGCCTCACACAACCGTGTCAAAAACCTCCGTCACAGGCACACCCAACACCCCCATCCTTCCCATGAGCCAGGACATGGCCCGGGGGGCCTCTCTCCGAGGGAAGTGTGCCACCATCAGGACGTGGGGTTCAGGAAGCAGCCCAGGCTGAATGGAGGAGAATGGAGGCAGGAAGGCCAGGAAGAAGTTGAAGCTGCCTTCCCAGCGACAGGTGAGGCTGGGGGCTCGGCTGAGCCGCACCAGAGGATCGCGCAGGGCCTGGGGGCTGTCCACCTAGGCATGGAGAACAGGCCCGGAGGAGAGGGCCACAAGCCCAGCAGTGAGTTTAGGAGCCCTAGAGCCCAGAGCCACCGTCCCAGGCCAGAGCTGAGCACCTGCTGGGATTTGTGCCTGCTGGAAGATGCCCTCCTCAGATCCCCTCACCCCTGTCCCAGGGCCTACCACCCCATCACCCACACTGAGCCATGAGGGGTCAGAACAGACATGGGCTGTGGTCCGGCAGCTGCCCGCACCCCTATGCACAGAGCCACGGGGCAGAGGGGAGCCTCCATCTGGGCCAACAGGGCCCATCTCAGGCAATGAGAACAGGAGGGGAGGTGGGGCTGAGGCCTGGGGTGGAGGGCTTAAAAGGGCTTCCCAGAGAGGGCCACAGCTGAGTCGGGTCTCAGAGCAGAAGTGCATGGCCAGTGCGGGCAGCGGGGGTGGGAGGTGGGACCTGAGGACCCTGGGTAGAGGCCGTGGCGGGCAGAGGCCAGCAGCCAATCAGAGCTGGCAGCTCACAGACAGCCCCTGGGGATGGTCTGGGCCCGCATGCCCAGAGGGAGGCCGGTGTGAGAACAGCTGGGTGAGCCAGCCCGAACGTGCCTCCCTCTCGGCCCCCACCCTCACCCAGATCTCGCTGCCATCTGAGCAGGAAGGGAGCTGGGATCTGAGATTGGGCCTCCACAGACTCAGATGCTGCAGGGGTGGGCCCCACCCGGCAAATGGGAGACCAACACCAGAGAACCAGCTGCCCTGCTCGGCCCTGACCCAACCTCGAGAGCCCATCTCTCTCTGGAGGCGGCTCCGGCCCCACCATTCCGGCCCCTGCCCATATCTGGGGCAGATCAGCTGGGGAGGGACAGGGACAAGAGTCGTGCTAATCTCTGCGTCTCCTGGGACGGCCCCGCCAGGTTTGCAGCGGGTGGGGGGTGGTGAGCAGGGTAGGATTTCCAGTTGGCCCCATCCCAGGCGCCGACACCTGCTTCGGGCGCGACGAGTCCATTCTGCTCCTGTCAGAGATAACACCTCCAGCGCTCACCGGCTGTCCAGGGAACAAGGGCTGGCACTGGCTCGAGCCAGGCAGAGAGGTGGGCATGGTGGGCCAGGGCCCAGGGGAGGGCCAGTTGGAAGTGATAACCTCCCCTTCCTGCCTTCCATCAGGGGGCCCAGAGGGAGGGGCATGGGGTGGGAGTGGAGCAGGCTTGGGGGACCCAAGGGGTCCCTTCCTCTCCAGGACACAAGCCACCTTGGACACAACCGGCCCCTCCCTCATCCCCCAGTCAAACAAGGTGGCCAGAGAGGACGTGGGGGAAGGAGGTGGAGGCCTGGGCCAACTCCCCAGATCCCCCAGCTCCTGCCTGACTCTTGGCCATCTGCCCAGCCGTGGGAAGAGAGGGCCACAAGCATCTTTTGGTGGTGCCATAAGTGCCCCCTGACAGTAGCCTGAGTTTCCCATGCTTTGAGATGGGGTGGTGGGGAGGGACTGACCTGTCCCTAGGTCCGCACCATCTCTGGGTCTTTGGACACAAGTGTGTGGGTAACCACGCTTCTGCATGGCATAGAGCTGGCTTTGGGTAAAGTCCCTATCCCTGTGGTCCAGTCTGAGAGGTGGCTGGTCACAGTCACCCCGACCCCCCGCCTCGGAGGCTTGGGTTCCCCCAATAAACTGGGCCGCCATCACACAGCTTGCAGGCTGCTTTGCACACTCTCGGCCTCCACCGCTGCCAGGCACCACAAACACCCACTGAGCCCAGACCCTGCCAGGGACCAGACCCGGGGCCCCTCCCAGGGACCCCTCCCAGGGCTGGGGCCTATGTTTGCCCAGGGGCCATGTATTCATGGGTGTGCCCCACACCCGCAGGCATGTGCTCACGTGTGCCTGTGTGCCCGTGTGTCTGTGTGCACAGAGGGGCCGGGGCAGAGTCCCTGGTAGTGCCCTGCTGAGCAGGCCCCAGGCCCCCCTGCAAGCGGTCAGGTCGGAAAGGTTAGGGATCAGGACACAAGTTGCTGGCACCAGGAAGCCGAGGCCCAGCGTGCTCCCAGCCCCTCCCCATGCCTGCCCCGAGCCCCCCGTAGACTGCCAGTGGCTCCTCTCTGGGCCTCTGTGGGCTGAGCTGGGGCCTCTGCCTGCCAAGGCCCCCGTTCACCCCCCTTCGGAGTCTGGGGCCCCGAGCTGCGGTGCAGAACTGGAGGGCGGGGGCGGGGCTGCGCCACAAGCCAGACCCGGAGGCCCCAGCAAAACCGCGAGCCCCAGCATCGGGCCGGCTGGGGTGGGGGAGGAGGGGTCCTGGCCCACACTTCCAGCCCCCGCAGGGTCCTCACACACCCAGCCTGGCCTCCAGACAGGCAACTGGACCCAGAGAGGGGTGGCCACTCCCAGGCTGCATACAGCATACCAGGCCAGGCGAGTAGAGGGGGTGCTCCCGGCAGTGACGTGCCACCCGAGACAGAGAGCCCCTGCCCAGCCCACACCCGCTGTCCTCATGGCCTTCGGGCACGCAGTCTGGCCAGGGACCCTCCCGGGACCCTCCAGTTTCTCACTCTGGTGAGTCCTGTGTGCTGTGCCACCACCCCATTGACATAGGTCCTCCTATCGCCATGGGCCTCCTCGTCACCATAGCCCCCCATCGCCATGGCCAGGCCTCAAGCCTGAGCCCAAGTCTTTGGTCAGGTCACAGCTCCAGAGTGACCTGAAGGCCCTGGGTGGGGAGAGGTTTGCAAACCCACAGAGCCCCCAGGGACCTCACAAGTTTGCCCCGTGCAGTGCAGTCTGAGGCCGGGCACCCCTGGTGGGCCTGAGACGTGTTTGGTCCTGCTCCCCTGCCTCCTCTGCTACCCAGAGCTGCAGAGCCTGGAGCCCTGGGCCGTACAGACCTCAGCCCTCACTTGCCCTTTGCCTCTCAGGTCCCAGGGTCAGGGTTGGGGTTAGGTTTCCTCCGAGTGAAAAGCCCAGGGGCCCCTCCTAGTGTCTGTGTCCCACAGGAGTCAAGCCTCAGGTGCATGCCAGAACATGCACCAGCATGGCCTTTGTCCCCAGGCCACCAATGCCCGCGACCACCAGTGTCCGGAGGAGAGGAAGCCCTCAGGGAGCTGAGACAGTGGGCAGACTCCACCCAACCCCGAGCCCGGTGCCCCCCACCTGGCTACACTGCCCTCTTGGAAGCCGTCCTCCCCCACCCCTGCCCGATGGTGGGTGTCCTGACTTCTGGGGGCGAGTCCTGCAGACCCCTGGTAGGGCTTTGCACTGTGCCAGCCTTTCTCCCATCAGGTGCTTCTCCTGGGGGGTGGGCACAGAGTGGGGGAGTCTTTGGGGCTTTTTCCCAGGAATGGTCCCAAGTCACCCTCTCAGAGCCAGCTCCACCCCCACCCGCTCTGCACCCCCGGCACAGAGCCCAGAGGCCTACAGAGCTCATTAGCACAGCAGCGGCCCCGCCGAGCTCGCTTTAATTGGGGCCGGCGGGACGTGAGAACCCGGGGACCCCGTGCCCGGGCCGCAGGGGGAGGGGACACCCGCCTGGGCTGCCCGCGGTGGCGGCCCGGATTAGCACGAGGCTCAATGGGCCCAGCGAGCGGTAATTAAAGCTGCCCGCCCGGGCTGCCGCGGGGCCCAGGGAGGCTCTGGCGCCCGCCCCGGTTCCACCCCAGAGCCCGCCCCGCCTGAACCTGCACAGTAGCGCCCCGCGCCCATGAGTGCTGGGAGGCCACATCCCCCTCCTCACCAGCCCTCCTCCTTCCTGCCAGGGTGACCAAGGTAGTCGTTGCACGCTGGTGCCTGCCTCGGTTTCCCCTTTAGAAAGCGGGGCGAACACAGCCCTGCCATGAAGTGTCTTGGGGTGGTGGGAAAGGGTTGTGGGTGGATCCTGGTCTATTAGTGGGTGCAGGGGTGTGGCCAGCCACTGCAGAACCCTCCAGAACTCCTGCACGTTCACCTCTGCACTGGACTTCCTGGGAGCCGCCCAAAGGCCTGGCCAGGTACTAGAAACCAGGCCTGAGGGGTCCAGCCCAGACCCTGAGTGGGGCAGCCTCCTCAGGGAGGGCCTCTGGGAGGCCCAGCTGAGCCCTGCCTCGGGGGGCTGAAGGGCTGCAGGCCCCTGGGAACCGTGGTTCCTCCTTACTCCACCTGACTTCCCTGCTGTCCCAACCCGCACCTGGGACCTGGGCCTGGAGGTGGCTCAGGGATGAGACAAGGAGGCAGGCTGGCATGGGGCATGGCCTTCCCCTTGGCCTGACACCCCTCCCGGGGCTGACTCCAGAAGAGCAGTCCCAACTGACCCAGAAGCTGCTGAAAGTTCCAGGGTTGAAGGTACAAGAGCAAAGGCAGAGAACTAGCCCTGCTGCCTGGTCTCAGTGGGAAGTGGAGGCCATGGGACCCCCATGGTGGAGCGGCCCCCCCTTGGCCAGTCGCCCCCACATCAACCCTGTCATTACTTGATCGGGTTTCCCGCTGCAAACCCCAGGCTCCTGTGGTTTCTTCAGAGTCACAGGATCCGGCCAGGCCTGTCCTTGTCCTGGCCAGGAGAGCGGAAGCCATGGGGGACTCGGAGGACTCTGCCTTTCCAGAGGCAAGGGGGTCAGAGCTGGCCAAAAACTCCTCCAACCAGCAAAGACGGGGCTCCTGAGCTCAGGGTCATCACCGTGGGGCCTAGGACAGAGGACTCTGGCAGGCGGGACCCACAGAGCCTCTGCCCTGGGCACTGATAGGCTCCAACGGGTGCCCCCTAGAGCCAAGGCCGCCCCCTGAAGCCCCACAGGCCCCACACCTGCCTGAACTGGTCCTGAACTATCTGGGCACAGGGTGGGGGCATCAGGAGACACGGGGCTGTGGGCATGTGGGGGGCAGAGGGGGCCCGCCGATACAGCCCTCCGGGGACTCACTGCAGCCCACCCACACATGCGCTGGGGCAACAGCACCTGTTAGGTGCCCACCTGGTGCCCACCTGCCTAGCCCTGCTGGCCTGCTTGGCCCCACACTCCTCCCAGAACGCAACCCGTGTGGGTGCCAGGCCTGTGGGTGGGGGGCAGGGGACTGTCAATGTTTTACCACCAAACTTCAGAGGCCAACGTGACTCTGGGTGGCAACAGGAATGGGGCCCCCAGCCGGCCCCCCACAGGCCTGCCTGGGTCAGGTTTGGCCACATTTTTTCTCTTGGGAGAGGGCTTGTTGCTTCCTCTGGTGAAGATGTTTACTCTCCTGAGGCCGGGGCGCCTGCTGGGGTGCCTGTGCCTGTGTGTGCCTGCGTGTGCATGTGTGCACGTGTCCCTGTGGCTGGGTTGCTGGAAGCGGGTCCTGGGCGGCAGCGAGGGTCGAGCTGCGCTTGGGGCCAGCATGAGCAGGAAAAGACGGAGGATTAGAGAGGGAAGCCCGGCCCAGGCCATCCCCTGTGGACCGCAGGGCCAGCCACACGCGTGTGGTCCAGGCCAAGACCCCTGCCCTAGGCCCCTGCAGGGCTGGGCAGATGTGCAGAGCCCCTGGGCTCCTGGGCCAGCAATTACCCTAAATAGGCGGCCCTGGAGACGGCGGGGCCAGGTGAGAACGGGCGAGTACACCCTTGGTGTTGGGGCTGAGGTCAAGTTCCCCCTCCACACCTGCTGTAGGGTGACCTTGGGCTGCCTCACTGCACCTCATTTTCCCACCTGTAAAATGAGGGTAATAACAACACCTTTTTGTAATGTAATCTGGGTCAGGTGTCCCGGGATAGGGCCGGGCGTTCAGACAGCGCTCCGCATATGTGAGAGGGCCGGAGCTCTGTCTGGGAACAGCGACATCTCATGAGCAGCCTCCCCTCTGGCCCCAGAGCCCAGAAACTACTTTGAGAGAAAAGGATGAGGCCAGGTGGGGGGTGGGGAAGGGGTGCTAACCTGCCTATGGAACCTTGGAGCCAGGGCTTCCAGGAGGACGGGAGGCGTGCAGGGACCCAGCGACCTGGGGCTGAGCTCAGGAAACTCCCGCTGGCTGCCGGGAGGAGGCGGTGCTGGGGTTGCGAAGAAGGGCTGGAAGCCGGGGCCTGGGGTGGGGGTGGAAGGCGGGGTGGGCCGGGGTGGGGGCGGCGGCCGTGACCTAGCGGGGGCACCACCCCTCCCACCTGGAGAACACCCTTGGGTCTCTCCGAAGGGCACGACGGTACGGGCCGCCCCAGCTCTGCACAAAGGGCAGCTCCGGGCCGCTGCTGGCGGAGCGGGGTCGGGAGCGGGGCGCGGGGCGCGGGGCGGGGGGCTCCGGCCGGCGCGGGCGTGGCGGGCGGAAGGGGCTCCCCGGGCGCCGCTCAAAGGCCGCTAATGTTCGCTAATCCCGGCCTTTCAGGCGGCTGCGGCCCGAGCTGTTGGCCCAACAACAGGCGGCTGAAAGGGGAGCGCGGGGCGCTGGGGGCCGCTGCCCCCGCCGGCCCCGCCCCCGACCCGGCGGCCTCGCGCCCGGGACCCCAGCCCTCGGCGCCCGGAGGGTCCGCGCGCGCCTCCCGGTGGGGACACCGAGGCCGGGAGCGGCCGGGCGAGCGGGGCAGAGCGGAGGGGGGAAGGAGGGAGAGGGAGGGGGAGGAGGGGAGGGAGGGGCAGGAGGGGAGGGAGGGGCAGGAGGGGAGGGAGGGGCAGGAGGGGAGGGAGGGAGGAGGGGAGACCCGCCCCCTCAGGCTGCGCCGTGGTTCCCAGGCCGGGAGGGGCGCGGGGGCCCCCTGGTCGCAGACGGGCCGGGCCCCTCTGGAGCGTGACCCCGGCTTTCAGCGCCGCCCCTGGCCCGGCCCCAGCGCCTCGTTAGGGATTTAATTAAGGAGCCGCCGGGGATTTGCATAATCTCCGAGCCGCGCGGGGAGCCCCGGAGGCGGGCGGGCGGAGGGGGCGGTGGGGCCGGGCGCGCCTCTGGGCTTGGGTCTCCCAGTCGGGGCCGCAGGGGCCGGAGCAGACGAGGGACCACCGCGGGCAGGAAGCACCCTTTGTGCCACCGCCGGCCCTGGAACTCCCCGTCGGAGCCGGAGGGTCCCCTCCACGGCCGACTGGCCTCGCGGACCCAGCTGGACGGGACAGGGCTCCCCGGGGGGCCGCGCTCACCCCACCCCCCCTTCCCCCGGCAAACAGCAAAGGCAAACATTCCAGCCGCGCCCGCCGGAGCCAGGAGGGTGAGGGCAGGCGGCCGACCCCTGCCAGTGGCAGGACATCCCCCTACAGCCCTGGTCTGAAGAGGGCAGGGACCAGGCTCTGGCTGGAGCTTCTGTGCTGACCCCTGAGGCGGGGATGGCCGGAGACCCGTCCTCGGACCCTGGACTGGAGAGGAGGTGGGGGAGGGGCCTCGGGCGACCTGCTGAAGGGCCCTGTGGCTGTGGCTGAGCGCGGGTCACTAAGGCCCGAACTGGGTGGGTGAACCCTGCTTTCGCAGCCGCCCACAGGGCCCCTGCCTCTACAGGCAGTCCAGATGGAAGACAGGGTCCCAGGCCTAGAAGGGGGGGCACGTCCCTGCCCCTCCCCTCCCTCCTCGACTGGCACCTCAGAGCTGGGAAGTGCATGACAATGTGGCCTTGGGAGGGTTGCCGGGACTCAGCAGGAGGCGTTGCAGGCCTGGGCCATCCTCTGGGCCTCCGCCATGGCCCCAGCAGCCTCCTCACGCCTGGCACTCGCCTGCCCTGCGGGCATTCCCACAGCCTTCAAAGGGCATGTGGGCCCTGAGAGGGGCAGGGCCTTTCATCTCCTGGGTGGCAGGCCCAGAGCTGAGTGATTCCAGGGGTACTGGCCTCCCAGGCCCTGCCCCCTAATACCCTGGTGGGACCTGGCACCCCAGCCAGCCTGGGCTCTGCCCACCATGTCAGGGAGGGGCCCCAGGGCAGGGCAGGAGGTTGGGAAGGTGTGAGCCTGCACCTAGGCCCAAGGCCACCTACAAAGGCCTGAAATTACACCCTCCTCACGTTTGACCCCAGCCCCAGTCCCCACAGGGACCTTGCTGTCCTGGGTGGCCTCCTGTCCCCTGTGCCCACGGCAGCCAGGGGATCCCCCACATCCTGCCCCACCCCACACCGGCAGTGGCTCCTGTGACCTCCAGGTCAGAACCAAAGCTCCCTGGTGCCCACTAGGCTGCAGCACTAGTGCCCTGTGCTCCACGCCCTCCTCCCTCCTCCCTCCTCCCTTCTCCCCACTCTGTGCCTGCTCCGTTGCTGGAATGCAGGTGCCTTGCTCATCTTCACCCCTCTGAGTATCCCTCCAGGGCGCAGTCACGTGACACAACAGGGCTGAGGTGGAGCCCAGGGCTGAGGTGGTGCAGGGCTTGCTCCTCTAGGGAGGCCTGGACAGAGGGGGGTCCACACCCAGGCCCGCCATGGGCTTTGCCTGCAGAACGCCTGCCCACTGCCATCTCCCAGGAGCAGAGGGCAGGGGACAAGCCTGAGCAGAGGGCAGGGGACGAGGCTAGCCTGAGTCAGGGGAGCTTCCTCTGCGTGGGTCTTCAGGGGTGAATAGGAGCTTGCTAGGATGGAGGAGGAGGTAGAAGCACCCAGCAGACCCCAGGGATGCAGGGGTGGCAGTGTGAAGTGGGCTGGGCAGGAGGCCAGGGCTTTGGGGTCTCTGGATTGACCCTGCAGCTTTTTGTGGCCCAGGGACCCTGGGGACAAGAAACTGTCCCCAAACATCGAGTTCCAGTCCCTGGCAGGCCCCTCCCTGCACCAGGCTTCAGTGCCACCCAACTCTTTGTGCCCCATGGAGACTCCACTCATCTGAGAGCCAGGGCTGGGGGACAGGAGTGTCCTAGCTGCAAGCTGCACTGGGGCCAGGGACAAGGCAGCCCCAGTGGGGAGAGGCAGGCAGAGGGGTCTCTGGAGAGAGGTGGGTTTCGGCGCCCAGAGACACACAATGTGAACCCAGCCCTGACCGCCCAGCCCCATTCTCAGCTGAGGGGTCTGGGCCCAAAGCCAGCCACACCTTCCAAGGAGAAGTCAGAAGATGCCCCCAGCCCCATAGCAGCCCCCCGCCACCTGCCTCAGTACCTGAGTCCCAGGCCATCATGTCCTGCTGGCCCCTGCTCTGGCGCCAGGCACCCATCTTGCCCGCACCCCTCGCAGGGCTGGAGGTGGGGGCTCAGGCCTGCCCCGAGGAGAGGAGGAGGGAGGGGAGGATGGACACCTTACGGGGCGGTACCAGCCTCAGGCCGCAGCCCCCACCATGGTCTGTGGTGCAGGGGAGGCTCTAAGGAGGCTGGGGGTTCAAGGGCAGAGGGCCGTGCTCAGGGAGGCCCTACAGGAACAGGAACAGAGGGTGGGGGATCCCCTGTGGGGGCAAGATGTGGGTGGGAGCAGGCTCAGGAGGCCAGCCAGGCTCACACTCGGCCCCCAGGTCTCAATCACCTGCCCTTGGGGTCTGCAGGGCCCTATCGCCTATGGCCATGAGAGGGACAGACGCCAGCTGCCTGGTTTTCATTCAGTTTCACTTAAATTGTCTAAATATTGGCCGGGCGCAGTGGCTTACACCTATAATCCCAGCACTTTGGGAGGCTGAGGTGGGCGGATCACCTGAGGTTGGGAGTTCAAGACCAGGCTGACCTGTTAACATGGAGAAACGCTGTCTCTACTAAAAATACAAAATTAGCTGGGCATGGTGGCGCATGCCCATAATCCCAGCTACTTGGGAGGCTGAGGCAGGAGAATTACTTGAACCCAGGAGGCGGAGGTTGTGGTGAGCTGAGATTGTGCCATTGCACTCCAGCCTGGGCAACAAGAGCAAAACTCCATCTCAAAGAAAAAAAAATTGTCTAAATATTGTCGTAGGCAGCTCCAGACCCACGCCCCTCCTTCCGACTCGCCGTTCTCCAGGGCTGCACCTGAGGGCTGGCCTGTGTTTGCAGTCCCCCAGAGCCGAATGCCTGCTCTGCTGAGCGGGGCCTGAGCCCAGCGGGGCAAGCCCTGGGCCTGGGTCTCTCTTCTTTCTCCTCCTCTGCCCCCAACCATCCTGGCACCCAGCCCAGCCCCTGAAGGGACGACTTGGCTCTTGACTGTGGAGGTGGATGGCCCGGACGCCCGCTCCAGGCCACGACCTCCTGGATGAGCACAGGCCAGCTCGTACTGTGGGGTCTGGGGGCAAGGGCGAGGCTGCCCAGAGGGCTCTGGGGCCAGGGTCAGGGTGGGCCTGTGGGTCGGGGGTGCAGCACCGAGCCCCCGGCCCGGCCCCGCGGCCAGAGGCCAGAGACAGCCATTCCTGAAGGGGCCTTTCTCCGAGCCGGGTGCGGCAGGAGCCCTCGCCTGCCCAGCCTCGCTGCCGGCGCCTCTCGGCCGGCGGCCACAGCCCTGATGTTGCTTTAATAAAACAAAGTTTTTCTTTCGTGCGCGGCCTCCAGTGGTGAAAGGGCCGATTTACAGAGCCAGAGCCCCCTCCCGGCGCCCCGCCCGCCCGCCCTGCGGTGGCGCTGGCCTGGCCGCGGGTAATTTATAGCCTCAACTTAGCACACTTGCCCGGGCCAGGGCGGCATGACTGGGGCCCTTTATCCCGGCCCCGGGGCCGGGGCGGCTCAAGGCTCCATTCACGGCCACCGCAGGCTCCCGCCCGGCCACGTTCCTCATGCAGGCGTTTGGAAGCCCCGCGGCACCCGGTGGGTGAAGACAAGCTGTGTCGTTTGTGCCTTGGCGGCGGCCGCTCTCCAACCCCCATGGCCCGGCCCCTCCCCAGCCCGGCCGCCCGTCCACAGGTGAGGAGACCGAGGCCGAGGCAGAGGCGCTGGAGTTTCTCTCTCTGTTCAGTGGGACCCAGGTTTCCTCCGAGGACACGATGGCTTGAGTCAGGGCCCAGGAAACATGGTGCTGTCTGGGGATCCCAGGTGGAGGCATGTGCACTTCAGGCCAGGCATCTCTGCCCTCCGAATGGCAGCTTGCGTGCTCTTTGAGTGGCCAGTGCGTGTGGGACCCCTGTTAAGGTCACCCCCACCCTGGGACCCCCACCCCGGGACCCCCACCCGAGGGGGCGTGGGGAAGGGGTGAGGTGCTCCAACCAGGACCAGGCCTCTTAGGAGTGGGAGAGACCTCCGCTAGAGGATGGAGGTTGGGGGTCCTAGTGACCCACAGCTCGGGGACCCGGACGGCATGTGCTATGGCCTGCAGTGACCTTTCGGAGAGGCTGTCGCTCCTGGTGCAGGCCTCAGTGCCGGCATTCCTCAGAGGTCCACCCGGGCAGCCCCTGGCCCCACCCACTCTGTGTGGGTTTTCACAGGCTCACGGGCTCCCAGGCGGGCACACACACGGCTGCCCTCACTCACATGCACACCTCGCACCAGACACACGCATCTCACTCACTCAGTGTCTGTGCCGCCCTGGCTCCCCTTCTGCCAGGTTTAGACCCCTGCAGGTCTCAGTGAGGCACACTGCCCTCTGTTCCACACCCTCCTGTCTCCCTGGCTTGGGCTCCCAAGGGAAGGGGCAGAGGAACAGAGAAGCCCTGCCTTCTGCCCTCTGCCCTGACTCGTGGTAAGGGGACCTCTTGTGTCCTGGAGTCTGCACCTCTCCTGCGCAGTGCCGAGCCTGCCGGGGTCGGGGGGTGCAGGCAGAGGAAGCAGGTCCTGAACAGGAGCCTGGAACCTCGGGGGCAAGTGCAGGAGCCTTCTCTGGGCCTCCATCTCTTTGGCATTGACCTTGAAGGCTGCTGTGAGCTTCCTGGGGTGAGGGCTGGCACTCCCCCAGTCTCCCCAGCATGGACAGGCCCAGCCTGCTTGCCTCCTGGTAGGGGCTGTTCACCTCCAGACCCCGGCCCTTGAGTGCCATCTGTGGATGGCCCAGGGGCTCTGACTGGACCCTTCTACCTGCTTCTTGATTTCCATACTGGGCCCCTGTACCTACTCCTGATTTCTACACTGGGTCCCTGGACGTCTGGCCCCTCCACCAAACAAGGCTCAATGGACCCAGGGGCCTGCCGAGGTCCCACGCAAGTCTGAGGTCTTGAGGGAGGGTGAGGGGTGGAGGGTCGGGGGGCAGGGGTTCTCCCTCAGGGTTTCTTTCACTCAAGATGCCACACCCTCCATCCTGTGCCACCCAGCTCCAGACCCGGGGTCAACCACTTGTGCCAAGGAGCCTGAGATCCCAGCCCATGCCCAGCCAGTCAGAGGTAAGGAAACGGAGGTGGGCAGGAGGCCCGCTGGGGGCCTAGGCTGCCCCTGAACATGAGGGAATGAGCAGGTGGCGGGGTCTGGAGGGTCTCCGCCTCAGTTCTGTGGCCCCCAAGGCTCCAAGCTCCCCCCACCTCTGCATGGTAGATCTCTGTGAGGGGCAGGGTACAGATCCCCACTGAGCGGGCACCCTGGGGCTCCCACGTGGAGGAGCACAGGGTCCCACACTGCAGACAGCTGGCCAGGCCGGAGTTCAGCTCCTCCAAGGTCAGGAGTCGGGAAAGTTGAGAGTGCAGAGGGAAGTGACGGTAGATGGGGTAGACAGGGTGCACGGGGTGGATGGGGCCGATGGGGTGGACGGGGTGGGCTGGGTGGACGGGGTGGACGGGGTGGACGGGGTGCGCCGGCTGGGTGGGGCGCGCGGGGTGGGCGGGGTGGGCGGGGTGGGCGGGGTGGACGGGGTGGTCGGGGTGCACGGGGTAGATGAGGTGGACGGGGTGCACAGGGTGCACGGGGTGGGTGGGGCACACGGGGCAGGCAGGGCAGGCAGGGCGGACAGGGTGGACAAGGCGCACCGGGTTGCATGGGCAGTGTCTAGCCAGCACCCTGCCCGGCACCTCACAGAGGAATGGGTGACCGGCTGCCCAGGTGGAGTGCCGGGGGCCCGGAACACCTTTGCTTGCATCTCTTTGGAGCAAGATTTTCACTTTGTTCCCAGTGTCTCCGGGGGCAGTGACAGGAGATGGGGGCGGGGGAGGGGCAGCTGCATGGTGGGAGGGGGCCCGGCTGGAGGTCAGGTGGGCCCAGTGCAAGGGACCGACAGGGTTAACGTGCCGCCTCCCCTCCCACCATTATAGCTCGGTCATTATAACTCCATCTCCTGCCTGTGTCCTGGCCCTCCCGGGGCCTCCCGGAGCCTTTGTCTCACTTTCTAAGGCTCTGACAGGATCAGGGAGGGTGGGGGCCCCAGGAAGAGAAGGGGGCCTGCAGCATACAAAGCCCCCGGCCCCCTGGCCCCCAGCCTTGGCGCCTCCTCTGCCAGGATGCCAGCCTGGAGCCACTCCCAGGATGCCTTCCTTGGGGGCTGGCACGGGCCAGGCTGGGCGGGCATCCCCTGAGCCCAGCCCAGGACAGATCCGCCCTGGCCGCACCCCACGGCCACCCCTGAGCCGTTCCCAGGCCCTGCGAGGGTGGAGAGCCCCCCGCCGTCCCCGATTCCTCGTGCTCGGCTGCAGGCTGCTAGGAGCCGGGTGGGGGTGGGAGGCGTGTGACCAGGCGGAGGATCCGGGCAGGGGGCGGGTGTCCAGGGACAAAGCCCGCCTGTTGATTAAGTCATCTGCCCGATGCACCCAGCCCAACCAACCATGGGTGAGAGCTTTGCCTGCCCACACCCCTGGGCTACTGCCATCAGCCTGGCCCCCTGGCCCTGCGGCAGGGGTCGGTCCACCCCGCCATGGTCGGGGTATCTGCCTCCCTCTACCCTGCTGTGGCCTCTACTGACCAGATGCCCACAATGTCCTCCCAGGGCCTGTCACCCTCTCGCCCCTCCCAGGACACTTTGCCTCAGTGTACCCGTCTGTTCTAGGGACCACTTAGCTGGAGAAGCATCCGACTGTCGACTGTCATCTCACTTCCCCTAGGCCTGAGGCTGATGCCTGCAGCCCCTCCTACCTGCTCCTACCCTGAGCTCCCGGAGCTGGAGGGCTAAGGAGAGCCAGCTGGGGTGGGTGCAGGGTCACCCTGCTTACGAGTGTGGGAAGTCCCTGTGCCCCGGCTGCCTTTCCTGTTGTTCCTGACGCTTCCGGGGGCCTCTGCTGGGCTGGCTCTGCCTGCCCCACCTCCTGGGAGTGGAGGGAAGATTCCAGTTTGGTGGGGACCCTGGGGGCACCAGAGTTGGGAGGCTGTCTGGGCACCTGAGCGGCCTCAAGAAACACATGCTCTCTCACAGTCCCCTACCACCAGGCCCATGGGCGCCACCAGGCGTTCGTGGGCTCCGGCCCCAGCCACAGAAGGGCTTCCCAAGCTGGGAGCCGTGGGGAGTCTCCACCCATGTTAGAGCAAACGCCAGGTGGAGAGGCCTCCGTGGGCGGGGTCAGCTCCTGGCCCCTCGGTCAACTCGTCCCTAAAGTGGGGGCATGACCCCCTCCAGCTGGGAAGGCTGAGGTGCAGTGGGGCTGGAGGCCCAGGCCCGGCCCCGAAGGGTGACTGGTGGGATTACAGCTGTCGGGCTGCGGAGATGGGGTTTCAGGATGGGGCGGAAAGTGGGGCGGAAACTTCCTGGGATTTGTTGCTAATCAGGGCCCGGGGCGGCCACAGTTTGTCTTTGCTTTGGTCACACGGTCACAGTCTATCTGGCCAGCATTCTGGGAGCTGGGGAAGGGTGGGACAAGGGCCCTGGAAACCCAGCCCAGAAGGGCCCGGGTGGGCTGTTGAGAGCCTGGGCAGGTCCTTCTTTCTCAGGGAAAGCGCAGGGGACTCTGTAGGCCCTGGGCGCCAGCCCGAGGTCAGCTCTGGGGAGCCTGACTGGTGGGTGGAAACTGGCCTGACCCCCTCAGGATCCTGGGTCCCTCTTCTCCCCAGTGAGCTGCCCTGTGGCCTGGGGGACAGGTAGGCACCAATGAGACAAACAGAGCGGGTGCCAGGGAAGGAGGGGCCTTCTCCCCGCCCCCCCGCACCCAACTCTGTGCCTACCCAGAGGGAGGGGGATGGAGTGGTGGGCCCAGAACCTCACCAGGACCCCACTTCCCACTCCAGGAGCCTGCCGCTCCCCCTTGCTTGCCGGGGGCCCCGGCCAAGCTTCTTGTTTCTCCAGTTCTATTTCAGCTGACCGGGGCTACAGGGAGGCCAAGAAAGAGACCCTCCTCACCTGCCGCCGCCTCACACCCCACCGTGTATCCTGCGGCCCAGACCCCAGCAAAGGAGGGCACAGGGCTGGCCTGGGGTGGACTGGGGTGGACCCTGCCAGTGGCTGCTGACCTCCCAGGCCACCTGGGCTTTCCTGGCCTGCGCAGTCTCCCGGAACTGCTTCCGCTGGCCCAGGGCCTGGGAGTGCCCCACACTCGGGCAGGGCCCTGGCAGCCGAAGGGAGGGTCTTTCTGAGCCAGTGGCTTTGGGACGTGCAGGGAAGGGGCTGGCGTACCGAGGTCACACTGAGTCTCCCTTCACCACGAGACAGGAGAGGCCTCCCTGATGGTGGCTCTGGACTCAGGGCTGAGGCAGCTATGCAGGATGGCTGGAGCTCTGCGGTGCTCACTGTGGCCAGATGCCACCAGGTAGTGGCGGGCATCAGCCGGGCAGTTGCTGGTGTCATGAAGATATCAGCCCACCTCCATCCACCTGCCCAGGCCTGTCCGGGTTGGGCGTCCCCAGAGCCCTAGGCTGAGGCTGAGGCACCTGGGGCTGTGCCGCTCCCCTCCCCGCCCCGTTCCAGCCGGGGCCTGCCTTACCCTCCCTGCCCCAGGGATGGTTTCTGGCAGGGAACGCAGTGTCCTCTGAGACCCGTCAGGTCCCAACAGATGGGAGCGCTGTTCCCTCCCACAGCCCATGCCCAGTGGCCCCAAGTGGGCCCTCAGCTTCCTCTTCTGGCTCTCAGACCAGCACAGCACGCGGCAGGTGCCCACGAGGTCCAACTGGGCTCCCTCAAGCCTTCTGCCCTCTCGCCTTGCTGCCCGCTGTCCCCACTGGCTCTTTCCTGTCACCCTCCTGCCCCCCACATCACCCCCGCTTTCATCAGAAGGCCCATCACCACTAGCTGCTGCCTGGCCTGTATTTCCTTCTCCCCGGGGCAGACTGGGAGCTTGGTGAGAATGCAGCTGCATCCCCAAATGCCTGGGACAATGAACGTGGCCAGTAAATGTTTACTGATGGACGGACGGACTGACGGACAGGAGGAGTGACAGAATGGGGCGGGGACTGTGGTGCAGGACTTGGGGCTGATGGGCCGCGTGCCTGGGGGAAGGGCACTCGGCTGGCCCTGGAGGATGGGGGGGTCAGTGGCGGGTGGGAGGGGTACCGAGGTGACGAGGCGGTGGCCGGAGGCCTGGAGGAGTCGAGAGGTCTGTGGGTGGCCGCTTGGTGTGCAGAGGGCAGAATGCTCATGCTCAAGGCAGGAGAAGGGGGAGGGCTGGGGTGGGGGTGGGGATGAGGTAGGAGTGGAGACAGGGTGGGGGTGGGGGTTGGGTGGGGGGATGGGGGGATTATGGGGGCATAGAAAGGGTGGACGTATGGAGCTGGAGGGAGATGGGTGGATGGGAAGTGGGTGGGCAGGTGGGAGGCGTGGACGTGGAGCTGGGAGTTGAAATGGAAGTCAGCATCTCCCTGAATCCTGGGAGCTGGCACTGGAAGGTGTGTGGGCTTTTCTGAGCCCTTCCATAAATGAAACCCCAAGGGCAGGCGGCCAGGTGTGGGAGGGGGACCCATCAAGGGGATCCACTGCATCATTGCCTGTGCCGCTGGCATTAGTGATTTTTGGGGCCCCAGGGGTGCACCCACAGCCAGAGCCCAGCCTCCAGGGTCCTGGCACAGGCAGTGTGCTGCTGCCACCTCCCCCTGCCTGGAGCAGCCCTGGGGGCCATCTCTGGTGGGACGGAGCTGGTCACCAGCCCTGGGGAGCCCGGTGTGAATGAGCACCCACACCTGCCTCAAGGGGCCCTGTAGGCACCCCCACCCCTCCCGCTCCAAGCGGGCTGAGGCCCAAGGATGAGGTCACGTCTGCTGTGGGTGCCCCTGGGCCAGAGGCACGGAGCCCAGGGCATCGCAGGTCCTTGCCCCTGCCCACCTCCACTCGCTTGGGCCATCTTGGGGTCACCAGGCGGGCACCAAGAGGAAGGAGGATGGCATAGACACCACTGGCCCACCGGCCCGGCCCTCAGACTCCTTCCTGGACAGCCTGGCCAGGACCTGGGGCACCCCGGTGCTCCCACACTGGCCATGGGGGCCGGGCTACAGCCTGGCCAGGACCTGGGGCACCCCGGTGCTCCCACACTGGCCATGGGGGCCGGGCTACAGCCTGGCCAGGACCTGGGGCACCCCGGTGCTCCCACACTGGCCTTGGGGGCCGGGCTACAGCCTGGCCAGGACCTGGGGCACGCCGGTGCTCCCACACTGGCCATGGGGGCCGGGCTTTCCCCAGGGCCAAGTTCTTCTCATCCCTTCAGCCCCTGTGGGGGATTGCAAGGAGCAAGGCCAGGGCTGGGGCCACCTCTAGGTCTTTGGCTGCAGCAAGAGGTGGGGGTTTGCGGTGGATCATCCCCCACCCACAGCAGGGTCAGGAGAGAGAGAGCAGGGTCTCAGTGCCCGGTGGGCATGGCTCCTGTCCTAGGCGCGCCGTACAGTCGCCAGGCCTCTGTTCTGCTGTATGCCCATTTTATTGTGGGGGCACTGAGGCAGGCAGCGGGTGAGCTGGGGCTGCCTGGGGTGCGGACTCCATAGCCCCGAGCCCATGCCCAGGCGCCTCTATCCCAGGTCAGGGCCAGAGCTCCCGCTCAGGCTGGCACAGAGGCAGGAATGGAGCCTCGGCCCCTCTCAGCCTTTGCTGCGCCACCCATGCGGGGTCCTCACGCAGGCAGGGTCCTGTGGCTGTCCTGCCTCCACAGGACTCGAGCTCAGTCATCAGCCCCTCCTGGGGTGGGGGTGCAGCTTTGCTGGGGAAGGGAGGGGTTCCGGGCAGACGCCAGGCCTGCCTCCGCCACAGGAAGAGCCGGGAAGGCCGAGTGGGCAAATCTGATCAGCCAGCAGACTTCCGAAGGCCCCATCGCTGACCGCCCAGCGACCTTCCATCTCTCTGCCTGGCTGTGGGTGGGAGCCAGGGGCCGCCATTGCTGTGCCTGTATCACACCCCGCCAGGGGCCAGGTTGTCCCTGAACAGGTCGGGGAAGCCCCACTGGGTCCCTGCCTGGCCCAGTTTTCACTCTGGCTGAAAAAGGCTCTGGGGTGTCTAGGCACTTTCCCAGCCTGGATGGAGCTGAAGCATGGGTGTTGGGGGCCCTGTCCAGCTCTGAGGTTCCACTCGGCAGCCTGGGCCATTGTGGCTTCAGGGATGTGCCCCCCGCTTGCCTGGAATGTGGCTAGAGTTGGCACCATCCCAGGGGCATGGCAGCTTGGCCCATCCATGGGCACGGCATGGCCTGGGCGCCTCCCCTGCCCCCGGGGCCTGGGCGTGTGACCCAAGATCCTGACACTCTGGTCTCTAGCTGGCTGGCCCGTTTTAGGGCCTGGGCGAGGCCACCCCCCAGATGTCCCAGTCTGGAAGGGCCTCCAAGTTGGGGCACTAGCCTCTCTGCTTCTGGCGGTACCATCCCGACAAGTCAGCTCCAAGCCGGCTTCCCCAAGCCTCAGTTCCCCCATCTGCAGATGGAAAGCATGACCAATCACAGCCTCGGCTCGGCAGCGGCCCCGAGGCGAGTGCTGGGCGGGAGCCGCGTCCGGGGCCCTGTGGCCTCGTGGGCTGTGGCCTGTGCTCCCTTCCTCCCCTAGCCCAGAACCTGCGGG
The DNA here is from genome assembly GCF_000001405.40 of Homo sapiens. NCBI lineage: Eukaryota > Metazoa > Chordata > Mammalia > Primates > Hominidae > Homo > Homo sapiens. The sequence goes on along the minus strand of NC_000004.12, from coordinate 1,755,415 downwards.
CAGAGAGGCCCTCAGCGGGGCCCCCATCTGGAAACGATTGTGCTCATGGCCCTCAAAGATATAATTAAAATATATTGGGTTTTATGCTCCTTCCTCAGCTGGGGCAGAATCCAGGCTGGTTATGAAATAGGATCGTGCTGATTGGGCATGGGGGCCGTGGACTTGGAGGGCGTCCGGCCCCCGCCCAGGCTGCCTTCGTGGCTTCCCTGAAAGCTGGTGGCACAGAGGAGGCGGTGGGGGCCAGTGCGTGGGGCTTTGCTGCGCCCACTGCCCCGTGTCCTCCAGGGGTGTTGCTACATGGTGGGGGGCAAGGATTGGACCCAGAGCTGCCCAGGAGGCACCCGGCCTGTTCCCACGCCTGCCCTTGCCCAGTTCCTAGGACATGCCCAACTCGTGTGGACCGCCCTGCTCTGTGCCAACGTGGCCTCTACTTCTCTGTCCTCCAGGCCCCACCTCCCCCAGGAAGCCTCCTTGGTGAATGCCCCGATAAGACCCATCTGAGATCCATCTGACAGTCACCCTGGCCCAGGGCAGATTTGGAGTTCAAGGGGGCCCTGGAGGGCTACCTAACGCTGTGGCTGGCTCCTGCCTGGCCCCTGCCCTAGCCTAAGTGCCTCTGCTATGCCTCAGGCTTCAGTGGCTGATGAAAACCACACCTCAGCCTTGGGAACTGGTGGCTGCTCTCTGGGGAGCCCTCTGACAGGTGTGGGGCAGGTGCTGGGTCCGGGACAGGGCCAGGCCACACATGGGACAGCCAGCGGCAGCTATCTCTCCCATCTGTGCCCTGCCTGGCCGTCTGCTGCCTAGAGGCTGCCCACACCTGCTCTGAGGCCTCTCAGCCTGAATACCTCCTCCAGGGAGCTTTCCACCCCTGCCTTAGCCTTCAGTGTTCAGGTCCCCCTCCCTGGCCTCAGGCAGCAGCCACCTTCCCAGCCCCCCAGCACAGGGCTGTCTGTAGGCCTCTCCCTGTTGTGGCCGGTGGCGCCCAGGAGAGCCCTGCTGAGAGCAGCTGTCTTGTGCCTGAGTCCAAGGCTTCCCCATCACAGCCCCTGTCTCCCTTCAGGTCTCAGGGCCTCAAGCGGCCCCAGTAAAGACACGCGGCCCAGCTCCATGGCCCAAGGAGATGGCAGCTTCTGCTGTGAGCCTGGCTGGGCTCTCCCGGGTGCCGGGTGGTAGGCTCAGGGCTCCGCCAGCCCTCCTCCCCACATGCCCCCAGGATGGCCACTTTTCTCTCCCCAGCTGCCTGTCCCACCTCAGGACTGGTGACAGATCCTCACTGGCTGTCCCCTCCCACCTGCCAGAAGCAGTGCCTGAAGTCCAGAGGACTCCAGGTGCCAGGCTCCCCCTGGGGAGGAGCACGGGGCTGGGCAGTCAGCCGGGGAGGAGCAAGCTGGTGGCTGGGACACACAACTCCCCATGGTGTCGGGCTGGGGGCAGCATGCCTGACCTGGCAATGGCCCCGGTGACGGCTGGGGGTGGCCACGGCTGGGCTCAGGCCAGTCTTATCTGTGGAGGCTCAGAGACCAGTGGCCACTTCCTGGGTCTCTGGCGGTGGCGGCTCCCACTATGACTTCCCCAAGCCAGTCTGGTGCCAACACCCTGGGCTGAGAGTCCCCAGCCCCATTGCATGCTCCACAGCACAGGCCCCAAAGGCCACTGTCCAAGGCCACCCCCGGGTGCCCCTCGCCCCACACCTGGCCCCCTCGCGGGCTGGAGACTCGCTGCTTCTGACTCGGGTCCCGGGACAGGGCACCCACCTGGGTCCCAGTGCCCAGGGGCTGCCGCCCACATGCTGAGCCCCTGACCCTGGAGTTTCAGGTCCCAGATGGAAAGTGGGGAGGGTGCCTGTCTCCGGCTTCTGGAGATCCCTGGGAGGGCACCCTCCTCCACGTGGGCCCGGGAACAGGAAGTGCTTGACGGGGCTCCCAGGTGGGGCCAGCACTGCTCTGTGGGTTTTTCCAGGGAGGGGCTCCTGGGATCTGAAGTCCTCTAAGACCCCCCACCCCCAGCCCCCAGCAGGCAGGGACCCTGCCACGCTTCCCTCTGAGGTCTCCACAGGAGTGGGTGCGGGTCCTGTGGCTTTGCTGGAGGTAGGGCTGGGGCCTCCTGCAGCCCCAGGTCACTGGTCTATGATTGTCACCATCGGGTGGTGGCTGGCCTGGAGAGTGTCTCCTCTCGCGGGTGGAGTCAGGGGCCTGGGTTTCAGGTTGGGGGCTTGGGGACTTCAGTGAGAAGACAGGCCAGGACCTGGCCATGGACAAGGGGACAGCAGGAGAGAAGGGGGTGCTGCCCCCAGCTGGGACCCCAGAGCCCCCCACCTGGTTCCCATCTCCTCTGCCTCCTCCCCTTTGCCAAGAGGCCTCACCACCAGCACCCCAAGTCCCCACAGGCTGGTGCCCCGCGAGGCCCCGGGCACTTCCTCCAGGAAGCCTTCTCCCACCCCTGCAGCTCAGCCACACCCAGCGGCCCCCAGCCAGAGGAGGGGCACCTGGGACCAGACAAGCCTGGGCTCGGGGCAGAGGTGCCTTCCTGCTTTCTGGGCGTGTGGGGAGGGGGTTCCCAGAAATGCCGAGGAGGCCTGGCCGGCAGCCCGAGGGGAGAGCCCCTGGCGCTTCCTGCTTGGTGAGGAGGCAGGCCTCTGCCGCCTGAGCTCGGAGAAGTGGGAGAAGCGAGTCAACGACAACAACCATCATCGCCCGCCCTCCTCTTCCCAGGCCTATGTGGAGGAGGGCGCCCTCCCCGGGATCTCCAGAGGCCTGACCCCTGGCTGGTGGGCGGGGCAGGCGTCCTGTGCTGCCCCTGAGCCTGTGCCTGCACCGTGCCCATCCGGCTGCCCGGCAGGACCCTGCCCGCTGTCCTGGGCTCCCGAATCAGAGCCCCTCTGGGCTGAGGGGAGGTCACCGTTCCCCAGCTGAGTGGATTACCTGGGGCGGGGCAGAAAGGCCCGTCGCCTGTGGGTTGGGGTCTGCCTTGCCCTACCCTGCCTGAGAGGGTGAAATGAGCTCATGTTCCTGGCAGAGGAGCCAGCACCTGGCGCAGAGGGAAATGAGCTGTGCCGTGGGCACGTTGGGGCGGGGGAGATCCAGCCTGAATCCGCCCAGCTTGGGCTGCCCTCCGGCCAGGTGTGGCCTCCCAGGGGAACACTGTGGACCCTCTCGACAGCTGAGAGGTGGGGCAGGTCGGGCACTGACCAGGATTCCCAGCCTCCTCTAGGAGAGGGCCCAGCCTGGCCATGCTCCCTCCCACGCTGGGGCCCAGCTCAGGAGCCCCCACCTCCAGGAAGTCCCTCAATGCTGAGGGCCCGCCTCCATCCCCACCCATGCTGGGTTGTCCAGAGTGCTGACCACACAGAGGCGAGTGAGCAGCATGGCCTTGTCCCGGGGCCTGCACCTCATCACCAGCATTGGGGGTGACAAAGGCCCCTGAGCTCTGCGGGTGTGGACCTCAGGGAGGCCAAGCTCCTCCAGGCCACAGGTTCGGGCTGGGGAGGGGACACTCTCCTGGGAGCAGCTCCCTGCTTGGCAGGCGCACCTTAACCTGGAGAGCTGGGTGCACAGGCAGGAGCCTCCGGGCCTGGATAGCCAGTGAGCCTGGCAGGGTGGTGGGGACACAGATGGACGTCCCCAGCAGGGATGGTGCGGGTGGAGGGAGGAGCGCCCGGCAGGTCCCTGCTGTCTGGGTCTGCTCTGGTGGTGGCTGCGGGTGAGCGCCTGTGGACTGGTGGCGTGGCACTGGGCTGCTCGGCCGTGTGTTTCTGATTCCTCGAGGCCTCCCCAGCGCGGTGTGTGTGCAAGGTACCCCCACCCTGGGCCCACTCAGTGTCCCGGGCTGCCTGGCCTGGTGCAGGACCACCCACCAGGCGGCCCCTGTCCATCTGGGGTGGGGGTTGTGGGTGAACCCTGGGGGTAAAGAGGCCACCTCCCTGGCCCAGAAGAGCCCCAGGGTTGCTGGGCCCGGGACAGAGAGGGCATGGGGCCGCCTGCGGTCCTAGAGGGGGCACAGAGCCAGGCCCAGCCCGACCACTGGCCTCGAAGCGTGGATGCAGCTCCCATCTGCTCCCCGCGAGCTGGGCCAGTCCCGACGCAGCCCCACACCTGTGGGAGGGTAGGACCCTGCAGGCCAGCCCCGCCCGCCAAGCGCTTCTGCTCCTCTGGCCTTGAGCTTGTCAGGGGCCCCTGCGGACAGCATGACAGAGCTGGGTGAGCCCCCATCGTGGGGTGGGGGCAGGGGACCCTGATGGGAGCAGCAGGACCCCTCTGAGGGGCATCTGGAACCCACCCAAGATGCTTACTCCCTCTCCTCCTCACCCTCCAGCCCCCCACGGCCTTGTCACCAACCGGCATGTTCCATGGGAGTGGGTGTGTGTGTGCCTGCACCTGTGTGTTTACTGGTTCCTTCACGCTGCTGCTCCCCACCCCGCCCCGGCCAGAAGATTCTCACCACAGGCCTGTTGTGACTGTCCTGTCCTTGCCATGCCCAGAGCCTGGAACAGTGCAGGGAACAGAGATGGTGCTCAGTACACATTTGACATGTGAATGAATGAGTGTGTGTGGAGAAGCCTTCGAATCTCAGGGTTCTACCTCTACCTTGACCGATGGAGACACTGGGCTTCACTGTGGGCACAGGGGGGTCGGGGTGAGGGTCTACCCAGGGCCAACTGTATGGCACCTGCCCCACCCCAGCCAGGACTGCCTGGCACCAAGCGGGGCTCCTGCTGTCAGGATGCTCTAGGTGGGGTGTGGCCTCAGCCACCGGGCATGCAGGGGGCAAGGGTGGGTCACCACACGCCCTGGGCAGAAGCCCTGGGCCTTCACACTCCACTCTGCCGCTGGGCCCCTGTGGGACGCTGGCAGCTTGGCCTCCCCAGCACTGCCCTGGACCCACCCCACTAGGCTGGGAAGGAACTCCCTCTGGGAACCCCTTGGGCTCAGAGCAGCCCCGGCTCTGCCCATACAGGTGCGCCCCTGCAGACGCCCCCTTGGGATGGTGTCCACACCGTGGCTCTGCCGGAACAGCCTCCCACATCCCCAGTCTCTAAGTGTGGACGGACATGGGGCCTTTGGACACCAAGTGGCCGGGCCACCACTTATCAGCAGAGGCAGCCCCCAGCCCACACAGGAACCCTTTCTTTGAGGGTCCAGAGGCCCGGGGCCTGAGTGTCTCACTCACAAACAGCCCTCCTCTGCCCACTGTCCCTCAGAAGCAAACATAAGTGCATCCCCCCGCCCCCTCCTCTCTCTGCAGAGTGGGCCCCAGAGCTCCTGTGAGCTCAGCCAGGTGGGGCCGTCCGTGTCAGTGGGGTTTGGGGAGACGGGTGCGAATGGACATCGAGGGACAGAGGAGACACAGGGCAGGGGCCCCGCCCACCCTGATGTCTGCAGGGGCTCTAAGCCCTCACCTCACCCCTGCTGGCCTGGAGGGAGGGGCCTGAGTGGAAGGGAGGCGGGGACTGGGGGCGGGGACCGTGGGGTGGGGGTTCCTGGAGCCTGCACAGTTGTTCCTTCATTCATTTGACACACTTGCAAACTGTGCAGCCTCAGCCTGGTGTTTGGAACCGGGCTGGGGCAGACGCGTTCGAGGGGCTGTTTCTTGGAGTCTGGTCCATGCCTGCAGAATTGCAGAGTTGGAGGACCCAGTGAGTACCACTGGTGGTTCAGGCTGTAGAGCGCCATATCCCCAGCCACCCAGTTACAGGGTGTGTTCCCAGAACCCAGCTGGGCAGGGTTGGGTAGGGAGGGAGGGATTGGGCCTTGCCAGGGCCCCCCTGTCCTGCAGTCCCCCTATCAGGCTAGGCCAGACCCTCAGCTAGCGAGGGTGCCTGGTGTGCTGCCTCCAGCCCTGCATGGCCTGAAACCTCCCAGTCCCCAGCCCTGCCCTCCACAAACCTCCAGGGGTCTGGTGAGTGTGCAGGGTCCAGGGAACAGAGGGGAGGCAAAGTCGCAGTGAGGGGCTGGTGGGGAGGGGGTGGTGAGGAGGGGGCATAGTGGGGAAGGGGGAGGTGGGGGGGGCTATGCTGAGGAGGCAGGTGAGGAGGGGGCAGATGGGGAGGGGGCATGGTGGGGAGGGGGCACAGTGGGGAGGGGGCGTGTTGGGGAGGGGGTGCCTTGGGGAGGGGGGGCAGTGGGGAGGGGGCGTGTTGGGGAGGGGGTGCATTGGGGAGGGGGCGCAGTGGGGAGGGGGGAGGTGGGGAGGGGACAGGTGAGGAGGGGACAGGTGGGGAGGGTTCGTGGTGGGGAGGGGGCAGGGGGAGGGAACAGGTGGGGAGGGGTCGTGGTGGGGGGACAGGTGGGGAGGGGGCGTGATGGGGAGGGGGCACGTTGGGTGGGGAGGGGGCACGGTGGGGAGGGGGCGTGGTGGGGAGGGGGTGCGGTGGGGAGGGAGAGCGGTGGGGAGGGAGAGCAGTGGGGAGGGGGCAGGTGGGGAGGCCCTGTGGGGAGGCCTGGTGCGGGCCCAGGTGGCTCCTCGTCGCCCCAGGGTGGGGGCCCCTCCTGGAGGCCTGTGGCCAGGCGGTAGGAACAGCCTGGCAGGAGTGCGGTCGCGCCGGGTCTGCAGAAGGGGCTCCGGTGGCCCAATGGCGCCCCCTGCAGGCTGTTGGGGTCCAAAGGCTCAGGCAGAAGCCCCAGGAGTTCGGGGTCCCCAGAGCTCGGGGGCAGCCAGGACGTACACGTTCCACCCCTCCAACCCACGGCACAGGTGGCACGCGCACCTGCTACTGGAGCACACCCCAAGGAAGGCCTGGGCTCGGGCAGAAGCCCCTCCTTGGACCTCGTCCAGCCTCAGCCCTGTGGGGACAGGGCTTTTCCCTCACGTGCTCCAGCTTCCTGAGCGGCTGCTGGCCCGGTCCTGCCCCTCACAGAGCTCCCTAAGAGAGACAAGGGATGTGCGCTCAGCCCACCAGGGCAGTCCGGCGCGGCGCCGGGGCTTAGTCCCCAGGCCTCCGGGGGTCCTTCCCAGAAAGTGGAGTGATGGGCTGGAGGAGGGACCTCCGGCAACCACGTGGGCTTGCAGCGACCCTCACTGGCATGGACCTTGGGGACCGAAAGGGGTCTGGGGTTCAGCCTGGGCTGGGGACAGCTCCTGAGTCCATGGGAGGGTGATCTGGGTCTGCCTGCAGGCTGGGTGAACTCTCTCCCGGGGCTCAGGCTGGGTAGGGCAGGGTGGGGGCTGCAGAGGGGTGCCTGGCAGGGAACGCTCGGGCTGTGGTCAGCTTGTCCTGGCCTATCTCCCTCGCCCCCACCCCCTCTTCCATCCAGCCTGGTGGCTGGCGGCCCCTGGAGAGAGCATGGGGGCATGGGAGTGAGCTTGGAGGGGCAGCCCCACCGGCCCTGTTGAAAGGGTCTTGACCAGCCCAGGGAGGCAGCTGCAGG